>NC_000021.9:33644800-33954754 GCF_000001405.40 Homo sapiens
GGAGGAGCTGCTGGTAAATTCCTTTCCTTTTTTTTTTTCTTGAGGCAGGGTCTGGCTATGTCACAGGCTGGAGTGCAGTGGCGCAATCTTGGCATACTGCAGCCTCGACCTCCTGGGCTCCAGTGATCTTCCCACCCCAGCTTCCAGAGTATCTGGGATCACAGATGCACGCCACCATGCCCAGCTAATTTTAAAATTTTTTCTAGAGACAGGGTCTCTCTGTGTTGCTCAGGCTGGTCTAAAACGCCTACCTTAAACGATTCTCCCACCTAGGCAGCCTCCCAAAGAGCTAGGATTAGAGGAATGAGCCACCATGCTTCGTCCAAATTCCTCTACTCTAAATTATCTTTTTAATTTGCTAACATTTGTGAGTTGTAGAGAATTGATGACACGAGAGTTGGGATTATATTATGCACCTCAAATTCTTCTGCCATAGAGCTGTTCCCTTCTGAATGATCACTTCCTCCTGAATGGCTCCACTTAACTGGTTGGGTTTCTTAAAGTGTGGGCCTCAGATCACTTACATCAGCATTAATGGAGGCACTTGTTAAAAATATAGGTTTTGGGCATGGTGGATCAAACTTGTAATCCCAACACTTTGGGAGGCTGAAGTAGGAATAGCTTGGGCCCAGGAATTTGAGACCAGCTTGGGCAACACAGGGAAACCTGGTCTCTAAAAAAAAATTTTTTTTAATATTCTGGGCTTAGTGACTCGTGCCTATATTCCCAGCTTTTCTAGAGGCTGAGGTGGGAGGATCTGGTTCGCTTGAGCCCAGGAGATGGAGGCTGCAGTGAGCCATGATTGCCCTACTGCATTCTAGCCTGGGCGACAGAGAGAGCGAGCCTGTGTCCAAAAAGTAAGTAAGTAAATAAATACATAAAAATAAATACGGGTTTCTGTCACCTCGCTTCAGAATCAGACAGCTAGAGGTGGGGCCCTGGAATTGGTGTTGTTAATGCATTCTCCAGGAATTTCTCCTGCATAGGGAAGTTGGAAACCACTGGCTTCCTTCTCTCTGAGCATCTCCTGAGACTAGCTCCTGAAGTGGATAGAAAGTTTTTCAAGTAGCAGATTAAGTTTTATCCCTTAGGCTGCTAATAAAAAACAATTGACTGTGATTGCGTAATTTTACCTGTCGTACACCTTTCAGAAGGCAGAGGCTTTGGTTCACCCCTCTACCTCCAGGGCCTAAAACAGTGCCTGGAGGAACTCAATTAAACATTTGTTGAGTGAATACGTGAATTACATTGCAGCGAGGCCAATCTTTTAAAAGTTACTTGTCAAATTAATCTATCAGTTAGTGGCATATTAAAGCCCAGCATATTACAAAAAAATTTTTTTTAGTAGTCACTGATTTTATAAATTAGGAGCCACAAGCACTATACCCCAGTGACTTCTGTAAGTTTGGTTAGTTTAGAAAGGAGAGAGCCTTTCCCAGGCGTAGTGTGCTCAAGGTGATTAGCCAGAAAGAAGATTCAGAACAAAGCATTTGCTTAGAGAGTCAAAATGTAAATTTAAGTCACAGTGTAGTGGTAAATCATATATCAAACTTATATTTGGTATATTGTCTTATATCAAAATATCATTTTATAAACCATAAGTCCAACATACTGCTATAAAAATTGGTTTCTAGCAAATAGAGAAAATTGTTATGTTTTCCAATTTCACTTTTCATACTAATAAAATTTGACCTTTACACCTTCTTTTCAAGAGTTCACCACAGGGCACCATAGATATTATGTAGTTAAGAGCTCAAACTTTGGAGAATATTGTGTTTGACCACACATAGTCAGGGAGTTTGATCTAACCTCTCAATGCCTCATTTCTCAGCTGAACATGGAAATAGTAATAATAAAGTTCACATACTTCTAAGTGCTTACCTAAGTTTTTGAGACACATCCACTTAATAAATGGTAGTTACAGTGATGATAAAGAATTGGGGTGTATAAAAATACCTAAAACTCAAAAGCTAACCCATTTAATTATTGTACTACTGGACTTTTATGATAGTAAGTAGAAATCTGTTGCTTAAAAAAGAAGTTTCTTTGGTGGTGTGCGTCTATAGTCCCAGCTACTTCGGAGGCTGAGGTGGGAGAATCACTTGAACCCAGGAGATCAAGGCTGCAGTGAGCTATGATTGTGCCACTGCACTCTAGCCTGGGTGACAGAGCAAGGCCCTGTCTCAAAAAAAAAAGAAAAAAAAAAGTTTATTGCTAACTCCTTGGTACTATGTATAATTTTTTTAATTGAATGACTAGACTAAACATTGAAAGTATTTAATAAGCTATCAAATATGTATTAATATAAGTTTTGAAAATAAATACTAAATCTCCTGATCTCTTTTAGGTTAAAATATAGTTTATGATGAGCAACTAATATTCTTTGTATTTAAAAAGATAATTGTTTTATGGTAGAAAAATTGAAATACAGAAAAGTATAAAGTAGAAAACTATGAAATACCCGTAAGTCTACTACCTGCATACATATTTCTTCAAATCCTTTTGTGTGTGTGCATATGGCTATTCATATACAATTTCTGGTAACAAAAATGGGATCTTGCTATACATATGGTTGTAACCTGCTTTTTTTTTGCTTAACATCTTGTCATGAGTGTCTTTTCCTATATATATATTGCATTATAACAATTTTAGTAACCAAATAATATTCCGTTTTATGGATCTATGGTAGTTTTTTTTTTAATTTTTATTTTTTCAGACGGAGTCTCAGTCTGTTACCCAGGCTGGTGTATAGTGGCTCAATCTTGGCTCACTGCAACCTACGCTTCCCAGGTTCAAATGAATCTCTTGCCTTAGCCTCCTGATTAACTGGGATTACACATGCCTGCCACCATGCCTGGCTAATGTTTGTATTTTTAGTGGAGATGGGGTTTCGTCATGTTGGCCAGGCTGGTCTCATGCTCCTAACCTCAGGTGATCCACCTGCCTCAGCCTCCCAAAGTGCTGGGATCACAGGCGTGAGCCACCACACCCAGTCATGGATCTCTGGTGGTTTAGCCAATTTATTTTTATTAGACATTAGTTTGTTTATTTTTCCTCCACGGTTACTTATAACCCTGCAGTGACTGTCCTTCTACATATGTCTCTGAATGTACTTGTGAGATTATTTTCATTAGGATAAATTTCTACAAATGGAATTTGCAGGATCAAAGCCTATGCTAAATTTTAGGATTTTTTAAATCCGTATTTCCAATTTGTCATTTAGAAAGATTGTATCATTTTATACTCTTACCATGGTATATCAGACTTCCAGTCTCCCAGCCCCTTGTACCTTCCCCCATTTTATGGAATGACTTAACCAGTGACAAACCTAGTGAATTTTTGCTTTTAGGAAGAAGAATGGACTGTTAGTATAATGTGTTTAGTAGTGTGATATGGAAACTCAGAAATCTTGTGCATGGGTAATAGTGATAGCTAATGTCGATTAAGTTCTTTTGCAGCATCTTATATACATTAACTCACTTCACAAAAAACTCTCATCTTACAGATGCCTTGGAAACTAGGGTACCAGCAATTAGAGAGCCAGCAAGTGTCTGAGCAGATTTTTACTGTAGAGTCCAAAACTCTTAGCCTGTTTCCTAGACATGTTTTATAGGCATTTGGGTACTTTTTATGTTCTCGATTGCTGTTGTGGAGTAACTAAGAGGTTCTCTGACATGTACTAATATATAAACTGGGTGGGGCACAAATTTGAATCCCTTTCACTGAAGAGTTGGTCACATAAGTTAGCTCAGAAATTAGCTTTGGGACCGGTGCTGTGGGTCACTCCTGTAATCCCAATACTTGAGAGGCCAAGGTGGGAGCATTACTTGAGCCCAGGAGTTCCAGACTGGCCAGGGCAACATAGCAAGACCCTACAAAAAATTTTTTAAAAAGTAGCCCAGTGAGGTGATGCCCACCTGTAGTCCTAGCTACTAGGGAGGCTGAGGTGGGAGGACTGTTTGTACCCAGAAGTTGGAGGCTGCAGATGCCACAGCACTCCAGACTGGGCAACATAGTGAGATCTTGTCAAAAAAGAAAGGGGAGGGCAGGGCAAGAGAGAGAGAAAAGAAAGGAGAGAAAGAGAAAGAGAAGGAAGGAGAAAGAAAGAGGAGAGAGAGAAAAATTAGCCTCATCAACTGTCCAGCATTCATCCTTAAAGTAGTCTTGTTATCCTTTACTCTGTAGTGGTTTTCCTAAAGTACCCCTGCATGAAAAACAGGATTAGAGTGCTAGAGAAGACTAGTGAAATTTGAAAAGGCAGTTCACTTGTGATGTGGACTTGTCTTAGAAACGCAAGACTGTACAGAAGTGTGATGAGGGAGACAGCTGGGTGTGTGTGTCCAGGTAGTTCCATGTTGGCGAGTTTGGAGATAGAAAGTGGCCTAAGGAAGTTTACTTCCTGAATGTGAATGTTGGCCACTTTGGAGATAGAAAGTGGCCTAAGGAAGTTTGCTTCCTGAATGTGAAGGCCTCAGTGTAGAGAGATATCATCCACTGGGAGATCACTGAAAAGTAAACCAAAACATTTTTATTAATACATGGGATGGTAGAATGTCACTCCAGTTTTGTTCCTAAAGTTCGTAGCTCTCTAAGAAAGTGAATTTTAAGCAAGTTAATCTATTTTAATGCATCACTGCTCTTTCGGTGTTTTTCTAGTAGAATTAATGATAGGTAGCTTGCTTTATTAGCTTACTGCCCAGAGAGAACATTGGTGAAATTGTTTTGGCTTCAGCTCTCTGGACTGAGTTTGGCTGCCTAGCTCAGTTTTCAGTTGGTCACCAAAACCTGTCATTGTTTTTGTGTGGTATGGGGTCTGCTGGAGTCATGTGGTAGTGCGTTTGGCCCTTCATTGAGTGGTGGAGCCAGGAGTTGAGCTGAGGGCTGTGGCAGAATTTTGAATTCAAGTGAATTCGAATGTGAAAATAACAATGTCTGGCCGGGCGTGGTGGCTCACACCTGTAATCCCAGCACTTTGAGAGGCCGAGGTGTGCGGATCATGAGGTCAGGAGTTTGAGACCAGCCTGGCCAACATGGTGAAACCCCATCTCTACTAAAAAATACAAAAATTAGGCGGGCGTGGTGGCGCACAAGTGTAATCCCAGCTACTTGGGAGGCTGAAGCAGGAGAATTGCTTCAATTCCCTGCTTGAACCCAGGAGGTGGAGATTTCAGTGAGCTGACATCGCACCATTACACTCCAGCCTTGGCGACAGAGCGAGACTCTGTCTCAGAAAAAAAAAAAAAAAAGAAAGAAAGAAAATAACAAGGTCATAGCAACACAGCAAGTGGTCAGAATTTTACCCTTGGTGGTTAAAATTAAACATCCTCTTTTTAATACAGGAGGACAATGCTCTTGCTCCTCTGTTGCACTGGTGAGCATTTGATGTGTTCCTCCTTGCATTATGTCTGCAAATCGTTCTGGTGTCTGGTGGCATGCATTTGCAAGACATGGATACAGTTCATGGACGTGGACGAGGTCAGCTGGCTTTTAGTGTCAGGCTTTAACCAACCTAGTTAAGAAGGACGCTGACTCTTACCATAAAAGCACTGCAACAAGATTGGAATTGGAGCTCCAACGAATTGGAGCCATTCGTTTTGTGTGTGTGTGTCTGTTTGCCTGTGTGTGTGTACAGGGTTAATTACTTCTCTGCAAGGCAAATTTCCTGACCGGTTTTATTGTTCTAACACAGACAAAATGTTGTGTAAACACATATATCATTCCAGTGTGTTATCTATAATAGGAGTGTTCATTGTGGATCCAGTGTTTCACAAAAATCAATTCATTTCCGCTCTGAACTTAAGATAGTAGATTTTAAAACCAAGTTATCTTTCAATTTCTGAAGTTATCTGAAACTCAGCTGCCCCAGTCTTGCAGAATTGGAGAATTGCATTTTGGCCACTGATGAATGAAAGCTATATAGCTAGTAATGAGAGAAACCTTGAAAAATTGACAAGAAAATGAGTGCCATTCTTGGTATATAGCAGATTTCAATGAATAGTAGTTCCCTTTGCCTTTATTTTTCCTCTTTCCTGCACTTAATATAAAGAGCTAATATTAAAGTCATTAAATGAGAATAGATCTGTATTATAGGTAGCACTGCTTATTTTTAGACCCCTTCAGATACAGTTATTACAATTGTTGTTTTAATATTCTTTAAATGATTACAGGAGGAAGAAACTTGGTAGCGGGGTTACCAGGATGTTAGCTCCATGAGGGCAGGGAGTGTATCGCTGTTGTCCAGGGGGCTAGCCCCAGGCCCTAGAGCAGCGCCTGCTGCCTGGCAGACACGCAAGGGTTATTTGTTGGTTTATTAAATCAAGGAGTGTTTGAGGTCCTTCAAGCCTGGAGGCCCGAGGGCTCTGAGCTGGTACAGAGCAAGTGCTGGGGGCAAGAGAGACAGGTGGGGAGTGAAGGAGAGAGGCCCACTTGGGACTTGACTCTGAATGTCTGGGAAGTAGGAAGTTAATGTAAGTTTTAAGCAGGGGAGTCCCATGATGTGCTTTTGTTTAAAAATCTCCTTCTGAGTATCATGTGGGAGTGGATTGGAGGATGGATAGAGAGGAACATTCCATTGACTCGGCTTCCAGCTGTCTATGGATGTTGACGTTTCTACCTAGCCTTCTGCTTTATCTTTGTGATGAGGATAATGTGGTGTACTTTGTGAGGTCTCAGGAATGGTTTGAGATGAATGGTAATTTGTGTAAACTTTCCGGAGTTTCTCTGAGGAAAAGAGAACCCCATAAAATTATTACTATTGATCAAATGAAATAGCAGTGTAAGACAAAGATCAAGAATTATTTAGCTTTATAAACAAATTAATTGAGGTTATGAATATAGGTTTCTATAGGAGAGATTTTGTTTCCTTTTTTTAGTGAAAGAAATCTTAAATGTATGGGAATGAATCCTTAAAATAGCAGGCTTTTGCATTGTCTATAGAAGCTGTTCTCTTTGAGGAAGATCTGTTTTGTAAAATGCTGCTGTTGTCTGTCCAATCTGGAGTTTTAATTAGTATCAAAGGGAGGGAAATCCTGCAGTAATCGTAACCTTACTTTAATTCTTAGTTCAATTAGTTTTAAACCACAGTCATTATCTGTTATCTTTAGTTGTTTTGATCTTGGTAGATGAAGTGATTAATATTACAGTTGTGATTTGGTAATTTAAAAAATAACATGTTTTTTCCTACTACAAAAGGAATACATGTTTATTGAAGAAAACTTTTGGAAACATATATAAGGAAAGAAGACTAAAAGCCTACCAAGATCTTACCATCCAGTGATAATGACTGTTAATACCCTGTGAAGGTCAACATGCTCAAATTACCCAGCAGGTGCCTGGTGTGAAGCTACTTAGCCCGGGAGAGTTGAAGGCCTGTTAGGGACCACGAGCACTGAAGGTGGCAGGACGGTCCAGGGCCAGTCAACCCAGACCTTTGTGGTTCTGGGAGGATGCGTCCTGGTGTTACTACACCTTATAGTTATTTAGGAGAATGTGGGTTTAATATGAAATCTTCTGATTTTTATGTGGGCCACACTTTTTATTGTTAACACACTGGGGTTCAAAGCATACCTGAGGGCTGGATTCAGTCTTCGTTGCCTTGCCAGTTTGTAGCCTCAGGTACGTACAGTTTTGTAGCCTGTGTTTTTCACTTAATGTGTTGTATTTGCAGCCTTTTTTGCTACATCGTCATATATGTAATCAGTCACTTATTGCTGGACCTATAGATTCTTTGTCTTTTTGCTTTTTAATAAAGATAGGTAAAATTCTTGGACCAAAAGTTGTTTGTAAAGCCTTTGCAGCATACCGCTCTCAGATGCATTCCCCCTATCATGTAAAAGGTACTTGTTTCCTGTTCTCTTACCAGGACTGGGTAAAACCATCTCCAAAAACATCTTAGCCAATTTTATTTGTTTTAACTTGCATTATTTTCTGTATTACCAATGAGTGTGAATGATTATTAAATGCCTATTGGCCTTACACAAATTTATTTGGTAACCAACTTGTCTTGCTGGAACTCTAAGTTCCAGCAATGTTTTGGTCTTGCATTCAATGCTTCTCAGTCTTTGTGATTCCAGATAATATTAGTACTGTGTTAGTAGCAATAATTAGTACTAATTGTAGGCATCGTTCCCCAAAACTGAGGGCATCAGTATCTTTGGCACAACTATAATCCACTTAAAGTACTGTGACTGGGAAGTTCTTTTTTTTTTTTTTTTTGACAGAGTCGTGTTTTGTTGCCCAGGCTGGAGCGCAGTGGCACAGTCTTGGCTCACTGCAACCTCTGCCTCCCGGGTTCAAGTGATTCTCCTGCCTCAGCCTCCTGAGTAGCTGGGACTGCAGGCATGTGCCACCATGCCCAGCTAATTTTTATATTTTCAGTGGAGACGGGGTTTCGCCATGTTGGCCAGGCTGATCTCGAACTCCTCACTTCAGATGATCTGCCCTCCTCAGCCTCCCAAAGTGCTGGGATTACAGGCGTGAGCCACCGCACCCAGCCGTGATTGGGAAGTTCTGAGTTTAGTTAGCTGTTCAGTGAATGTTTGAGTACACGCTGTATATGCCTGGCATTGCTCTAGGTGAGTAGCCTTGAACCAAGATAGAATCTCAGCCCTCTAAGACTTCTATGCTTTTTTAAAAATTCTCGAGTTTTTCATACAGACCATCATGTTTATAAAGGACCATTTTCATTCCTAGAATTTATAATTTATTTTTAACTTGTATTTCTTTCTTTTTTTTCTTTTTTGAGACAGAGTCTCGCTCTGTTGCCCAGGCTGGAGTGCAGTGGCACGATCTCAGCTCACTGCAAGCTCCACCTCCCGGGATCATGCCATTCTCCTGCCTCAGCCTCCCGAGTAGCTGGGACTACAGGCATCAGCCACCACGCCCAGCTAATTTTTTGTATTTTTAGTAGAGACGGGGTTTCACCGTGTTAGCCAAGATGGCCTCGATCTCCTGACCTCGTGATCCGCCCGTCTCGGCCTCCCACAGTTCTGGAATTACAGGCGTGAGCCACTGCGCCCGGCCAATGTCTTTCTTTTTTTTGAGATGATGTCTTGTTATATCGCCCAGGATGGTCTTGAACTGCTGGGTTCCAGCAGTTCTCCTGTCGCAGCCTCCCAAAGTGCTGAGATTATAGGCATGAGCCACCATAACTTGTATTTGTTTATTGGCATGGAACTTCTAAAACAGTGATGAATGCTTGTTACCCTTTAATTCCTTCCTTCTTTCCTTCCTCTTTCTCTTTCTTTCTCTCTTTGTCTCTTCTTTCTCTCTTTTGTCTCACTCTGTCACCCAGGCTGAGTGCAGTGGCATGACCATGATTCACTGTATCCCCAACCTTCCAGGTTCAAGGAATCCTCCCACCTCAGCCTCCCAAGTAGCTTTGACTACAGCCACAGCCACGCACCACCACACCTGGCTAATTTTTTTTTTTTTTTTTTTGGAGAGACGATCTCGCTGTGTTGCCTAGGCTGGTCATGAACTTCTGGACTCAAGTGGACCTCTCGCCTCAGCCTCCCCAAGTGCTGGGCTTACGGGCATGAACCGCTGCACCTGGCCTTTGATTTTTTAAATTCACTTTAATTATCTTAAGTTCTGTTATACTCTAGACTCTTAGCAAGAGTCTAGAATCAACGTTAGTTATTAGTTCCGTATTTTGATTATGAGACAAGGTACAAAGCTGAGACTGTGTGATGAGAACCTTTGGAATGTATATCTGACCCAACACAGATCCCCTAAGTGCCCTTCAACCTACACATCCAATTTCTTCCTACCTCCTTCTCTACACAAAAGACATAATACATTGAACTCGGGTTGGGCACCTGACCAACCTGGCCCAATCAGTGTTCGTTTCTTCCCTGGAAATTTGAAACTAGGCTCAATAGAGAAGGATTTGGCCTTAATATGCTCAAGGACCCTAAGTAAAGGATTGGGAGTTATAAGCAGTTATGTTCTGCTGTCTGGGGACTAAGAAAGATGATTTATGGATGGGGAGAATAAAGTAACTGTCTAAAGAGAAGCAGAGAGAACACTACCTGACTCTCTGACAGCATTAAGCCACTCTCTTCCAGTCTGTTCTTGGTCCAGCTGCATTCTCGTTCTTGAGTTCTTAAGGTTACCTCCTTCCCCTTGATTTAGGTAGCTGGAGTTTCTGTTACTGTGAACTAAACATTCTTCTCATTCTTACCACAATATTCTTTTTATGATACTACCTTGTCTCTTTTTTTTTTTCACTATGTCTAGGGACGTTGTGAATTTGTTATTATTTTCTCCATATAATAACATCAACAGTTAAGGATAGCAAGAAACATGGAAGTACCAAAATTTAATCTAATTCAGGCAATCACAATTTGATTGGAAAGGCCATTTTACAAATGCGGACTCTGGCTCGGACCTGTTTTAAACCGGTGTAGATCTCTAGCTGAGGGAAAACAGGAAGGAAGAAATTTTGAAGTTACTTTTAAATGTTGCAGAATTTCAGTGGTGTCATTTCCTTTCACATCCATATAAAATGTTGACCTCCTGCAAAAACCAATACTAGGGACATTCACAGTGTACAGTATTATGTGCATCTGTATAGGGGGTGAGTCTGAATTCTGTTCAAGTGTGTAGCCACTGAAACAAGATTTTTTTTTTGTTTGAGGCAGAGTCTTACTCTGTCACCCAGGCTGGAGTGTGCAGCGGTGCAATCTTGGCTCACTGCAATCTCTACCTCCTGGGTTCAAACAATCCCCCCACCTCAGCCCCCAGAGTGGGTAGGATTACAGGCACCACCATGCCTGGCTAATTTTTTTTTTTTTTTTTTTTGGTATTTTTAGTAGAGATGGGGTTTCGCCATGTTGGCTAGGCTGGTCTTGAACGCCTGACCCAAAGTGATCTGCCTGCTTTGACCTCCCAAAGTGCTGGAATTACAGGCGTGAGCCACTGCGAAGGGCCTTGAAACAAGACTCTAAAGTGTACTGTCGAAATACCAAGAAGTTGAATCACAGAATAGTTTACCTGGGGCTGGGCTTAGTTCTTAGATTAGCTTTCTGTGTCGTGGTGATGTCATGTATCAGGAATCCTTAACTTAAAAAAAACTCAGTGATAAGTTTAAGTAGTCCACTATCTAAATGCAGTTGGGTGGGGAGGTGGAAAAAGTGATAGGGAGAGAAAAAAGAGGATTGTAGGAGAGAGAAGGAAGAAAAAGGAAGGTTGCTTTATTGCCACAGTTTTCTTTATTCATAATTGTATTTGTATGAGCTTTTTCATTTCCAAGTGGAAGAAGCACAGCATTGAAATGTAGTGACTCACATACCTGTCAAGTCCAAGGATTCTGATTGGCCTGGCATGATCGTGTGTCTGAACCCATCATATGACCAAGGGAAACGTGTACTCTCATTGGCTCTCCTGGGCCTTGGGTCTACCTTTTCCCCCAGTTGGTGAGACCAGTACCTAAACTCGTGGAATTAACAGAAAGCATTAAAGAGAAGTAGGATCTGTCAAGAGGAGAAAAAAACGCTAGGCAGGCAAAACAGATGGCCTTTACTCAGTGTATGATCAGTGTCATACAAATTAATAATTAATAATTGAAGTTACTTTTAAATGTTGTAGTATTTCAGTGGTGTCATTTCCTTTCACATACATATAAAATGTTGACCTCATGCAAAAACCAATACTACAGACATTCACAGTGTACAGTGTTGTGTGCATCTGTATAGGGGGTGAGTTTGAATTCTGTTCAAGTGTGTAGCCACTGAAACAAGCTTTTTTTTTGAGACGGAGTCTCACTCTGTCACCCAGGCTGGAGAGTGCAGTGGTGCAATCTTGGCTCACTGCAACCTCTACCTCCAGGGTTCAAACGGTCCCCCCACCTCAGCCCCCGGAGTAGGTAGATCAGGTCTGTGGCGTGCCACTTGTTTTATTTATTTATTTATTTGTTTATTTATTTATTTGGCAGAGTCTCACTCTATCGCCCAGGCTGGAGCGCAATCGTGCGATCTCGGCTCACTGCAACCTCCGCCTACCAGGTTCAAGCAATTCTCCTGCCTCAGCTTCCCAAGTAGATGGGATTACAGGCGCCTGCCACCACGCCTGGCTAATTTTTTGCATTTTTAGCATTTTTAGTAGAGACGGGGTTTTACCATGTTGGCCAGGCTGGTCACGAACTCCTGACCTCAGGTGATCCACCTGCCTCAGCCTCCCAAAGTGCTGGGATTACAGGCGTGAGCCACCATGTCCGGCCTTTTTTAATTTTTTTATTTTAATTTTTAGATTCAGAGGGTACATGCACAGGTTTGCTATGTAGGTTTATTGCATGATGCTGAGGTTTGGGCTTCTAATGAACCAGTTGCCCAAGTAGTGAACATAGCACCAGATAGGTAGGTTTTCAACCCCTGCCCCCGTTTTGGAATCCCCAGTGTTTATTGTTCTTAATTTTGTGTCAGTGTGTACCCAGTGTTTAGTTCCTACTTGTAAGTGAGAACATGCGGTATTTGGTTTTCTGCAGAAGCTTTCTTGACCTTCTCCTTTTATCTCTGATTGTCAGTTTCCTCTTAGTTTCATTTCTTTCCATAAGCAGCTGTGACCTCAGCATGGGTCATTTCAGCTATTTCCTTGCCCTGTTGCTCTGTTACATTTAGGACTTCCCAATTCCCTTTGAGGGCTTCTTATCCTTAAAATGTTGCTGTCGCCAGGGCTTTTCATACCCTCTTTTGACATTTCACTGGTCTTCCACGGCAGTCATTTTCACTGTATTTATCTGTCTGTACCTGGAGCGGTGTCTTTTTTTCTAACCCTGCATCGTGTAATGATGATGTTCTGATAGGTGATTTTGTCTTTGTGCAAACATCATAAAGTGTATGGTTGACCTTTGAACAAGGGAGGGATTAGGGGTGTTGGTCCCCAACACAGGCAAATCCACATATAAGCAGGGCTCCGTGGCCCTTGCCTGTAATCCCAGCACTTTGGGAGGCCAAAGTGAGAAGGTTGCTCGAGACCAGGAGTTTGAGACCATCCAAGCAACAAAGTGAGACTCCCATCTCTACAAAAATTTTAAAAATCAGCTGGGCATGGTGGTGTACTCTTGTAGTCCCAGCTACTAGGGAGGCTGAGGCAGGAGGATTGCTTGAGCCCAGGAATTTGAGGTTACAGTGACCTGTGGTTGTGCCAGTGCACTCCAGCCTGAGCGACAGAGCCAGATTCTGTTTTTAAAAAAAATCATATAACCTTTTTGACTCCCCCAAAACGTAACTACTAATGACCTATTGTTGACCAGAAGCCTTACTGATAACATAGTCCATGAACGCATACTTTGTATGCTATATGTATGATATATTCTATTCTTACAATAAACTAGAGAAAGGAAAATAGTATTAAGAAAATTATAAGGAAGATAAAATATATTTACTATTCATTAAGTGGAAGTGGGTCATCATAACATTCTTCATCCTCATTGTCTTCACGTTGAGTAGGCTGAGGAGGAGGAAGAAGGGTTGGTCTTACTGTCTCAGGGGTGACAAAGGTAGAAGAAAATCTGAATATGAGTGGACCCACACAGTTAAAACTCATGTTATTCAAGGGTCAACTACTTATACAAACCGAGGTGGTATAGCCTACTATACACCTAGGTTATATGTATAGCCTATTTTGCTCCTTGGTTACAAACCCCTACAGCCTGTTACTATACTGAATACTGTAGGCAGCTGTAACACAAGTATTTACAGTGGTATTTGTGTATCGAGACATATCTAAACATAGAAAAGGCACGGTAAAAATATGCTGTTACAATCTTACGGGACCACGATTGTATGTGCAGTTCATCATTGACTCAAATGTTACTGGCTGCATGACTGTACCTACTGGATCCATTGGGCGCTTAAAACTTCAATACATCTAGAGCATTGCTCACCTGCCACCTTTCTTCTGACCAACCTCTTCCTCTGTCTGTATATCCCATCTTGGTGAATGATACTATTATCTATCCTTTTGTTCATTGTTTCAGCAGTTATTTATTGATTACTTACTGTGTGTCAGATAGTCTGTGGTATAATTTTATATCATTTTGTTCCTGATTCCTAGCACATAGCTTCCAAAATCTTTGGAATTTCCTGAGTGGTGGGAGTGTCTTCTTATTCATAATGAGTCCTTTTGGATCTTATCTGAGTTCATGCTAATGAACTGGCTCCTGGGGATGAGGGGCTGGACACCCTCAGAATTGGGGGTGGTCCGGAGGAAGCAGTCAGGAAACTGCAGGATTGGAGGGTTGGAACTTTCAGCCCTCCGCCACCACCAGCTCCAGGGAAGAGAGAGGGACTGGAAATTGAGTTCAGTCACGTGGTCAGTGATCTACTTAATCATGCCTATGCAATGAAATTGCAAACGAAAGCCCTGGAACTGTGAGGTTCGGAGAGCTGGGTTGGTGAACCCATGATGTGCAGAAAGGTGAGTGCCTATATTGCACAGAGGAGGAGAGGGCATGGAAGCTCTGTACTTCCTCTCCCCCATGCTTTGTGCAGTGAGTCTCTTCCATTTGGCTGTTCCTGAGTTGCACAGAGCTTTTCCATGTTCGGTGAGTTGTTCTAGTCAATTACTTAACTTGAAGTGGAGTTAGGGGAACCCCTAAATTTGTAGTCAGCCTGGCAGAAGTGCAAGACTTGAGGCTGGCATCTGAAGTGGGGAAGTCTTATGGGACCAAGCCCTTGATTTGGGGAGTCTGCACTAACTCCGGTAGTGTCAGAATTGAAATGAATGGTAGGACACCCAGTTAGTGTTGGAGAACATTTTTTAGAACTCAGTCTGCCTATAGTATTTTTGAATACTGTGTCTATACACAGTATAGACTTAGTACCTGCCCTTAAGCTAGATAGGTGAACAAGCAATTATAATTTAGCTTTGTAAGCTATTCATGGACTAAGTCAGCAGCCTGTACTTTTTTTTTTTTTTTTTTTTTTTTTGAGATAAAATCTTGCTGTGTCACCCAGGCTGGAGTGCAGTGAGATGATCATTGATCATGGCTAACTGCAGCCTCAACCTCCCAGGCTCAGGCAATCCTCTCACCTCAGCCTCCCGAGTGGCTAGGACCACAGTTGTACACCACCACACCTGGCTAATTTAAAAAAAAATTTTTGTAGAGATGGGATCTCACTGGTCTCAAACTCCTAGGCTCAAGCAGCCCTCCCACCTCAGCCTCCCAAAGTGCTGGGATTAGAGGTGTGAGCCACTGCACCCAGCCTGGATTCTATCTGATGCTGAAGTCGGTGGCTTGATTCTGTCAATTCAGCCTCTGAAAGGTCGTTTGAATTCACCCTTTCTAGCCCCACTGCTCTGGTCTTAGTCCAGGCCTTTATATATTTTTTCACTTTACTACTTTGCTCTTAATGGTTGCTGCTTCCTGACTCGTCTGGCTTCTCTGTTCCACTTCATTTTACACTCACATGTTGCCAAAATAATCTTTGTTATGTGCTGCTCCCACAATAAGATCTTTCCCCGTGCTTTTATCTCCTAAGGTGGTGGACCTCAAGCCTTTTGGTATCAAAACCCTTGTGTCCTCTTAAGTGATTGAGGTCCCCAAGGAACTTTTCTTCATGTGGATTTTTGTCTTATCATTGTCTGCCAGATTAGAAATTAAAACCAAGAAATTTACACTTAAAATAGCTGTAATAAACCTATTACATGTTAACATAAATAACATTTTTATGAAAACTGTTCACAAAACAAAAAAATTTAGTGAAAAGTGGCCTTGTTTTACATTTTTTGCAGATCTCTTTCATGCCTCACTGAATAAAAAGATGGCTGAATTCCATAACTGCTCCTGTAGTCAGTTTGTTGTGAAACGTTGTTTTGGTTGAAATAGTTGAAGAAAATCTGGCCTTATACAGATATGTAGTTGGAAAGAACAGGAGTCTTTTAGTGGCATTTCCAGAAAATTGTGGTTATTTTGTGATACTGTACCAAAACTTGACACTGGGTAGTTTCTTAAGGATTGGTTGCAGTGTAGAATCTGAAGTCATATAAGTGAACTTTTTATCCTCTGTTACAATAAAATCTGTTGATCCATCCTATACTTTGAATGGCTATTTTACCCCTGTTTGATTTGACCAATACATACAACATCATGTATTGGTCATTTGGAAAATACTGGGTCACTGAGTTATGTAAATCTTACAAATGTTGACACATTTCATTAAACAATATCACAAAATCGTGTTTGTTATCACCACCCATCTTATTAGAAAATTCTTTAAATGTTGAGAAGCAGTCTAGCTCATAATGGCAGATACAAGTTTTCCAAAATTCTAATTTTCACCCCAAATTCAAATTTTATCATGAACAGCAAGTACTGTCAGTTGTTTTTCTTGCAGCATCAGGCTTGCTTTATTTTTGAGAAACTGTGCCAGATACCCAAATCTGAATAATCATAGTTTTTTTTGGTTGTTGTTTTGCCAAATAAAAATCGAGTTCCTGTAAAAAAAAAATGGCTAGTTTAGCTCACAACTCAAATGATTGCACAGTGATTTTCTTGGACATTGTTGTTTGGTGTAGCACATAAATGCTTTGAGTATCTAGTCATACAAGCATTAAGCATGTGTACTCAAGGGCTGAGATTTAATAAAGTAATAATTTTTCATGATTCATCAAAGACATCCTGTTGTAAAACTGACTTTTTTTTTTTTATGTGAGTGTTTGGCAGTGAAGAATCCAGTGACCACACTGGTACAGTTTGGTGCCACTGCTAAGGTGGGAGCAGTTTTACCCACCATTGTTTTTGTATCAGTGTAAATAAAATCACAGTGAAAAGAGCAGGTCTTGCCTGAGTACCATCATGATGATATGGTTTGGCTGTGTCCCCACCCAAATCTCATCTTGAAATGTAGCTCCCATAATTCCCATGCGTTATGGGAGGGACCTGATGGGAGATAACTGAATCATGGGGGCAGTTCCCCCATACTGTTCTTGTGGTAGTGAGTGAGTCTTAGGAGATCTGATGGTTTTCTAAGGGGTTTCCCCTTTCATTTGGCTCTCATTTCTCTCTTGTGACCGCCATGTGAGACATACCTTTTGCCTTCCACCATGATTATGAGGCCTCCCCAGCCACCTGTAACTGTGAGTCCATTAAACCTCTTTTTCTTTATAAATTACCCAGTCTCGGTGAAAATGAACTAATACACGTAAGAATTTTGACCATCTGAACCCCCATGAAAGGGTCTTAGGACTCCCAGGGATCCACAGACCACAAGAGAATTGCTGCCTTGTAGGATAAAATCTAAACCTTCACTCACAGTTTAGAGTGCATTATGCTGTATCCCTGTTGACCTTCCCCTTTTCCTCTTCTATTTCTCTTCCATCTGGATCTCACCATAGAATGTTCTTTTGTCACTTTAGCTTTACAGTTTATTTCCCTTCTGCCTCCCCCTATCTGTCCCTTATCCTTTAGGCCTAACTGGGTGTTACTGAAGTGAAAATACCCGTACCTGCCGCAGCTATGAGTCATTTTCCCTTTGATTTCCAGCACTGAACTTTTGGCTCTACCTCTTTCCATCTATTTTCTAGGGACCTCTGATTTAAAGTTCCGAATTTACAAATCCCATCATAACAGGAAAGCATTTTACATCCCTCTTGTGACTTAAACTTAATTTATACTAATATTTTTCATTTTGAACCTTCTTATACCTAATTAAATGAAACATTTGAGCAAATAGGTGATGGGGTATTGCCTTTTTTGGGGTCTTCTGTTCTGTCAGAAATGGTATTATAGTTAGGTCTAGCCCAGGGAAAAAACTGATTTCCTTTAACAGTTATTTGAATGATACCCATTTTCCTAATCAGGAAGGTTTCTTGGTATTATCTAGGTACTGGGTTTTATGCTGCCAAGTTCATCAGTTAAATGGCCTTTAGATAAAGGACAGGTTGGAGTTGTGCTCAGCTCATATAAAATGTGCTTTAGAAGGACTTCTGGTATTATCTGACCCACACTGCCCCTCATGTCACACATGTTTCTGCACGTACACAGGATGAGTACTGAGTACCCTTCATGTTTCAGGGATTCTGCAGGTCTTTCACATATGCCATCTAAAATTTGTTTTTCACAATTTTGTGAACTAGATGACAAGATCCTTGTGTTACAGATGAGGACCTCGAATTTGCTGCCATTTGTGTAATGAAAATATAAATGGCATAGTGAGTAGCTGAACTTAAATAAAAAATCATTGACTTACCACATAAATAATAGTATTATAACATTATAAAACAAGATTTGGTATAAATGAGCTTTCATCAGTATAGACACATCTCAGGCATTAGTCTACCTTGCCTAGAAGGAGCAGGAATTATTTATTGAGCACTGTTTTGGATATATACTGAAGTTCCCTCAAATTCTAATGTCTCATAACTCTTCAGGCAGTTATAGTAATTGCTGGATATACCAGGAAGTTATGCCTGTAATTACTGCTCAGAAATGAAATATGTAAACTCTAGCATTATATTCATACTGGTTTTATTATGAGATATATTACCTTTTAGATTTCTTATAAGATCTATTTTTTAGATTTAGCTTACAAAGCCATTAACTGTTATAAAATTATACTGTAAATTATAAGCTTTAGTTAGATGGGCCGTTAGGCATAGCTTTGCTGGCAACTGTAACCTTTTATGATTGCAGTCAAAATGTAATCCAGATGCTCTTCGTAATAGACCATTGAGTCAGAATATCCTGAATATTGTTTTGCAGGTTCAAAATGTTGGAAGAGATCTGAATCAGGATGATAAAATGACATTCACCCATCTGATTTTGGGCTTACTTCTTTGTGACATACCTAACCTGGTGATTAAATTCTTTTTTTTTTTGAGATGGAGTTTTGCTGTTGTTGCCCAGGCTGGAGTGCAATGGCACGATCTCGGCTTACCGCAACCTCCACCTCCCAGGTTCAAGCAATTCTCCTGCCTCAGCCTCCCGAGTAGCTGGGATTGCAGGCATGCATCACCACGCCTGGCTAATTTTTTGTATTTTTAGTAGAGACGGGGTTTCTCCGTGTTGAGGCTGGTCTCGAACTCCTGACGTCAGGTGATCCGCCCACCTCGGCCTCCCAAAGTGCTAGGATTACGGGCGTGAGCCACCACACCCGGCCTCTGATGATTAAATTCTAAAACCAAGAGTTATTTAAAAGATTTTGTAGACAGTGGGGGTTGGAACTTGAAAGTGACCCATCAGCTATGTAGCTACTAGCATTTTCCTAAAAAGTCCTCAGTGAGGCAGCTGGACAAGGTTGAGAGGCAGGCAGCATAGCCAAGGGATTCTGGAGCCAAGCTGCTCAGCTACTGTCTTAGCCCACTTCGTGTTGCTGTAATAGAATATCTGAGGCTGGGTAATTTATAAAGAAAAAGGTTTATTTGGCTCACAATTCTGATGGCTAGGAAGGTCAAGTTAGAGCATCCGGTGAGGTCCTCAGGTTGCTTTCACTCAGTGTGGACTCCTGAATGTGATGTGGATGTGAAGAAACTGGAATCCTCATACATTGTTGGTGTGAATGTAGCTTGGTGCCGCTGCTGTGCTAAGGGGAGCTAGAGAGTGCAGAGGTCACATGGTGAGAGAGGTAGTAGGAGCGGGATGGGAAGGGGCCAGGTTGTTAACAGCCAGCTCATGTGAGAACTAAGAGTGAGAACTCACTCACTCTTGGGGAGGGCCTTAATCTATTCATGAAGGATCCACCCCATGACCTGAAAACACCTCCCACTAAGCCCCACCTCCCTACACTGCCACAGTGGGGACCAAATTTCAACCTGAGATTTGGTGGGGACACATAGCAGTTACTAGCTGTGTAACCATAAGCAAGCTATTTAACTTTTCTGTGCCTCAGTTTCCTCATCTGTAGAATGAGGTCGATCACAGTTCCTGTCTCATAAGATTGTTGTGAGGATGTTAAAACAGCGCAGTGCCTCACTAAATAGTAAACACTGTATAAGAAATGATTGTTATTATTCTTATCACCTGTGATCCAAGCCTGGAATTTATAATTTAAGATACGAATGAAGTTATTATATGTAGTTTTGTTACCAGTTGATTATATGACCTCTCTTAATTTCTCAGTTGCTCTTTCCATCATCTGGAAGCTTCGCCATTTGTTTTAACCTTTGAAGAGATGAGAGGAAAAGATGCATGATAGGCTTAAATTGCTCTCATCTACTTATAAAAAATAATTAGACATAACGTGGCCAGGCGCAGTGGCTCACTACTGTAATCCCAGCACTTTGGGAGGCCGAGGTGGGTGGATCACGAGGTCAGGAGTTCGAGACCAGCCTGGCCAACATGGTGAAACCCCGTGTCTACTAAAAATACAAAAATTAGCTGGGCGTGGTGGCGGGTGCTTGTAATCCCAGCTACTCGGGAGGCTGAGGCAGGAGAATCGCTTGAACCTGGGAGGTGGAGGTTGCAGTGAGCCAAGGCCGCACCATTGCACTCTAGCCTGGGTGACAGAATGAGACTCTGTCTCAAAAAAAAAGAAAAAAATAGACATAATGCAAGATAACGTCATTAAAAAGTGGGCAAAGACCTGAGTAGGCATTTTTCCAAAGAAGATATCCAAATGGTCAACCAGTACATGAACAGATAGATGCTCAAAATTGTTAGTCATTAGGGAAATGGAAATCAAAACTATGAGAATACCACTTTACAACCATTAGTATGGCTATCATTTTTTTTTAAAAAGGAAAATAACAAGTATTGGTAAGGATGTGAAGAAACTGGAATCCTCATATATTGCTGGTGTGAATGTAGCATGGTGCCACAGCTGTGTAAAATAATTTTTCAGCTCCTCAATTAGATAGATACAGAGTTATATGGCTTAGCAATTCCATTCCTAGCTATATACCAAAAGAAAACAGGTGTTCAAACAAAAACTTGTACATAATATTCATAGCAGCATTATTTACCATAGCCAAAAGGTGGAAACAACCCAAATGTCCATCAACTTTTGTGCATCAGTGGACAATGTGGCATATTCATATAATGGGATATGATTCAGCTATAAAAAGAAACGAATGATATATGGTACAGTATAAACGTACCTTGAAAGCATGTAGAATAAACATGAAAACATGTATAACATAGATGTACCTTGAAAACATGCTAAGTGAAAGAAGGCAATATACTGTATGGTTCCTTTTTTTTTTTTTTTGAGAGGGAGTCTCGCTCTGTTGCCCAGGCTGAAGTGCAGTGGCATGATCTCAGCTCACTGCAACCTCTGCCTCCCAGGTTCAAGCTATTCTCGTGCCTGAGCCTCCTGAGTAGCTGGGATTACAGGTGCCCACTGTCGTGCCCAGCTAATTCTTTTGCATTTTTAGTAGAGACAGGGTTTCACCATGTTGGTCAGGCTGGTTTTGAACTCCTGACCTCAAGTGATCCACCTGCCTTGGACTTCCAAAGTGCTGGGATTACAGGTTTGAGCCACTGCACCTGGCCTGTATGGTTCCATTTATATGAAATACCCAGAATAGGCAAATCTGTGGAGACAGAAAGCAGATGAGTAGCTGGGGCAGAGCATAGGATTTCTATTTGGGGTGATGAAAATGTTCTGGAACTAGATACTGGTGGTGGTTGCACAACTTCATGATTGTCTGAGATGTCACTGAATTGCATACTTTAAAATCAGTTCAACAGTAAATTTTATGTTATTTGTATGATGCTGCAATTTAAAAAAAATAAATATTTCGACATGACGTTTTTTCCAAGTTTACCTTAGTTGTAATTTTGCCAAAATACTTTCTTAAACCATTTTATTGTAATTTTAGGCTAAGATCATTTGCACTTTATATATAGTTGAATGAAATATATCGTAGTTGTTTTATTCTCTTGTAAATCTAGAAAAGATGAAAAATGAAAGCCATGAGAGTTTTAAGTATGTCTTTGCCTTGTGCAGATATTCTCAAAGGGTATTGTGGAGCCCTTGGGGCTCCTTATGACCTTTTCAAAGGGTCTGCAGGTTCAGGTTATTTTCATAGTAATTGTTGAGAGTTATTTGCTTTTCAAATTTTTATTTATTTATTTATTTAGAGACGGGGCTTTGCTCTGTCCCCAGCCTGCAGTGCAGTGGTGCAATGACAGCTCACTGCAGCCTCGACTTCTGGGCACAAGTGATCCTCCTGCCTCTCAGCCTCCCAACTGGGACTGCAGGGAGGCATTGTTTTACATTTACATGCCACCATGCCCGCTAGTTTTTTTATTTTTCATAGAGATGGGGTTTTGCCACATGTTGCCCAGGCTGATCTTGAACTCCTGGGCTTAAGTGATCCACCCCCATCTCGGCCTCCCAAATTCTGAGATTACAGAATTTGTAAGCATAAGCCACCACACCCAGCCTATTTGCTTTTTTTTTTTTTAAACTCTTTTTCTCCACAGGTGTAAAGTGTAGTTTTCCAAACGCTCTATAATATATGATGGTGTAGTCTCTTTGTTGGCTAATGGTCTATGTACTTGTATATGTCTGGATTTTTTTGTTTTTTTTTTACAATTCTCTAAGGTAAGCTCTTTGTGATCCTCAATAATTTTTAAGTGTATAAAAGAGTCCTGAGGCCAAAAAGTTTGAGAACAAAATGTCTTGGTAAAAAATGTATGTGCCAATAATGAAAAAGCATATACGAACTACTTGTATTATATATTTTTGAAAACAGAAGGAAAATAAATTGTAAGCCAAATGACTCTTTTGGCTGCTTAGCTTTTATCATCTTTACTGCTTCAGAGGTTACTAGATTTGGAACCAAAGTGTACTTTTTGGGATGCGGTAGGTTTCTGGTTTTAAAAAAGGATGTCTGGTATTGATTAAATCTATAGTTTTGAACTTTCTAATCCAGCAGCTCTGTGGAGTAGGTACTGATACTTGGATTTTATAACCAGGGCACAAAATGGTTAAGTAACTTATCTGTGGTCCGACGGCTAGTAAGTGGCAGGTCTGGTGTTTGGATCCATGAAGTCTGTTTCCTGAGTCTGCACTGTTCACAGTATGCGATCTATGTAATACCGCTCCTTATGTACATTGTATAATAATAGCTCCCTGGGAATGTATGTGTGAAGTTCCCATTTGGAAGGCTGGCATCGTAGTACTGCACTGATAGTGGTGGCAGTGATTGTGAGGTGGGTTGGGTTCTGGTGCCTATGGCAGGGGCTCCAGCAAGCAGATGGTTAGAAGACAGATAGGGAGCAAGGATAGGAGGATGGGCTGCTATAGGGGCCAGACCTCCTGCCCAGGATATTTCTGGTCCAGTTCGAAAGTTGGACCTTTCCTTCCTAGAGATTGGCTCCACTTATGGCTTTATAATAGGACCTCTTCCCCTTCTGGAGTCCTTTGGAGCAAGATGCATTTTCACAGTTTTCTCCCAACCTCTTTACTTGAGTCTAGCACTTACTGCCTTTGAACTTCTCTGAGGGTTTTTACTACCAACTAGAAATGAAAGAAAAAGTTGAAGAGGGAGATGGTATTCAAAAGATAAGTGATACAAATTGGAGTCTTTTAGGATTCATATTATTGAAACGCAATTTGTCAACCTCCCTAAGAGGGTCACATCACTGTGGTGTGGGCCCCCCCAAGGCATGTCATCACTGAGGTTAGGATGGGCTCTCTGCCATGAGGAGTAAGCCAGTGCCTCCAGCTACTGGCTAGAAACAGGGAGTGTTGTCAGGAGATCTGCACTGGGGCTGAAGGACATCCCCGCCTACTTCCCTTTTGCTCTTCTTACTATCAGTCTTTACTACCGCAGATCCCTTTCTAGGGTCCACGACCTTTGCTGGGGTAAAGTGGGATGCAGGGATGGGGCCTGGGGATGCTCTAGGCAGTTTGCATGAAGGAGTGGCTCCATTGGTGTTAAAGATTAGGCCTTCTGATACTTTCTTCTCCACTTGTACTTTGAGTTAAAGGCTCTTACCTCAAGAGATTTTCTTTACTCTGTGGCCATATCTGTAACTGTCCTTAACTCTCTGTGCATGGCAGCCCCAAACCTTCCCAGTGGAACAGTGCAAGCTCAGAGCCTTGCAGGTCAGTGACCCCACACTTGGCACAGGAATTCCAGGGAAAAGTGTGAAAGGGCAGTAGGTGGCTCCTCCGTCCTGCTTCTTTGAAAACCTCTGACCTAAAAGGTTTTTGAAGCTGAATATTTAAAGAAAATATGTATGAGATTGTAGAGATAGATGCCTAGGCGGCTGAAGGGGATGTGGCAAGTGGATGGCCTCCCTCAGGGCTCCTTTCCACCTGTGGTGGCCACAGGTTCAAGACTCCTGTCCAAACATTCTGGTTTGTTTATGTGTTCCAGAAACAGACAGAGAAGAAGGTATTGTATTTTTTGAGACAGTCTTGCTCTGTTGCCCAGGCTGGAGTGCAATGGTGCGATCTCTGCTCACTGCAGGCTCCGCCTCCTGGGTTCAAGCGATTCTCCTGTCTCAGCCACCTGAGTAGCTGGGATTACAGGTGTGCGCCACTATGCCTGGCTAATTTTTGTATTTTTAGTAGAGATGGGGTTTCACCACATTGGCCAGGCTGGTCTTGAACTCTTGGCCTCAAGTGATCCACCCGTCTTGGCCTCCCAAAGTGCTGAGATTATAGGTGTGAGCCACCATGCCTGGCCCAAACTGGTATTATATCTGCATGAAAAAGGGTCACTGTGCCAATACTTTTTTCATTTAAGTTTTTTTTTTTTTTTGAGACGGAGTCTCGCTCTGTCACCCAGGCTGGAGTGTCGTGGTGCGATCTCGGCTCACTGCAACCTCCGCCTCCCGGGTTCAAGCAATTCTCCTGCCTCAGCCGCCCGATTAGCTGGAATTACAGGCATGCGCCACCAAGCCCAGCTAATTTATTTGTATTTTTAGTAGACATGGGGGTTTCACTATATTGGCCAGGTTGGTCTTGAACTCCTGACCTTGTGATCCACCCACCTTGACCTCCCAAAGTGCTGGGATTACAGGCGTGAGCCACCGCTCTCGGCCCTCATTTAAGTTTTAATATGTTTGTGGGTAGAAAACGTCTTAATTTTTTTTTTTTAATCTCAGAAAATGACATGTGTTGGTGTTGAGATCTCTCTTGAGTGGCTTCATCATTTGTTCGTATGCCCAATGTAGAACCTTATTCTTTATCCTGAATTCCTTCCTCCCCCTTACACCTGATTTAATTGTGCACTATTGATCTGGCTTAGTTCTGGAACTTCTCTCACTCTCACTCAGGTGTTGCCCTAGACTCATAGGTGCTCTCTCTCCAGCCAGTTTTGACCTCTCCATATCTTTTTCCATTAGAGCAGTAGTTGTCAAACTTTTTGATTAAAACTGAGAGGCCAGGTGCCGTGGCTCATGCCTGTAATACCAACAGTTTGAGAAGCCCAGGTGGTAGGATCACTTGAGCCCAGGACCAGCTTGGACAACATAGTGAGACCTTGCCTCTACCAAAAAGTAAAAAAATTAGCCAGGGGTGGTGACATGTGCCTGTGGTTCCAGCTATGTGGGAGGCTGAGGTGAAAGCATTGCTTCAGCCCAGGAGTTGGAGGCTGGATTGAGTCGTGATTATGTCATGACACTCTAGCCTGGATTACAGAGCAAGACACTGTCCCAGAAAACAAAACAAAACAAAATCTGAGAAATTACTTATTCCCTAATTTATGATTTGGTTATTAACTTATTTAAAATGAAAAATAAACCCATGTAAAGTTAGTATACATAGCTTTTTAATGAAAATCGCTTTTTTTTTTTCCCAAAACAACAACATAAAATGTAGTCGGAAGAGTGGCCATCGTTCACTTATGTGTTGCAGACCTCCTTAATGTCTGCCTGGATGGAAGAGTTTCTCATCCAGTGCATACATGCATGAATCATTGCAGCCAGGTCTCAACCCTGTCAGACAACACTCTCTTTTTGTAGTAAGTCTTTGGTAATGCTTCTTTTATTCTTAAGAAATGTATTCATCTCAGAATTCAAATGAAAGTAACATACTAACATGATAATAGTTCAGTGTGTCAGTGTTGTCTCAGCTACACTAGGATCACATGCTCACTAGGTCAGGTGCACTGAGAATGCAGTGGCTGCAAATGCACACGGTAGAGGTACATTACTTGGTGATTCAAATATCAAGAAGGGCATTAGATGTAATGACATGTTCTCTAAAACTGTGAGCAACTTTTGGTAAAATACAAAACAGTCTTTTGATTTATGTGGTAATTATATTCCTAGCAAATTGAATGTGTAGTGAAACTTGGAAAAAGTCTTTTGTGATTCTGTGTGAAATGGAATTTGGTTTTAGGTTCCGATAATTATACATGGGGTTTTCCCCTACATTACTATCTAGAGAAACATTCAAAAGTCGTATGGGACAATTCCTCATATGGGACTGTTCTGCACAACCTGTTAAATAAATGCCAGTGGTGCCTCCCAGCGAATGAGACCACCAAAAATACCCCACGGATTTTCACACATCCATTAGGGAATGGTACATACCTATTAAGAACACTGATAAGTGGAATCTTGGCTGTATTTTTTTTCTTGTTTTTTGTTTGTTTGTTTGTTTTGAGACAGAGTTTCAATCTTGTCACCCAGGCTGGATTGCAGTGGTGATCTTGACTCACCGCAACCCCCGCCTCCCGGATTCAAGTGATTCTTCTGCCTCAGCCTCCGGAGTAGCTGGGATTACAGGCGCCGGCCACCACGCCCGACTAATTTTGTATTTTTAGTAGACACGGGTTTCACCGCGTTGGTCAGGCTGGTCTTGACCTCCTGACCTCAGTGCTGGGATTACAGGTGTGAGCCGCTGTGCCCGGCCTGTTTTGTTTTTTTAAGTTGGATGATAATTTAAAAAATAACTTACAATACAGCCTGACCAACATGGTGAAACCCCATCTCTACTAAAAATACAAAAATTAGCAGGCATGGTGGCGCACGCCTGTAATCCGAGCTACTCAGGAGGCTGAGGCAGGAGAATTGCTTGAGTGAGGTTGCAGTGAGCTGAGATTGCGCCATTGCACTCCAGTCTGGGCGACAAAGCGAGACTCCGTCTCAAATAAATAAATAAATAAATAAATAACTTACAATAATAATTACTTGAATCTCACCGTTAATCAGTGTTAATATTTTGTTGTATATCCATCTTGTCCTTTTTTGTACATTTGTAGTTTTTTTCCATTCAAAAATGGGATCATTTAAAAATTTAAAAAGAGTCGATGTCTTGGCTGGGCACAGTGACTCAACGCCTGTAATTCCCAGCACTTTGGGAGGCCGAGGTGGGCAGATCACCTGAGGTTGGGAGTTCAAGACCAGCCTGACCAACATGGAGAAACTCCGTCTCTACTAAAAATACAAAATTAGCCAGCGTGGTGGTGCATGCCTGTAATCCCAGCTACTCGGGAGGCTGAGGCAGGAGAATCGCTTGAACCTGGGAGACGGAGGTTACGGTGAGCTGGGCAACAAGAGCGAAACTCTGTCTAAAAAAAAAAAAAGAATTGATGTCTTGATGCTACTTAATTTTATCTAATTCACGTGTTTTTAAAAATCATAACAAAATCAGTTTTATTCTTCATTCTATCATACAATTAGTACAATCTCAGGTAAGATGCAAACAATGTATACTCATAAGTCTCTTTTTAACATGAAAACTGGTGCTACCTAGGGAAGTACAAATGAAACCACAATGAGGTACCACCTCCAACATGTTAGGATGGCCATTATAAAAAAAGACTGAAATAATAAGAATTGGCCAGGATATGAAGAAAAGGGAACGCTTGTACACTGTTGGTGGGAATGTAAATTGATATGAAGCAGTTATGGAAAACAATATGGAAATTCCTCAGAACATTAAAAATAGAACTACTGTATGACCCAGCAATCCCTATACCCAAAGGAAATGAAATCAGCATCTTGGGAAGATATCTGCACTCCCATGTTCCTTGTGGCATTATTCCCAATAGACAAGATATGGAAACGATTTTTTTTTTTTTTTTGAGACGGAGTCTCCTTCTGTCGCCAGGCTGGAGTGCGGTGGCGCAAACTCGGCTCACTGCAACCTCCGCCTCCCGGGTTCAAGCAATTTTTCTGCCTCAGGCACCCGAGTAGCTGGGACTACAGGTGCGTGCCACCACGCCCTGCTAATTTTTGTATTTTTCGTAGAGATAGGGTTTCACCATGTTGGCCAGGATGGTCTCGATCTCTTGACCTCGTGATCCACCTGCCTCGGCCTCCAAAGTGGTAGGATTACGGGCGGGAGGCACCACGCCTGGCGGAAACGATTTAATAAGTGTCTGTTGCCAGACAAAAAAAATAAATTGGGGCATATACATCCAGTGGAATAGCCATTAAAAAGGTGATCCTGTCATTTGTGACAACATAGATGAACCTGGAGAGCATGCTGCTAAGTGAAATAAACTAGAAAAAGAAAAGAAAAATATTGCAAGATCTCACTTATATGTGGAATCTGAAATAAAGCTGAATATGTAAGAATAGAGTGGCTGAGTGGTTATCGGGGGAAGGGGAAGTGGGAGATGTAGGTCAAAGTTGCAGTTACATAGGATGAATAAAACTAGAGATCTAATATTTAGCATGATGACTCTGGCTAATATTGTATTGGAAAATTTGCTGAGAGTAGATTTCAGGTACTCTTAACACACACACGTAGCTATGTGAGGAGATGGATGTATTACTTCTGACTGTAGTAGCCATTTCACTGTGTATATGTATAACAAAACATCGTGTCATGTACCTTAAATTATACAATAAACAAAGAAGAGGTGCCGGTTTGAAGGGGCGAGGACAGAGCGTGGACTTGCGGAAAGTTAGGTGGCCTTGGTGATTTAATCTCTCAAACCTTCGGTTTTCTTATCTGTAACACGTATTAGAGAAACTGTGTCTTGTCGGAACCTACCCCTCAGTGGGGGTAATCCCAGCTGTTTGTCCTCAGCTCATTTCTAACTGAACTGCAGGCTTCTCAAGAGCAGCCAGGATGTCACCTTTTCATCACCTAGCACCAGCTCAGGACCTGGCTCATTAATTTATTGAACAAATGAATGTGGCAGAAAATTTGCTATTGGTGTTGGACTGTGTTTAAACTTTGTTTCATGTTTATCATGGTTAAACCTCCATCAGAGGTAAACAACTATGTTAATTATTACATCAAACTTCTGTACATCTTGCCCCAAATGGGATCATTTATTTGTTCAGGATAAAATGTTTTTGAAGTTTTTAGCACACCTGATAGTTGTATTTCTTCTAGATTGGGCTTGGATATTGTTATTACTCAGGAATCTGGTTGAATGTTTGATTGTATAACTCTGCCTTTGACATATGTAATTAAATGAGTTTGTATTTAATGTGTTCCTTGAGGCAGCCAGGTGTATTTACCTCAGAACTGTTGAAGGCTTGCCATGTCTCTAGGACTCATTGGTACCTTTAAGGCATCTCTACAGGTATGATTTTCTTTTACTGTGGATTCTTTTTTTCTTTCAAAAGTTTTTCAGCTGTTAGATATTTAGCAGCTCAGTCTGTTTGAATGATTTAATGTGTTACTATTGAAAATTACTTTGAAATACAATTTGACTGTTTTCAAGAGAGTTTGGATTCTGAAGGCCCACAGCGTATAGGCTGAAACAGTGGTTCTCAAATCTAGCATGCATTCACTGGATCTGGGACAGGATCCAACAGTTTGCATTTCTAACAAGTTCCCCATTAATGCTGGTGCTGTTGGTGTGGGGACCAGACTTTGAGAACTATTGGGCTAAAGTGTGGAAGACAATTAAAAATAATAATATGGAGGGGAAATGGGGCCCAGTGTGTTTGGGAACAGGATCCCTTTGTGCTCTCCACAGACAATAGAGCAGTAAAGAAAAACTGGTTTTGGCACCTGAAAAGAAGGAAAATAGACATAAACTTTAGAAAATACTGTTTGATAGTTGCAGTGGTCCTTAAAATTAAGATAGGAGAAGAGATTTGGAAATAATTTAATTTTAAAAAGTTTATTTTACCTTTTTTATTATAGGAGTAATGCATGTTCATAATGGAAAGTGTCATAAATACAGAAACATTTCTATTCTAAAAGAGAGGAAAAATTTCCCCAAAGTATCTTCTGACATTTTTGGCAATGTCCATTCAGTATCTCTTTTATGTGTAGGACTTTTGTTTTTGTTTTGCCATGAAATAAAGTTTTTATTGTCAAAATAATATATGCTCATTATAATGAAAGAAAAAGAAAGATCATAAAGGACACTCACTCTTTCCAGAAACAATACTGATAACATACTGAAGTTTATTATTTGGTATCTCTTCATGTGAATATATCCATTTATGTGAATTACCTTGACCATATGGTTTTATAACCTAATTTTTTCAGTCACTATCTTTTCATATCATTAGATGTAATTCTGAAGCATCTTTTTTAGGCGCAGAGTATCTTACTCTGAAAAACTTTGTTGTAGCTGATGCTCTTCATCCACTGGCCCCTCCCATTTCTCATTTCTCTACTAGGAATTTGTAGGTCAAAGAGCATGTAAAAATCTTGATATGGGCCGGGCACGGTGGCTCAAGCCTGTAATCCCAGCACTTTGGGAGGCTGAGACAGGGGGATCATGAGGTCAGGAGACCGAGACCGTCCTAGCCAACACGGTGAAACCCTGTCTCTATTAAAAAAAAATACAAAAAATTAGCCAGGTGCAGTGGCGGGTGCTTGTAGTCCCAGCTACTTGGGAGGCTGAGGTGGGAGAATGACTTGAACCCGGGACGGGGAGCTTACAGTGAGCCGAGGTTGCGCCACTGCACTCCAGCCTGGGCGACAGAGCGAGACTCTGTCTCAAAAAATAAAAAATAAAGAATAAATCTTGATATGTATTACCAGATACCCACAAAGGGCATAGAAGTTTCTGTTCTCACTAGTAGCTGTGTGCCTGTACCCAGACCCCAAGTCTATGCTCATTGCCGGTTTAATAATTGCCAGCCTGATAGGTGAAAATAGTATCTTTTCATTCACTTCTTTTACTGATAAGAAGCTTAACACTTTTCTTCATGTGTCAGTTGGTCGTTTAAATTTCTTTTGAATTTCTGCTCTTGTCCTTGTCACATTTTCTTTTGGGGTTAATCTTTTTTCTTGATTTATATGAACTCTTCATACTTAGGGACATTAATTCCTTACATCATATGCTTCAGATATTTGTTTCCAAAATTTCATTTGCTTTTAAAACTAACTTGTGGAATTTTTTTTCTTTCATAGAAGTGTTTTAAGTGTTTCATAGAAGTGCCATCCACTATGATTTTCCTTTTTTTTGTTTTTTTTTTTGTTTGACATGGAGTTTTGCTGTTGTTGCCCAGGCTGGAGTGCAGTGGCACGATCTCGGCTCACTGCAACCTCTGCCTCCTGGGTTCAAGCGATTCCTGCTAATTTTTGTATTTTTAGTAGAAACGGGGTTTCACCACGTTGGTCAGGCTGGTTTCAAACTCCTGACCTTAGGTGATCCCTCCGCTTCGGCCTCCCAGAGTGCTAGGATTACACGCATGAGCCATTGCGCCTGTCCTGATTTTCCATTTTTAAGGATTTCTGCTCATGGTGTCAAATGAGAACATCCCCTGTCACTTCAAGATTTTACGAATATTAACCTGCATTTTCTTCTACAACACTTTCTCTTTTTTAAAAAACGTTTTTAAAGGTGGAGTTTTGCTAAGTTGCCCAGGCTGGTCTTCAACTCCTGGGCTCAAGCAAACCTCCCACCTCAGCCTTTCAAAGCGCTGGGATTATAGGCATGAGCCACCGTGCCCAGCCTCTGCCACACTTCCATGATTTCATTTGTTCACTAGGGTCTTCAAACTGTCTGTAGTTTGTTTTGATGCAAGCAAATACATTTATTTTAGTGTGGCCAAATGTAATTTACATTTTTAAATATTGAATTATTTTGGTTGCACTGTGCAAACATTAGGCAAATTTAGGTATAAAGTTGGAAAAAGCCACTAAGTGTCACACTGTTCTGAGGAGCACTGGGAATTCTGAGAAGGCTTAAAGAGTTTGCCATGGTTTTCTGTCCTTGTGATAGTTTGTTCGGAATGATGGTTTCCAGCTTCATCCATGCCCCTACAAAGGATGTGAACTCATCCTTTTCTATGGCTGCATAGTATTTCATGGTGTATATGTGCCACATTTTCGACAGAAAACCAAACACTGCATGTTCTCACTCATAGGTGGGAATTGAACAATGAGAACACTTGGACACAGGGTGGGGAACATCACACACCGGGACCTGTCGTGAGGTGCGGGGAGGGGGGAGGGATAGCATTAGGAGATAAACCTAATGTAAATGACAAATTAATGGGTGCAGCACACCAACATGGCACATGTATACATATGTAACAAAACCTGCACGTTGTGCACATGTACCCTAGAACTTAAAGTATAATTAAAAAAAAAGAGTTTGCCATGGAAGTGGAGGTCAGGAGAGGGGAGAACTGAGCAAGTATGTGGGTATTTCCAGCTCCTACTTCTCCCAAGAACTGCAGGCTTAGATGGGCAGCTGTCTAGTAGGCAGATCTTCTTGGGCATCTAATAATAAGCTGTTCAAAATTAACATAGCCAAAGCAGAATTCTTTTTTTTTTTTTTTTAAGACAGAGTCTCACTTATCACCTAGGCTGGAGTGCAGTGGCATGATCTCGGCTCACTGCAAGCCTCGCCTCCCTGGTTCAAGGGATTTTCTTGCCTCAACCTCCCGAGTACCTGGGATTACAGTTGTGTGCCACCATGTCCAGCTAATTTTTATATTTTTAGTAGAGACAGGGTTTCGCCCTGTTGGCCAGGCTGGTCCCAAACATCTGGCATCAAGTGATCCACCCGCCTAGGCCTCCCAAAGTGCTGGGATTACAGACTTGAGCCACCGCACCCAGCCCAAAACGGAATTCTTGATGCTGTCCCCACCCTAATGCGCACACCCCAGTCCTTTCTCGTCTTAGTAAATAGCGCTGTCAAACACCCATTTAGGCAGGCCAGAAACTTCAAAGGTGTCTTTGATTCCGCTCTTCCACCACTTTATATCTACTCCATCATGAAGTCTTGTAGACTTTCTGTCCAGAATATATCCTGAGTCTGACCACTCCTAATCATTTCCACTGTTAAAACATTAGGCCACCACTGTCTCTCATGTGGGTGTTTATTGTGGTCTTCTGGACGTTGTCTTGGTTCCACTTTGTCTCTCCCTGTAATCTGTTTCACATAGTAGCTTCTACAGTGTAAATAAGATCATATTATTCCCTTGATTAAAACCTTTCAAAGACTTCCCATTACATTTAAAATAAAATCCAAGCCTTACTATAAAAGATCCACTTGTCTGGCCTCTGTGCTTCTCCAGTTTCTTCCTTCTGCACTCCCCTTGTCTGCTTTGCGGTAGCCTAACATGTCTCTTTCTATCTCTTGAACAGGTTCTTTTCTTTCGTTGGGTCTTTATACAGGCTGAACCTCCTCTAGAACTAACTAGAAGCTACCTCTGATGTCTTCTCAGAGAGACTTTCCTTGACTATCCCCAGGCACATGAAGAAGCCCCACACACCCCCTCTAGTCACCATCTATCTTGTTAACCTTACTTATTTTCTTAAAGTGGGGTTCTGTATGTAAAATGATCTTCTTTATTTGTTTACTGGTTTATTAGCTGTCTTCCTATTCGAGAATGTAAGCTCCCAGAGGACACTCTGTTTTGTTCACTTCTGAATCCCTAGCACTTAGCCCCGTGCTTGGCCCATGACATTTGTGGTAAGTACTAGGTGACCATTTTTGGAACTGTTCCCACCCCACGGCCTGCATTCACACTTTAATCACAGCAGCTCAGCTTTTATATCGTGAGCTTCAGTGGGAGGTTTTGTTTACAGAAAGTTTTCTTGGTTGACAAAAGCCTGAAGATGATTTTCTTGGAAGATGAGGATTTATTCTAAGGATATGTGAGGAAGCAAAGTTTTTGTTGTTGTTGTTGTTTTGGAGGGGTGGTGGGGGATCCGAGTCTCGCTTTGTCATCCAGGCTGGAGTGTAGTGGCGCAATCATGGCTCACTGCAACCTCTGCCTCCCGGGTTTAAGCGATTCTCCTGCCTCAGCCACCTGAGTAGCTGGGATTACAGGCATGCGCCACCACGCCCAGCTAATTTTTGTATTTTTAGTAGAGACAGGGTTTCACGGAAGCAGAGATTTTCTGTCAGTGTTCCATCTACTTCATAATGTATTGTTGATATGGTTCTTGATTTTTTAACCTGAAGGCATAAGCATGAAAATAGCATAATGATTTTTCACAGTTCCTGTCCAAGAGTACTTTTTCTTTACATGTTGAATTACCTACCATAGATTGTTTTATCCTATAATTAGAAAGATTATGAGATTACATCATCTTATATTTACCCTTAAAGAGTGTTTCCCGAATCATAAGCCAAAGCCTTTGTATAACCTTATTATGTAAATATTTATGTTTCAGGTGTGTTATTCCCTTTGTGTGTGTGTGTATCTATATACATATATATGCATAGTATTTGTGTTCTCTTATTCCTATGACATTGTAAACGTTCTAGTTGATGATGTCTGTGCTTCCATTGCAACTCTTCACTGCATGGGTACTCTGATGTGTATGGCTTGCTGCTCCCCAGATATTCGTTGACTTTGTGACATCTGTCCTAGGACAATTTCACTATTTTAGTTTTTGGCTACTCAGTTAATTAGAAATGCATCTCAGTTGTATTTTAAGTTATTGCTTTCTACATTTTAATCAGTAAATACAAAGAGATTGCCTTTAGTTTTTGTTATGTGTATTTTCAGGTTATGTTACTGGGAGTACAAAGTTTTACAATTGTTGCTTTCTTTGTGGATTATAGGTTTTAGGAAAATAAAATTTATCGTATTGACAGTTTTTGCCTTGAAAGGCTTATTAAATTTAGCAGTCCTCCCTTTTTTGTGTGTTTTTTGATCCTTATCCTTTTTTTTTTTTTTTTTTTTTTTGAGACGGAGTCTCGCTCTGTCACACAGGCTGGAGTGCAGTGGCAGAGCTCACTGCAAGCTCCGCCTCCCAGGTTCATGCCATTCTCCTGCCTCAGCCTCCCAAGTAGCTGGGACTACAGGTGCCCGCCCCCACATCCAGCTAATTTTTTTGTATTTTTAGTAGAGACGAGGTTTCACCGTGTTAGCCAGGATGGTCTTGATCTCCTGACCTCGTGATCCGCCTGTCTGGTCCTCCCAAAGTGCTGGGATTACAGGCGTGAGACACCGCGCCCAGCCCATCCTTTTGTTTTTAATCTGTCATTTTATTTTAGGTGCATTTCTAGTTCGCTTGGCCTGCTGTCTTTTTCATAACACTTTATTCCTATGTAATAGATATAATGTTCTTTTGCATTTTATTGTTTCTAAAGCAAATATCTTCTAATTAAGAAAAATAACTTCTAGTTAATTTATTTCAAGGGGAAGCAGTGGGGGTTTTATTCCTCTGGATGTTTGTTGTCTTGTGTCCTGTGGAATATTTTCTTTCTGTTTTTGTTCTTTTCTTTCTCTAACTCAGGACAGTGCTGAGGAATGTTTTCATTGGTGCCGTATTTTCTTTTTCTTTCTTTTCTTTTTTCTTTTTTTTTTTTTTGAGACAGGGTCTCTGTCTGTTGCCCAAGCTGGAATGCAATGGCGCAATCTCGGCTCACTGCAACTTCTGCCTGCTGGGTTCAAGCGATTCTCATGCCTCAGCCTCTCGAGTAGCTGGCATTACAGGCATGCACCACCACACCCGGCTAATTTTTGTGTTTTTATAGAGAAAGGGTTTCGCCATGTTGGCCAGGCTGGTCTTGAACTCCTGACCTCAAGTGATCCACCCACCTCAGCCTCCCAAAGTGCTGGGATTGCAGGCGTGAGCCGATGTGCGTGGCCTGGTGCCATACTTTCTGCATTTTTCTTTAAGGAAGGTTCCAAATGTCTGAAGTCCACCAAATGTCTGAAGTCCTGCCCAGACTTTTGGAGAGAAAACACAGCAAAGCAATCAGTAGGTTAATGACTGCATGGTTTCTGGACCAAATTATCCTCATCTACCACTTAGAACATTAAGTTGTAAACCAGAGTCAGCACAGCCAGGGTGGAGATTACTTATTTGTATCCCTTGCTCGTAGGTTATTTAATATTCTCTGTTGTGTCAAAGTTTAGTCGGGTATATTAATTAGTCAGCTTTTGCTAAATTATGTTGTGGTAACAATCTCCAAATCTCAGTAGTTTACGACAACAAAACTTTGTTTCTCAGTTTAAGGCTCTTTGTGGGCTTCATGCCATGGTAGAACCTCAAAAGTGGCATGTGCCATTTCAACTCATACTTCATTGGCCAAAAGCAAGTCACGTGGTCATGCAGGGCCTCAGTAAGCAAGAAATATTTACCCGCCCGGGGATGGACAGGTAGGAAAGGGTCTGTTAAGGAAGGGCAGCAAATATTTGGATAACAGTACTATGTGTTTGTATGGAGCGATATTTAAGAAGGTTTCCTAGGTTTTTTGAGGGGTATTGAAGCTGAGAGGTTGGGGGCAGGCAGGAAGCTCTGCAGCCTGTAGCCTATGGTATCAAGCTTCATGAGAACGAGAATTAACTAGTTACATCTTTATTACCATTTTTGGCATCTCTGCAGACAGTGGATCTAATGCATGATAGCTGATTAATAAATGTTTGTTGAATTAATGAACAAAATAGCAAGAAAGTAACGTATTCTGAGGCAGGAGAATTGCTTGAACCAGGAGGCAGAGGTTGCAGTGAGCTGACATCATGCCATTGCACTCCAGCCTGGGCGACAGAGTGAGACTCCGTCTCAAAAAACAAAAGAAAGTAAACAGATTATTTTCATGCTATTTGATGCCTCCGCTTAGTTTGGAACCAGTTTTTATTTTATTTTATTTTATTTTATTTTATTTTATTTTATTTTTTGTTTTGTTTTTGTTTTCGTGTTTTTTGAGACGGAGTCTCGCTCTGTCGCCCAGGCTGGAGTGCAGTGGCGAGATCTGGGTTCATTGCAAGCTCCGCCTCCCGGGTTCACGTCATTCTCCTGCCTCAGCCTCCTGAGTAGCTGGGACTACAGGCGCCCACCACTATGCCCGGCTAATTTTTTTGTATTTTTAGTAGAGGGGTTTCACCGTGTTAACCAGGGTGGTCTTGATCTCCTGACCTCGTGATCCACCCGTCTCGGCCTCCCAAAGTGCTGGGATTACAGGCATGAACCACCGCGCCTGGCCTTGGAACCAGTTTTATAGAGCAGTTCCTACAATAGCTCCTTTTATATTTAAAATGAAAAGTGCTTTCTTGGGGGTCATTTTGCCATACCAAAAGATTATGTGCTTAAAAAAAAAACTACATACTAATTACAGAAAAAATTTTAAATATGCATTAAATACAAGCAAGTAGAGGTTGTGTTCTATTTGGCTACTCAGGACAACTATTGGTGTTTTGTTATATATCCTCCTATATAATTCCTTTCTTTCTTTTCTTTTTTTTTTTTTTGAGATGGAGTTTCACTCTTGTTGCCCAGGCTGGAGTGCAATGGCGCAATCTCAGCTCACCGCAACCTCTGCCTCCCAGGTTCAAGCGATTCTCGCTTCTCAGCCTCCCTAGTAGCTGGGATTACAGGCATGCGCCACCACGCCCGGCTAATTTTGTATTTTTGGTAGAGGCGGGGTTTCTCCATGTTGGTCAGGCTGGTCTCGAACTCCCGACCTCAGGTGATCCACCCGCCTCGGCCTCCCAAAGTGCAGGGGTTACAGGCATGAGCCACATAGTGCCCAGCCTCTTTCTTTTCTTTTCTTTCTTTTTTTGAGATGGAGCCTCTCTCTGTTGCCCAGGCTGGAAGAATACAGTGGCACCATCTTGGCTCACTGTAACCTCTGCTTCCCGGGTACAAGTGATGCTTGTGTGTCAGCCTCCCAGTAGCTGGCACTACAGGTGTGCACCACCACACCCAGCTAATTTTTGTATTTTTAGTAGAGACGGGGTTTCATCACATTGGCCAGGCTGATCTCCTGACCTCAGGTGATCCACTCACCTCGGCTGCCCAAAGTGCTGGGATTGCAGGCTTGAGCCCTTTTTTTTTTCCCCATATGGCTTCTGAACATTGTTTATATTTATTGTCACACTAGGATCACTTAGTTTTGTACTTTTAGTAGTATCTATTGCTTTATTTGTTATGTTGCCAATCGGCAGTTGTAAAGGTCGTAGATGAAATAGACAAGTATTTATAAGATTAATTTTATCTTACCCTTGTTCTCTTTTTCTCTTCTTGAATTTCCTCCTTCAAATATATGAACTATTTACTTAACCAAACACTCTCTTTCTCTTCCCTCTCACCATGGCAAGAGTGAAAGGGACCAGAATGATGAAAGGTAGACAGTTGGCCTGAGGAAATAAGGTGCCTTGGCGATTCTCAGACTGGATAATCAGCTCCTGGGGAATCAGGCGCTGACTTTTTTTTTTTTCCTCCTGCTTTTACTCAGAGATCATCTTTTCATATTTTGGGATTTGTGCAGTCATTTCAATGATCTAAAAGTGAAGAGCTTGATAATAAGTTGATTTTAGTCCTACTGTCTTTTTGTGACGGATGTGCTAGATAAGCTTAATGTGAGTCATTCAAGAACCAAGCCCCTGTTTGAACCTGTCCATTGAGGGCCCTGTTTATCAGAGGTTGAAGCATTTTTTAGCTAGCAGCTGATCTTGGGTAAGCAAGCCATTGTACAAGTTCCCCATGCCTAGTTGTTTTGCATCATTAATCATCTTTTCTTCAAGCCATGGAAACATGGCTGAGTCTTGAGTCATCTGGCTCTTCCCAGTGCTGGAAATCCACCCTGCTGAGGTGAATGTGTGAAATATTTTTTGTTCTCGGTAGAGATCTGAGAACTGGTTTGTCTCCTGCAATGAACAGATTGAATTCCTTATAAATATGTTACTAAAAGGTACCTTTTGTGTCCATTTTACAGATATCTGACATGATTATTTATTAAACTCCTTTAAATAACTCCTGTGCTTAATGCAGTTTCCAAATATTTGAAATACTAAATGTAGATTTAGGGAACTCAGTGACCAGTTTTCATTTGCATTTTGATGAATTTCTCTATTTTAATATTTGTAGTTGCTATCCATTTTAGAAATATCCACTCTGCCAAGTAGGTTGGGAATGTGTGCAAGAATGACAGCTTAAATAATGTGCTTGTTTGCTATTGGAGCCGATGCCCCTAAGTAAAGCTACCAGATAAAGAGAGGAAAGGGGGAAAAAAGGAGGAGAATGAAGCCACCGTGTAACATCTGTTAGAGACTCAATGTGAGCCCTGTGAGTTAGTCTTCATTTCCCATGCTATGTTTTATTTTTATTTTTCCTGTTCCATTAAAGCATTTCGGTTAATTCTGTATAAGTAGAATGCTGATAACTCCTTAGAGAAATGTGATTCAGTAATAACCTTGTTTCCATGTGACTACTTATCTAATCTGCCATGCATCTGCTTTAAGGAAGGTGTCCATTAGGGTCAACTCACAGGTCAGACATTAATCTTAATTGTCAAATGTCTCAACTCATTGCTAGAGACTAAATTGATCTTGATGGCACTCATCTGAGTACCGATTCACACTAAAAGACAGTCAAGGGGTTGTTTTCCTTTGTGTGTTGTAATTCTTAGCAGGATCCTAAAAATGAAAGTTTTAAAATGTGGAATAGCATGATTAATGAGGACATTTATTAAGGTTAAGGCAGTTTAAAAGTTCAGTTTAATCTAAGGTTAGCTTGTAGGAACTGATATAAGAGATAGTTAAAAATTTGTTAAGCTTTACTTAAAACCTGTATTTGGGGGTAGAAACAGTTTTCCTAGGGTACTTATAATTTCCTTTAATTATCTCAGAAAGAGGGTCTCTTATTAGGATGAGGGAAAAAAATGACCCGTCATTCTTTTAAATCAGGTTTAATTTATTCCTGATATTTATATGATTCTTATATGTCATGTAATTCTTATGACATATAAGAGAGAAAACATTAATCTAGAGTAGGTAATTTCCTAGTTCAGCTTCTTCCACTTGTGTGAACTACAGAAGAACTGAAGAGTAATTGTAATTGTTTTATAACTTTAAAGAATTTAAGAGATTAAATTGCTGTCCTTGTGAATTCTTTGTTAAGTAACTCTCAAAGAAATAGTCAAGTTAAAGGGGATTTACTTTCTAAAACTAGCTTTCTTTTCTTTCTGTCTAACCTTTTATTATGAAAAATTTCAACATCTACAAAAGAAAGGAGAGTAGTATCATTACCCAGCTACAGTCACTGTTAACTCTCAGCTAATCTTGTCTCCATCCTGCCACCCTCCACTCCAGATTATTTTGAAGCAAATTCTAGACATCACTTCCTTTTATTAAAGCAAGTTGCGTTTCATAGTGACAATAGAAACCATTTACTCTTGGCACAGGTGCTAAGGTCTGAATACAACTTTAAGGAGACAGTGTCTGCATTGAAGAGCTTATGTTTTAAGAAAGGAGTTTATGTTTTCACTGGATATACTCGGCGTTCAGGGAATCAGAGACTTTCTTCAAGTTTCCCTTGTCTTTTAAATAGGGACGTATTTGCAAGTTCTTATCTGTTTGGAAATTCCTGTAGCAAGTTCAGGTTTAGTCATTCTGTACTGCTTTGGTGGTGCCTTATCTAAATAGTATTGAAAGGAAGAAAGAATTATTTCACCAAGAGTTGGCCTTGAAAGGAGTTAGATGTATTGGGTATATTTAGGAAGTACCCCTTCAACGCTGTAATAATATACCAACTTTTAAAGCTACCTCATAATAGCTCTTAAAAACACATTTAAAACACTTAGAGGTGATCCTTTTTCCTAGCCATCAGTGGGACAAATTAATTCCTTTTTGAGTAAAAAAAAAAAAAAAAAAAAAATTCTCTTTTTTTAGTACTCAAGATCAGCAAGTATTGGTTGACTCATTCTTTGTTGTTAAACCTCTTGGTTTCTCAGGCCAGTGTGTCTTTTTGTATACTTTGACCTTGCACTTTAAACTGAATTCCTTTTGTCCTTTGAGGGAGGCATAAAGCTGTCAGTTCCTGTTGGTGAGTGTGGGAAATTGAGTTTTCACTCTTCTCTATAATTTCTGCATTTCAAGTGGTTTTAATAATAATCATAACTATTTCTCAATTTTACTTCTTAAAAAAGTAGATTCATCAGACTGAATTGAATATTTGTTTTCCTTCTAAAGCTGAAGCCAATTTTGCCATACTTGTTTGTGCATTCTTAAGAGTTTAGTACTTAAGCATAGAAAACTGTGGGGTTCACATTTATATTTTGCTTTATTACAACTTAGAAGGTAATTGATGACTTGGCTCTGTGGTATGCTCAAAGTGCTGGACTGAGCTAGTTCAAGAATGTCATTAGCAGTGAATGGGAAATATGTGTCTACTTTTCTTCAGTAGCTAAACAGAAGTAATTATATATTTACATTCTACCTATTTCATAGGGATGTTGTTAGAATTACTGTGATTAGATTTTTTTTTTTAATTTCCAAATGTATTTAAGCTTCTTTACAGATAGGTGCCATATCAAAGCAAGGTGTTAATGTCATTTTTCTCAATTTGTGTTTTTGTCACTAGAAATATATATATATTGCTTTTTCTCTTTTCCTGGTATATTTTTCTGATAAATGTTTTGAAATTTGTTATCTTAAGTTTTTCATAGCTGGAATGCTAGAAAAGCATTTATGTCCTATTTTTAGTGCAAGTGATGAGTCTGGCTGGGTGGGTAAGTTAATGGCAAGGTAATTGAACTGTGCTGAGTGCTCGCCGATGTATCCTTCTGGCCTCTCCATTTTCAGGGTAGAGTTACTGTTTACAGTGACATGTTTCACAGTCTGTGTGACCAGCCAGTGTGAATCAGTTCGTCTATTGCCTGGCTTTCTTGAGCTCAATTTTTGTCTCATTTCCCCTTTCCATTTTATATATCACATTTCAAGATGGATGATCTACTTGTCTAACCACTCCAGGGAAGATTGGTGCCATCTAATAAAGTCAAAATGAGGTCCTGCATGTTACCTGGCATAAATTAGAGAATTATAGAATGAATGTGTGAACAGATCTGAGACTAGAGCTAGGTCACGAAACTCCTCAGTTTTTTTGGGTTCTCATTATGTGTTTATGGATGGAATTGTTCTCTTTATCTGGTTTGGGTGGTTTTGTTTGTCAGTGGCCAATGTGGTGGATATTTCAACACAATTTGGACATGCTTCCTATATATTTTGCAGAATGGTCTTTTTCTTTTGGTTAACTTTATAACTAATAGTTAAAGAATTTTCAAGCCTCAGCTGGGTACGGTGGCCCATGCCTGTAATCCCAGCACTTTGGGAGGCCAAGGTGGGCAGATTACCTGAGGTCAGGAGTTTTGAGACCAGCCTGGCCAAAATGGTGAAACCCTGTCTTTACTAAAAATACAAAAATTAGTCAGGCCTCACTCCAGCCTGGGTGACAGAGCGAGACTCTGTCTCAAAAGAAAAAAAAAAAAATTATTTGGGCTTGGTGACGTGCACCTGTAATCTCAGCTACTCGGGAGGCTGTGGCACGAGAATTGCTTGAACCTGTGAGGCAGAGGTTGCAGTGAGCCAAGATCGTGCCATTGCACTTCAGCCTGGGCAACAAGAGCAGAACTCCATCTTAAAAAAAAAAAAAAAAAAAAAAAAAAAAAAGAATTTTCAAGCCACATTAGGATGCTTATCGGCATGAGTTTTACATAATAAGACAATCTGAAATGTATTTGAGTTTTGATGTTTCTAATCTGTAGAACTTGAAGGCCTAAGGATTTTGTAGTTTTTTAGGGAACAGCATTCCTCTTTCTCTCAGGTGATCTATGTTATGTTGACCTACTCAAACATGTTAACTTTGAAAATGAACCAACGTTCAGGAACAAATGAAATGACATTTTCAGGACAGCATTCCAAATACATAGTTAGGGACAGTTGTTCGTAGCTTCTGGAGTGTTTGAAAATGGCCCTCATATCATACAACTTGAATTGGCATTCATTGACAATCACTTTGCTTTTAAAAGATGCTTAACAAAGAGTTGTAAGTAACATACTTTGAGACTGAGTAAATAAAATAAACATGCGAACCTTTGATGTTAAGCTGAGTTTGTTTGATTTTTCAGGCTGAATATACAAAGACTGTTTCTAGGAAAACTTGTGCTTTGTACAGATAGAGGAACCTCCTAAGAATTTTGATTGTGGCTTCCAAAATAGCAGATTTCTAGAATATGATTACCTACTTTATCTAAGATTTCAAAAAGCTGCTTTGTCTATTTTATGATATAAAGTTTTCAAAAAATCATCACTGTTTTGTTTGCCTTTTTTTTTTTTCTTGAAAAGGCATGTGTTTAAGCATCAGCCTTATTAGCTGGACTGTTATTTCATGTATTTCTGTTAGAACGCTGGATAATGGACTTGAAACTTACATGGCTAATATAATACCATGAAGTTTAGGAAACTAAGGGCTCATTTCTGTTGTATTCCTTGGAACGTATGTGGGTTCAAGATCAAAATCATTATTTCTTCTTTGTTTTGGTATTTGTCTCTTTCGGGAATTAAAATTTGTTCCCAAACATTCGTAGGACTACACTGTAGCAGGAATCTGAATAGAAAACACTCCTTGTTTAGTTCTGAGTTTATGTGGATGAGGACTAAGTGACCATTGAAGGTGGAAGGGTGATCACAGAGATTACTCAGAACTTAATTTATTAATTCTAAAATGCGTTCATTGAATACACATGGTTTGTGTGCTTTTTATGGGCCAAACCATGTAACAGAGGCTGGGAATGCAGTTCTTGCTCTCAGGGGAATGTAGTCTTGTCTGAGAAACAGACAATGAACATCAGTTTCCAATAGATCTAGTTGTAGGCTTAGAGCATGCAGAGGGAACAACAGAAAAAATCCACTGAGACCATTCTGGGGTCCAAATAGGACCCATGGCCCAAGTTTAGAATGGCAAGAAAGAGGAAAGACAGAGGGAGCTTGGGCAGTGTTCTGCAAAGGATAAATTCAGTTCTCTAAGAATAGTTCACTAGTCCTTTTTTTTTTCTTTTTTTTTTTGAGATGGAGTTTCGCTCCTGTCACCCAGGCTGGAGTGCAGTGGTGCAGTGGTGCAGTGGCACGATCTCGGTGCACTGCACCCTCTGCCTCCCAGGTTCAAGCAATTCTCCTGTCTTAGCCTCCTGAGTCACTGGAATTACAAGCACGCCCGGCTAATTTTGGTATTTTTAGTAGAGATGGGGTTTCACCGTCTTGGCTAGGCTGGTCTTGAACACCTGACCTCAGGTGATCCACCCACCTCGGCCTCCCAAAGTGCTGGGATTACAGGCATGAGCCATTGTGCCTGGCCTGGTCACTTGCTCATAGTTATTAATCTGAAGAAGTTCTACAGTAAATCAAATGTTCAGGATTGCCTAATGTTGACTTACTGATTTAGAATATCATTCTCTTGGTATGCTTCTATAAACTACCAGTGCTCAATTTTTCTTTTCAATTTTGAACTTGTTGATGGACAGTGTCTACAGTCTCTTGACAGTTATGTAATTTGTGTCTATTTAGGTTTAAGCTGTCACCTTCCCAAATGCGGCATCTGTGTAGCCCCAGAGGGAGCATTCTAAAAGGTAAATCTGAGCCTGGCGCAGTGGCCCAGGCCTGTAATCCCAGCACTTTTTGGGAGCTGAGGTGGGAGGATCACTTGAGTCCAGGAGTTTTAGACCAGCCTGGTAGCAAGACCCTGTCTCTACAAAAAATAACAATAAATAAAATTAACAGGCACAGTGATGTATACCTCTAGTCCTAGCTACCGTAGAGGCTAACATGGGAGGATTGCTTGCACTCAGGAGTTCGAGGCTACAGTGAGCTATGATCGCACCACTGTACTCCAGCCTGGTAGCAAGGGCCTATCTCTAAAGAATAAAAAATAGACTAGGCATGGTGGCTCATGCCTGTAATGCTAGCACTCGGGGAGGCTGAGGCCGGTGGATCACCTGAGGTCAGGAGTTCAAGACCAACCTGGCCAACATAGTGAAACCCTGTCTCTACTGAAAATACAAAAGTTAGCCGGGCATGGTGGCGCACGCCTGTAATCCCAGCTACTCAGGAGGCTGAGGCAGGAGAATCGCTTGAAATCGGGAGGTGGAGGTTGCAGTGAGCTGAGATTGCACCACTGCATTCCAGCATGGGCGACAGACCAAGACTCTGTCTCAAAAAAAAAAAAAAATAATTAAAAAAAAAAATAAGGCCGGGTGCAGTGGCTCACACTTGTAATCCTAGCACTTTGGGAGGCCAAGGCAGGCGAATCACTTGAGGTCAGGAGTTTGAGACCAGCCTGGCCAACATAGTGAAACCTCATCTCTACCAAAAATACTAGCCTGGCGTGGTGGTGCATGCCTGTAGTCCCAGCTATTCAGGAGGCTGAGGCAGGAGAATTGCTTGAACCTGGGAGGTGGAGGTTGTAGTGAGCCAAGATCACACTTCTGCATTCCAGCCTGGGTGATAGAGCAAGACTCTGTCTCAAAAAGAATTAAAAATAAATGAACAAAAATAAGCCAGGCGTGGCCCGGTGCAGTGGCTCACCCTGTAATCCCAGCACTTTGGGAGGCTGAGGCAGGAGGATCACGAGGTCAGGAGATCGAGACCATCCTGGCTAACATGGTGAAACCCCGTCTCTACTAAAAAATAGAAAAAAGTAGCCGGTCATGGTGGCGGGTGCCTGTAGTCCCAGCTACTCGAGAGGCTGAGGCAGGAGAATGGCGTGAACCCGGGAGGCAGAGCTTGCAGTGAGCCAAGATCGCACCACTGCACTCCAGCCTGGGCAACAGAGCGAGACTCCGTTTCAAAAAAAAAAAATTAGCCAGGCATGGTGGTGGATGCCTGTAATCTTAGCTACTGGGGAAGTTGAGGCAGGAGAATGACTTGCACTGGGGAGGTGGAGGTTGCAGTGAGCTGAGATTGCACCATTGCACTCCAGCCTGGGCAACAGAGCAAGGCTCTGCCTCAGAAAAAAAAAAGTGTATATATATATATACATATATATATATATATATATATATGTATATATATATATATATATATATGTAAAAGTTAAAAAAAAAAAAAAAAAGACCCATTTCTGCCGAAAATCTTTCAGTGACTCCATCACCCCAATGGGCCATGGGCAAGTCCTGTTTCCACTCTCACATCCTTGCCTTTGGGATTGTTTTCATTCCTGCTGAGTATTTACCCTCACCTGGAAAGCAGCTGTGTGAACTTCTCTTCATCCTTCGTAGGCTGGTGGCCTTTCTTCCATGCTCAGTTAATCAGTTTCTCTTCTCTGCTTCCTTTGTTCTTTGGCCTGCTCTGCGGTGTTGTATGAAACACACTGTGCCAGAATTGTTTGTTTACTTTCTGTTCCTGTTCTAAATATGAGCTCTTTGAGGCAGGACCTGTGTCTTTCTTTGGACCTTTACGTTTGTCGCAGTAACTGTCATATAATAAACAGTCAATACTTGATTTAAGCTGAGCAATGTAACACTTAAACATTAATTTTGTTACATTTACTGGATTATAATGGTGACTGAAAAAAACATTTTTAAGTTTTTTACTCCACCTGGGACAATTCTAACTAAGTGTTTTACTTATGTTAAAACTCATTTAATTATCTTTGTTAAAGAATTACTCTGATGCTTGTTAAAATAGTTAGGAAGACTTTATTCAAGACTATTGCAATGGCGGGGAGAGATCCAGCTCAATTCTGAATCCAGCAAGGACAAATAGAGAATTACAGTCAAGTAGCAGAATATGGTCAGTGAATGGTAAATTGCTAAGTGGAGACATCAAGGTCAGTAGATCTTATAAAACTGGCTTAGTCTGCTTGGGCTACTGTAACAAACTACTATAGACTAGATGCCTTAAGCAATCGAAATTTATTTCTTATAGTTCTGGAGGCTAAGTCTCAGATCAAGATGCCGACAGATTTAGTTCCTGGTGAGGGCCCTCTTTGTGGTGTGCAGACAGTCACCTTCCTGCTGGCAGAAGGAGAGATCATCTCTCTGATGTCTGTTCTTATAAGGGTACCAATCCCATTCATGAAGGCTCCACTCTCATGATTTTAATTACCTCCCAAAGGCTCGCTTTCCAAATACCATGACCTTGGGGATAAGTGCTTCAGTGTATGTATTTTGAGAGGACACATTTGGTCCATGGCACTGACCTAACAAGATTGTTGCCGAAGGCAGGCCTAGAATGTATACATCAAAGGTGGGGGTGAGGAATTTGATCAAATATCAAAGGTGATCAGATATCTCAGATGGGGGTGATTCTCACTAAACTGACTTAGCAGGATTGTTTGTAAAACTGAGTTAGGTAGGCTGAAGACAGGAGGGGACTGGAGGAGGTTGCGGCTTCGTTGAGGAGGGCTCAGAGAAGCCTGAGTTTGGTCAAGGAGAGGGTCTTTGTCACTGTTAGGAGCCTTTTAACTTAGGTGCTAATTATACTAGCATTTTATAGACAAAGAATCTGAAGCTTAGAAAGAGGCTAAGCAACTCACGAGGTCCGTACCAGTAAGCACCCTACCTGGATTCTAGCTGGCGTGCTTTCTGTTCCATAACTTTAAAGCATTGATCATCTGGACCCTGCCTGTGATGGCTCAATTTGCTTTTGCTAACCTGCTGTGAGAATCAGTGGGAGTTTGCCTCTGCTTTAAAATTACTCATGGTCTTGCTGCCCTTAGTGCTGTCAATCCTGTGATTTCCACTGGAGCAACATACTCAGGTTACAACACTGGGTAACATTTACATTTTAGCAGCTTTCTTGAAATTTAAAATATATGTGTAAGTATCTCATTTATATGCATTTCTAGTTTCTTTATACAACAGAATAACTTCTTTTACATCAAATTTCTGAATTTGACTAAATTTAGAAATAATGGAATCTCATCCATTAAATATAGTCATAGAAGGAAGGAAATATGAAAATTAGGATTTCAGATGTTTGAACATAAAAGATAATTTTAAACATTGTCAGTAATCTATTTCTTTTTTTTTTTCGAGACGGAGTTTTGCTCTGTCACCCAGGCTGGAGTGCAGTGGCACGATCTTGGCTTACTGCACCCTCTGCCTCCCAGTTCAAGTGATTCTCCTGCCTCAACCTCCTGAGTAGCTGGGATTACAGGGGCATGCCAACATGCCGGGCTAATTTTTGCATGCCACCATGCCAGGCTGATTTTTGTATTTGTAGTGGAAATGGGGTTTCGCCATATTGGCCAGGCTGGTCTTGAACTCCTGACCTCATGTGATCCGCCCACCTCGCCTCCCGAAGTGCTGGGATTATAGGCATGAGCCACCGCGCCCAGCCCAGTAAAATCTATTTCTATGAAAAGCTCTTCAAATGTAGGTGAACGCTGTAAGCTTTATGAATCAACTGTTTTCTAAATGGTAATACATGAAATCTGACAATTTTTTATGTGATTTTATTCAATTTTCTAAGAAAAGTAAAAAATCAGATACATAGCCGCTCTTCTCTTGGGACTAGTCTTGATACCTTTTGTATTTTTATATAGTGCTTTGCTCATACCCTTCTTGCTGTTTTTTGTTTTGTTTTGTTTTGTTTTGTTTTTTTTGGTGGGGGGGTGGGGGATGGAGTTTTACTCTTATTGTCCAGGCTGGAGTGCAATGGTGTGATCTCGGCTCACTGCAACCTCCGCCTCCCAGGTTCGAGCAATTCTCCTGCCTCAGCCTTGCAAGTAGCTGGGATTATAGGCATGCGCCATCACACTTTGCTAATTTTGGTATTTTTAGTGGGGACAGGGTTTCACTATGTTGGTCAGGCTGGTCTTGAACTCCTGACCTCAGGTGATCTACCCTCCTCGACCTCCCACAGTGCTGGGACTACAGGCGTGAGCCACTGTACCCAGCCCCTTCTTGCTATGTTTTAGCCTGCAATGCTGTTCCCACTTGTGTCTATATAGCACTCCTAATTTAAATCATACACACTGCTATTCTGCAGTGATTTCTTACTCTTTCAGTCAGGGTTGGTAGCTTTTTTCTCTGGGCTTTCACAGTCCTGTGGAAGGGCACAGGGTTATCTTATCTGATACAATGTGTACGAAAGGAGTAACTGTATCATAGTAAAAGTTTTATATATAAGTGAAAATATTTACAACACTTTATCCAGCTTACAAGTTTTTGATATATTTTGTTTCTGTGTCTTAAACACAATGGACAAATACCTCATATAAAGTTTTATATTTTTAATTGTCATATATTTCATTATATGGATATATCTTTTTTGGAGACAGAGTCTTGCTCTTTTGCTCAGGCTGGAGTGCAATAGCACGATCGTAGCTCACTGCAGCCTCCAATTCCTGGGCTCAAGCGATCCTTCCACCTCAGCCTCCCAAGTAGCTGGAACTACAGGCATGTGCTCCCATACCTAGCTAATGTTTTGGTCTTATTTTTGTTACTTATTTATTTATTTTTAAACACTTTGTTGCTTAGGCTAGTGTCAAACTCCTGGGCTCAAGGAATCCTCCCAAACTTTGGCTACCCAAAGTGCTGGGATTACAGATGTGAACCACCATGCCTGGCTGGATGTTTCATAATTTACCTAACTGTTCCTATGCTATTGAACAGTTAAGATTATTTAAGTTTTTAATTGTTAAAAATAAAGTCATGGTGAATGCCTTTGGACATATATCTTTGTATTTTGGATTATTTTCTTATGGCAGATTTGCAGGAGTTTTGTTATTGGGTAAAATGGAAAGAACATTTTTCCTTTATTTTTTAAGAGAAAGGGTCTGGCCAGGCGCTGTGGCTCACACCTGTAATCCCAGCACTTTGGGAGGCCGAGGCGGGCAGATCACCTGAGGTCAGGAGTTCAAAACCAGCCTGGCCAACATGGCGAAACCCCGTCTCTACTAAAAATACAAAAATTAGCCAGGCGTGGTGGTGGGTGCCTGTAATCCCAGCGACTTGGGAGGCTGACAGGAGAATTACTTGAACCTGGGAGGCGGAGATTGCAGTGAGCCGATATCACACCACTGCACTCCAGCCTGGGAGACAGAGCAAGAGTGTCTCAAAAAAAACAAAAAACAAAAAACAGACAGGGTCTTTCACTCAGGCTGCAATGCAGTGGTGCAATCATGGTTCTCTGCAGCCTCCAACTCCTAGGCTCCATCAATCCTGCCTGAGCAGTTCCTAGGACTGCAGGTGCGTGCCATCATGCCCAGCTGATTTCTGTATTTGTTTTTTTTATTTGTAGAGATGAGGTCTTACCATCTTTCCCAGCTGGTCTCAGACTTCTGGCCTCAAGCAGTCCTCCTGCCTTGGCCTCCCAAAATGCTGGGATTACAGGCGTGAGCCACCGTGCCCGGCCACTTTTTTCTACTCTTGATATACTTACCTATGATACGCTTTCCAAAGGAGTTGTAACAGTTTGCCCTCCCACCAGTGGTGTGAGAGAGGGTCTCTTTGCTCTAACAGTATTAATATCAGATATCTGTATTAAACTTATTTATTTTGAGGCCTTACCTCTTTCCTTGTGGTAAACTTTCTGAACTAGGTTGACCTAAAGTAAACTGGTTTAGATTCCCAAATAAAATTGACAAAAACTTTATAAGATCCATTTTAAAAGTTGGAGTGTCAAGGAAATAGGAAAAGCTTTGTTAGAGAGGGAAATGTTATTCAGTGAAGTACATATTGAATGTGTGAACTTTTCTTCAGTAACAGTTGTTATCTTTTAAAAATCTTCTCCATGGTATTTGGAATTTTAAAGCTTAATACCTCTGCTGGATTTTGCAAGCGTGAAACTAAAACACAGTGAAATTTGAATGTGCAAACATACATAAACTGGAATTGTGAATAAATTAGATTATAAACCAAACACATTTTGAGTATAAGTGGGCCTTTAGAAAGTTTTTTATATTATGGGTAGAAGGTGAACCTTTCTAAAGAAAATAAGAAATTGAGGAAATCTAGGATTTTCTTCTTTTTATTTTGGATCTCAGTGTGTTTGTGATTTTTAACAGAAACGTTCTTTTCTGTACTTTAATGGTGCAGCCAGATCCATGTAAAGAAAAGGAGTGAAATCCCCAGGAAAGATGACCAGCAGCAGGATTCTTTTCAGCTTTTCTCCCTTTCCTCAGGCTTGAATATATTTCAGTGCACCTCAATCAAGTGAAGTGAGATTAAATATTTGAGTCATCTGTCTGTTGCCTTCTAAAATGGTCTGGCTTTCTGTTGGCTGCAGTCTATTTAGTGTTTTAGTGATGCTAATGTTATTGAATGGTTTTTAGTTCTAAAACTTCTAGTAGTGATAAATCTTGTGCATAGAAGTCCCCTAGGTCACTTAGCAGAGCGCAGTTGGTTTTTGTTAATGACTGCATTGTCCTTTGCTCTCATTCGTGATACCCAGTGACTTTTCATTGATGTTGCAGTAAGGCTTTTTTTTTGTTGTTGGACTTCTCCCATTCTTTACACATTGGTAAATAATCTTCAGCTGTAGCAGGAGGTAGCCAGCATCTATGTGTGGATCAGATTTATCAATATGTACCTGTGCAGATTGCCTTTATCTCCTGATTGGGCAAATACTTAACAGTCCTTAGCAGTCTCTCCATTGAGTTTTCCACCAACTCTAACTGGCAAAAGGACTCAGTTGTATTGGACAGGAAAATCTTATTGTCTTTGCTGTCCATTGTGGCACTAAAGCTGTGAAGATGTCATACATGTGAAGTATTCACTGGATTCTCAGTTACTTACTCGTTATCAAGGCTTACATGTAGCCAATTTAATTTTGATGAATATGTTTAAATGTAGGGCATTTTATAATTACTGGCTCATGGTTTTTTATACAGTATGTGCATATTTCATTTCTTTTACTACCGTCTTTCAGCCCATATTTAATTCATCCATTTGCAGCTGTTGCACTGTTTTGTTGAAACTGGCTTAAAAATCTGGCAGGAGGCTTCCCTACTTTCTTGCCCTTTTCGGTGTTATGGTGTTATTTTACACAGTTAGTACTTTCTATGTAGTTTCTTCTTTCCTAAAGCTGAAGGGCCATATCTCTCAAACTTTTCTCTGCTTACCTTTAACCACTGTTCGTGCCGATGAGCTGATAATACCAGGCTTGGTTGCTGGCTGTATTTAGAGGTATACAATTTAAATACCCAGAGATAAAGGTGACAGTAGTAAATTAGTGCACTGTATTGTCTTAAGACTAAGTGTGATTTCAGTTCTTATGCTACAACATGGAAGTTTATTTTAATGTTTTCCTTTATGTATGGGCTTTGCAATGGTTGAAACTTGAGTTTTTATTTGGAAGTTTTGGAAGACAACTTTTAGATTGTCTCTTTTTTTTTTTTTTGAGACGGATTCTCACTCTGTCGCCCAAGTTGGAGTGCAGAGGCGTGATCTCGGCTCACTGCAACCTCTAGCTCCCGAGTTGAAGCGATTCTCCTGCCTCAGCCTCCCGAGGCATACACGACCACACCTGGCTAATTTTTTTTTTTTTTTTTTTGTATTTTTAGTAGAGATGGGCTTTCACCATATTGGCCCGGCTGGTCTCAAACTCCTAACCTCAGGTGATCTGCCTGCCTCGGTTTCCCAAAGCACTGAGATTACAGGTGTGAGCCACTGTGCCTAGCCTAGATTATCTCTTCTTTAGTGACTGTATATATCTACATTACACAGATGACAACATTTTGTTTTCCTGTAACCTAGGCCATTACATTTTTTTTTCATGTGACAAAGTGTTTGCAATTATTTGTGAAATTTTAATTTTTTCATCACTTATTAATTTATATTTGAGAGGACTGGAAAGTATGTGAGTTGAAAATAGTTTAAACTTATACAATCTCATTATTAATTTGGCTGTTAATTTGAATCTATTCCATAACTTATATTTAAAATAAAATTTTGATTTGAAAGGCTCTTATCTCAATCAGTGGTTCTTAAAATTATTGTTTGCTGTTTAGAGTTATATTTTTTTTCCAGGAAGTACTTTTTTAGCTTTCAGGAACTTGATATAATGTTTTATTCTTGATGACCCACTGGAAAATAGAACCTTCTAGAAGAAATAAAGTCACTTTATTGAAGCTTTATGAATGGCTCTCCTATCTGCATCTGTAGGGCTCTACAATCTGATTTTTCCAAACAAATAGACAAACTATGGATAATAACTTTTCAGATGTTACTTTGCAGTTAGTTGGTGGTCTGGAAGAAGAAAAAAGAGCTTCAAAGAGGGGACTGTTAATTCCATTTATCTCTTGAACAGGAATTGCTTTCCTGTCTTTCATTGCTGTCCCTTATTTTTCACCTTTATGTTGTAGCTAGGTTTTGGTTTTATTAGCTCCCTGATGAATTCTCTCTTCCTGCCAATATTAAAGTAAGGATGATTTAGAAGAACTGAGGTTAAAATCTGCCTATTGAAGCTCTCCAGGCTAGATACCCTGACATTTCTCTTTGTGGAAAGTAAGCAGGAGTAAAGGGACAAATCGTCCGAAATGCCATTGAGTGTTGCCAAGTGATGTGCTGACAGCTGTACCTGACAGTGATTGCTGGACCCTGGTCATTCCTGAGTGTCTCCTTTTCACCTCCCATCCCCTGCTGCCACTCCCCCCTAACAACAACAGAAATTCTGGGAGGAATGCCTGTTCCCTATTTAGAGGACAACTTGAGTGATCATGATAGTTTGTCAGATATAATGTGGACAATGACCTTTTTCAGTTTTAGTAATAAGATTCTTCTTTTTATCAGGTTCTTTATCCTTTATGCAGTTTTAAAATATTACTTATGAACAAGCTGCATATCCCTTTTAGGTCATCTTGTTCTTCTACTTCAAATAGCACATGTAGAAGCCACATTTGAGGCTCAGGGCTTCAGACATGACAATAGGGCATTGATCAGGTTGGCTATATGTTTGGGATTTGTCAGTTCCTTTGTCCATTTTTTGTCTCGCTTTCAGTACCTTTTCTCTGTGTTTTAAAAGGGCTTTGTGTACCTCTTGCCTTTATGTGTAATCTTACAGGGCAGCTTTCTTCTTTTTCATTCATTTCCTGCTCTAAGAGTCATCTCAAGATAGGAATCTGGTATAAGACTCACTTATAGAACAGGGACATAGGCTCTTCCAGTTGTTTTCATTCATTGCAGATTATTTTAAATAAGAGAAAGGTTTCCTTGTATTTTTCTTTAATGTTTTCCAATTTTGAATTGTTATAGATGCAAAGCCTTTAAAAGGATAATATGTGGAGGCAGTATTTGTTTGGGGTATCTTTTAATTGTTTTTCTAGATCAAGGACAGATATAGATAGATTAATACCTGAAACGAAACCCTAACAACTCTCAAATATCAGATAATTTTTTTTTATGTTTCTGAGGATGTTTTTATATCCTTTGAGATATTTAAAATATACACATTTTTATGTTTCTCCCACATTTGGACATTTCTTTCCCCTCAATGTTTCATTGATGCCACATTTCTACCAATTTTAATCTTGTATTCTATATCTTACTATCCTATAGTTTCTTCAAGCTGAAATTAGACCTTTTGAGCAACTTTAAAACAAATTTTTAAAAATATTTATTTATAAAAGATCAATTACACTTATTACCTTAGTACCATAATAAAAATCTGTTTCAAATAAATGAGTCTGAAGATGGGAAGGGACACCATTCAGTGGGTTTAGAAATAGACCTGTTAAAATACAAGTCCAGCTGGCTGGGCACGGTGCCTCATGCACTTTGGGAGGCTGAGGCGGGCAGATTGCTTGTGCTCAGGAGTTCAGGACCAGGCTGGGCAACATGGTGAAACCCTGTCTCTACAAAAATACAAAAATTAGCCAGGTGTGGTGGTACACACCTATAGTCCCAGCTACTTGGGAGACTGAGGTAGGAGGATGGCTTAAGCCCTGGATGTGGAGGTTGTGGTGAACTGAGATTGTGCCACTGCTTTCCAGCCTGGGTGACAGAGCCAGGTCCTATCTCAAAAAATTATAGAATAAATAAATAAGCAAGCCCAAAGGCAATTTCATTTTATTTTATTTAGAGACAGTGTCTGACTGCCGCCCAGGCTGCAGTGCCAGTGGTGCCATCATAGCTCACTACAACCTCGAACTCCTGGGACAAAAGCATTTTTTCCTGCCTCAGCCTCCCCAAGTAGCTGGGATTGTAGGCATGTACCACACACCCAATTTTTAAGTTTGTTTTTTGTAGAGACAGCATCTTGCTATGTTGCCCAGGCTGGTCTTGAATTCCTGGCCTCAAGAGATCCTCCTGCCTCAGCTTCCCAAAGTGCTAGGAGTATCGGTGTGAGCCACCTGCCCTGCTTGAATTGTTTTTTTTTTGTTGTTGTTTTGTTTTTTTTTGGAGACGGAGTCTTGTTCTCTGTTGCCCAGGCTGGAGTGCAGTGGCACGATCTCAGCTCACTGCAACCTAAACCTCCTTGGGTTCAAGCAATTCTCCTGCCTCAGCCTCCCGAGTAGCTGGGATTGCAGGTGCCCACCACCATGCCTGGCTTATTTTTGTATTTTTAGTAGAGATGGCATTTTGCCATGTTGGCCAGGCTGGTCTCGAACTCCTAACCTCAGGTGATCCACCTGCCTCGGCTTCCCAAAGTGCTGGGATTACAGGTGTGAGCCACCGCACTTGGCCCTGAATTGTTTAAATATGAAGATGAAGAGGTCTCTGCTGTCCTTACTCCTCTGGCCTCTAATACCTTCTAGCCATCTTGCCTTACTTTGGAAGGGAGGGAGACAGATGTAGTTGTTCACAGTTGAGAGCTGCTGAAACACTGTGACTTTATGGACAGTAGTAGGGAGAAAGCAAGCCTAATCCGTTTATAAATGTTCCATTATATACAAAATACCCTTTCTACCAACAGTAGGTTCTTAATTACTGACACCAGGCATGCTTTGGTTGTGACTCCAGCAGCGCGGGTTGGTGGCATCTTACACTGAACAGCCTGGGCCTCCACTCTCCCCTTCTGTAAATTTTGCCTGTCACTAATTGTTTGGGCCCAGTTTCTTCATTTATATAAGAGGATTATAAGATTTTTGTGAGGGGATGGTCAATAATTAAGTGAAAAACAGATGATGTATGTTCATAATCACCTTTTAGTCTCTAGGTCATTAAGCCTAGATTAGCCTATTTTGGTGTATTAGAAATTTGCTGATTATCTGGACTATGTATTAGTAGTACATGTAGAAGATTTCTTTTTTCTGTGTGTGTGTGTGTGTGTGTGTGTGTGTGTGTGTGTGTTTTCTTATAGATGTGGTCTCACTCTGTTTCCCAGGCTGAAGTGCAGTGGTGCAATCTCAGCTCATGCAATGCCACCAATCCATGTTGCTGGAGTCACAACCAAAGCATGCCTGGTCTCAGTAGTTAAGAACCTACTGTTGGTAGAAAGGGTATTTTGTATATAATGGAACATTTATAAATGGATTAGGCTTGCTTAGGCCTGGGTTCAAGCAATCCTTCCGCCCTAGACTCCTAAGTAATTGGAACTATAGGCACATGCCACCACGCCCAGCTAGTTTTTGTGTATTTTTTGTAGAGACGGGGTTTTGCCACGTCACCCAGAACAGCCTTGAACTCCTGTGACTGTTGTGGGAAATTGATCTAGACTCAAGTGATCTCCCTGCTTCGGCCTCCAAAAGTGCTGGGATTACAGGTGTGAGCCACTGTGCCTGGCCTGTAAATATGTTTGAATTACCTCATTTCATCTTGCATGCTTGTTATTTTTAACATGCCTTTTCTCCCTTTAATTTTTAAAAAATTTGGCTGGGCATGGTGACGCACGCCTGTAATCCCAGCACTTTGAGAGGCATAGGTGGGTGGATCACTTGAAGCCAGGAGTTTGAGACCAACCTGGCCAACATGGTGAAACCCTGTGTCTGTTAAAAAAAAAAAAAAATTAGCCAAGTGTGGTGGCACGCACCTGTAATCCCAGCTATTTGGGAGGCTGAGGCAGGAGAATCACTTGAACCCAGGAGGCGGAGGCTGCAGTGAGCAGAGATTGTGCCACTGCACTCCAGCCTGAGTAACAGAGCGAGACTCCATCTCAAAAAAAAAAAGGCCGGAATCCTAGCACTTTGGGAGGCTGAGGTGGGCGGATTGCCTGAGCTCAGGAGTTCCAGACCAGCCTGGTCAACATGATGAAACCCCGTCTCTACTAAAAATAGAAAAATTAGCTGGGCGTGGTGGTGGGTGCCTATAATCCCAGCTACTGGAGAGGCTGAGGCAGGAGAAGTGCTTGAACCTGGAGGGCGGATGTTGCAATGAGCCAAGATTGCACCACTTCACTCCAGCCTGGGCGAAAGAGCGAAACTCTCTCTCAAAAAACAAAAAAACAAACAAAAAAATTTTTTTTTTTTTTTTTTTTTTTTTTTTTTTTTTTTTTTTTAGACGGAGTCTTGCTCCGTTGCTCAGGCTGGAGTGCAGTGGCACTATCTCAGGTCACTGCAGCCTCCGCCTCCCAGGTTCAAGCGATTCCCCTGCACTCAGCCTCCTAAGTAGCTGGGATTACAGGTGCTCACCACCACACCCAGCTAATTTTTATATTTTTAGTAGAGATGGGGTTTTGCCATGTTGGCCAGGCTGGTCTCGAACACCTGACCTCAGGCGATCTGCCCACCTCGGACTCCCAAAGTGCTGGGTTTACAGGCGTGAGCCACCGCACCTGGCCAAAAAAATTTGAAAATTTTCAAACATTCAGGAAAGTTGAAAGAACAGCACAATGACATACTTGTTTTAAAAGACCAATTACAGTTTAATTATTTGATATAAAGTTAAGTTTTAAATTATGCCAGTAATTAATACTTTAGACATTTTATTCCACATGGTTAAATTTTACCTTTTTAACTATTCAACTTAGTATTTATGTGCTAGAACCTAAAATCCCTAATTGTTTATGTTTTGTTTTGATTTTTATTTTTTGGAATTGTTGCATATTTTCTGAATAATCTTCCCATGTTTATGATAGCAAAACATTGGAACTGAAATAACAAATCTGTTTCAATATACTTTTTTATCATGCAAAATGACATTTTAATAAATATTGTTTTAGCCAGGCACGGTGGCTCACGCCTGTAATCCTAGCACTTTGGGAGGCTGAGGCGGGCAGATCACCTGAGGTCAGGAGTTCAGGACCAGCCTGGCCAACATGGTGAAACCCTGTCTCTACCAAAGTACAAAAATTAGCCGGGCATGATGGCCGGTGCCTGTAATTCCAGCTACTCGGGAGGCTGAGATGGAAAAATCGCTTGAACTTGGGAGATGGTGGTTGCAGTGATTGCAGTGAGCCGAGATCGCACCACTGCACTCCAGCCTGGGTGGCTGAGCGAGACTCTGTCTGTGTGTGTGTGTGTGTGTGTGTGTGTGTGTATACACATATATACGTATATATAAATTGTATATATATAAAGAAAGAATATATATATAAAGAATATATATGCGTATATATATAAAGAAATAAAGTTGTTTTAAGGATGGTCATTCTAGTTTATAAATACATGTTTATTAGAGGCCTTCTACTTATCTATATCAACATTAGGGATTTTAATGTAAGTGCCAAAATTAAGGATCATCAGTATTTTTTCTTTTGACTTTCTGTAATTGGCTCTTTTTTCCTGAAGCTGAAATGAAGAAAGATTAAAGACTTCTTAAACATATTCTAGCTTTGGTTTAAAAATCTGAACATTATCCAAACTTGAAGAAACTATTTACCTGTTTCTTCATTGCTTAATACTTAGTCTCTATGTTTTTCTATTTTTTGTACCTAAATAAGGAGTGTTTGTCTCAATAAAATATCTAGGTCCAGCAATATGTTTAGAAAGGTTTTAATAACTTGCTGAAAGCATGCATTTTGTGTAAAGTGTGGCAAAGAAGGAAACAATTGTACTTTCACTGGGAAAAGACTAAAAGGAAATATAAATACCAAGCTGTTGATAGAGGTTGCCTTCGGAGAGTGGAATTGTGGATTTTTTTTTCACCTATCTTTTCAGTTTTCTAAATTTCCCACAATTGTCACCTATAACCTTTAAAGGGGGAAAGTGTAAGCAATCATGATGTAGGCCCTGTTGTAAAACAGAAGTAAATGGGACTGTGCCTATTTGCCTACTTGGTGCTGCCCTTTTCCGTGTGTTGTCTCCTCGCCGAAGAGCTCCGGGCCCTTAGCCCTGAGGTGCTGCCTCTGCTTGGGGCTGAGCTTCCTGCACTCCTGGGTAACTCTCCTGCTTTCTAGGCCACAGGGCCAGGGACCTCAGAGAGAAGAATGCCTTTCCTTTTCTCTAGGTATGTTTCTGTTTGTTTTCAGCGTAGGTGACCTACCTTATGCTGCTGAAGTCCCCTCATAGAGATAGAACTGATTTCGTTCACTTTTTTCTTTTCTTAACTGCTCTAGGCTTTCTGTTAGATTTTCAAAAAATGTGTGACTTCCTGCTTACATATGGTAAATGTTTACACGTCAGGAAGCTTTTCCTTTTTGTGTGTAAGAAGTAGAAGCTCACTGGACTTATATGTCAGCATTCTATTAATCTTAATTCCCCCATTTTGTTTCTGTGATCTGCTATGACATTACAAAAAAAATTGGTTTATCTTTCTTCTTTCGTTTTCCAGTGCCTTTATTGCATGGAACAGTATCCCCTGCACCCACGCTTCACCCTGGTTAGTTTACCAGGCTAACTACTTTGTGCCTCTTTGGTGAAGTTCGTATTCCTAAAAGTATGAGGTTATCATCATGGGCTCTGAATCCAGACTCTCTCTTCCATTGTTTAATAACTGTATAAACTGTGTTTTAGTCTCTGGAAGAGGGAATACTAATAATATTTAGTCCATAGCTTTGTTAATAGGATTAAATTGGCTAATATAGGTCAGGTGTACTTGCAAGCACTTAAACTTTCCATTCGTTATTATAAGCTATTACTATTAAGGATCATGCCAGTAAATCCTCACCAAAATTGACTTCATTATTTTGGCATAATGTTATTGTAGACTATTATCTTTGATTCCGGGAGTAAGGCTAAGTTGTCATTTGAATGAGATAAGGACCTCGAAATCAGTTGTAAAGACAATCTTGGCCGGGCGCGGTGGCTCACACCTGTAATCCCAGCACTTTGGGAGGCCAGGGTGGGCAGATCACGAGGTCAGGAGATTGAGACCATCCTGGCTAACATGGAGAAACCCATCTCTACTAAAAAAAAAAAAAAAAAAAAAAAATACAAACAAAAACATTAGCCAGGCGTGGTGGCAGGTGCCTGTAGTCCCAGCTACTTGGGAGGCTGAGGCCGGAGAATGGCGTGAACCTGGGAGGCAGAGGTTGCAGTGAGCCGAGATCGGGCCACTGCACTCCAGCCTGGGCAACAGAGCAAGACTCCGTCTCAAAAAAAAAAAAAAAAAAAGACAAAATGTTTTAATGAGGAGATAAAAATCACTGAACCAGCCTGTTGTTTTTATATTGGATCAGTATAGCTTTGTACCGTACCTGGAAATAAAAATAAAAATTTTTCCTGAGTAAATTAATAAGATGTAGGAAAGATATTAAGGTTTATTTTTAAGTAAGCTCTAAATAGAAATGATAATCTGATTATAAAAAGAAGAATATGAAAAATATTTAATATGCTAGTGCTCTGACTCAAAAATTAAAACCTACATTTTTTCTTTATTATTTGTTTTTTGAGACAGAGTCTCGCTCTATCACCCAGGCTGGAGTGCAGTGGCACGATCTCAGCTCACTGCAAGCTCTGCCTCCTGGGTTCACACCATTCTCCTGCCTCAGCTTCCCGAGTAGCTGCGACTACAGGTGCCTGCCACCACACCCGGCTAATTTTTTTTTTTGTATTTTTAGTAGAGACAGGGTTTCACTGTGTTAGCCAGGATAGTCTTGATCTCCTGACCTCATGATCCGCCCGCCTCAGCCTCCCAAAGTGCTGGGATTACAGGCGTGAGCCACTGCACCTGGCTAAAACCTACATTTTTTTCAATTCTCTTTTTAACATTTGAAAATTTTGCTTAATCTAAAATATACTCCAGAAGTTTAAATGGAAAGACCTTAATAAAATATTCAGTCAAATGCTCTTCCTTTAGAAATGGAGGTACTGAAGTTCATTTCTCCTATCATTCTAAATTGATGTTTCATTTTGACTATATATTTAGTGAGTTATGGCAGTAAAAGCAGCTTTAATTTTTTTTCTGAAAGCCTACTCATATTGGAGCCCTTTATAACTTGCCTCTTGAAGTATATATATTTATTCATACAAATCAAACACTGATGTCTGTGAAGTTTCATATCATCTTTTATATTTGAATTTTGTTCATATACTTATTGTCACCCAGGCTGGAAGTACAGTGGTGTAATCTCAGCTCACTGCAACCTCTGCCTCCTGGGTTCAAGTGATTCTCCTGCCTCAGCCTCCCGAGTAGCTGGGATTACAGGCATGTGCCACCATGCTGGCTAATTTTTCTATTTTTAGTAGAGATGGGGTTTCGCCATGTTGGCCAGGCTGGTCTGGAACTCCTGACCTCAAGTGATCTGCCCACCTCAGCCTCCCAAAGTGCTGGGATTACAGGCATGAGCCACCAAGTTTTTAATTGATGGCATTTTAAAGAATACCTCATATTTTATACTTTCCAGACATTTTCCCCACTTATATGAAATTTAAAATGAGAGTATAGCTGTTATTTGTTACTTGGTCATAAAGGTATTTGGAAAAGCACTGATCTTAGAATTTTAATAAAAGGCATTTATTACCAAAAAAAAAAAAACACTGGATATATTGACCTTAAAATGAGTAATTAGTATTTTCCAGTAAAGCATTTTGGATTCAACATAGACTATGCTTCACCCTACCTCACTTCTATTAGAAAACCTTTTTTAAAAAGAAATTTTCTTTTTGTCAGCTTTAGTAAATAATGTCATTCAGGATTCCTATTCACAATCTGAGATCTGCCACTTAACTTGCTCAGAAGCCTTACAGTCCACACCATTTGTTCTATCCTTTCAATTCAGGTTTTATTTGTTTATTTATTTATTTATTTTTTTTGGCGTGCTGTTGCACAATCTTGGCTCACTGCAACCTCTGCCTTCTGGGTTCAAGTGATTCTCCTGCCTCAGCCTCCCGAGTAGCTAAGGTTACAGGCGTGCGCTATCACGCCCAGCTAATTTTTGTATTTTTAGTAGAGATGGGGTTTCACCATGTTAGCCAGGCTGGTGTTGAACTCCTGACCTCAAGTGATCCACCCGCCTCGGCCTCCCAAAGTGCTGGGATTACAGGTGTGAGCCACTGCACCTGGCCTCAATTCAGTTTTTAACTTGAGCTTAAACGAGATATTTTTTAAAAGTTAAAATCTGTGTTGAGGCATATCAAGAATTGCTATGTCTCTTGGGGGAGAGATGTGAATTCCATCAACATAGATATGCTAGTTTATAGTGAACTGTTAGGAATGCTGTACCCTTGACTCATACTTAGTCTTTTCTTTGTGGCTTGTGGCTCTCTTTTCAACTTCATTAACATGTAATTGAAGTGTACTAAATGCATATACTTATTTTTTATGTTTTTTCAATTTTTTATTTTTTGTGTGTGTTGGGGGGTCTCACTATGTTGCCCAGGCTAGTCTTGAACTCCTGGCCTAAAGTGATGCTCCCACCTTGGCATCCCAAAGCACTTTACAGATGTGAGGCACTGCACTTTAAATGTGTATATTTAAAAATGTACAGTTTGGTTAGTTTTGACATGAGCATATGCCTGTGAAATCATCATTCCCAAGAGAGCAAACACTTCTGTTCCCCCAAAAGGTTCTTGTGCCTCTCTGTTTTGTGTCCTTTCTTCTCCTCCCATCTTCAGGAAACCACTGATGGGGTTTTTGTCACTATAATTAGTTTACATTTTCTAGAATTTTTCTGGAAGTGGAATCATAGATATATACTTCTTTTTTAATCTGACTTCTTTCACTTAGCATAATAATTTTGAGATTCACGCATGTTGTTGCCTGTGTAACAGTTGGTTACTTTTTATTGCCAAGTAGCATTTCATTGGATGGATAGATCATCATTTGTTTATTCATTGATCAGTTGATTGACATTTGGGTTTCAGTTTTTGGCTCTTAAAAATAAAGCTTGATAGTACATTTGTATAGAAATCTTTGTGTGGGCATAAATTTTCATTTCTCTTAACCAAATACCTAGAAGTAGAGTGGCTAGGTGGAGTGGTAGCTGTGTAATGTTTTAAGAAAACTATATTTTTAAAAGTTTGTACAATTTTACATTCCTCTCAGCAGTGTGTAGAGCTGTTCCACATCCTCACCAACACTAGATGTGGTCATTCTTTCTCATATTAGCCATTCTAGTGGAAATATAGTGGCATATCAGTGTGATTTTAGTTTGCATTTCCCTGATGATTAATAATGTTGAACATCTTTTCATGGGTTTATTGCCCATTTCTAGAAGTTATTTTACATCTCAGCCATTTCCTCACTGAGCTGTCTTATTCTTAAATTGTAAGAGTTCTTTAGATATTGTGGATACAAGTACTTTTTCTAATGTATGTGTTGCAAGTAAGTGTTTTCTTTGTGGTTTGCTTTTTTGTTTTCATAAGGGTTATCTTTTGAAGAACTGTTTTTTTGTTTTTTTTATTACTTTGAAGCCCAGTTTACTAATTTTTTCTTTTTTGTTTTTTTTTGAGATGGAGTTTTGCTCTTGTTGCCCAGGCTGGAGTGCAATGGCGCGATCTCGGCTCACAGCAACTTCGCCTCCCAGGTTCAGGCCATTCTCCTGCCTCAGCCTCCAGAGTAGCTAGGATTACAGGCATGCGCCACCACGCCCGGCTAATTTTGTATTTTTAGTAGAGACGGGTTTCTCCATGTTGGTCAGGCTGGTCTGGAACTCCGGACCTCAGGTGATCCACCCGCCTTGGCCTCCCAAAGTGCTGGGATTATAGGCGTGAGCCACCGCACCCGGCCTAATTTTTTCTTTTATAAATCATGCTTCCTTGTGTTTTGAGAAATTGCCTAGCCTAAGTTCAGGAAGATATTCTCCCATCTTTTAAGATTTTTATATGAAGCATATATGGTTTTGCATTTAGGCCTAGGACCCGTTTTGAATTAATTTTTGTGTATTATGTAAAGTGTCAGTGTTGGCTTTTCTCCCCACCTGGATATCCAGTTGATCCACTTTGTTTGTTGAAAGACTTTTTTCCTCCAGTGATTTGTCTTTACAACTTTGCCAAAAATCAGTTAACCAAACGGGTAGGTCTTTCTGAACTCTTCTTTTCTGTTTTATTGATCTGTCTCTTTACACCAATCCCAAAAGGCCTTGACTACTGTTGTTTTATAGTAAATCTTGAAATCAGGGTAAATCTTTCAACTTTGTTCTTTTAAAAAGTTGCTCTGCTTATTCTAGGTCTTTACTATCAGCTTGCCGATTTCTGCCACAAAGCCTGCTGCAATTTTGATTGGGATTGCATTGAATATACAAACCCTTTGGAAAGAATGGCATTTTCACAGTATTTAATCTTTCAACCCATGAACTTAGTATCTTAGTACCATTTATTTAGGTCTTCTTTAAGTTTTCTTCGCAATATTTTGTAGTTCTAAGTGTAGAGGCCTTGTATATGTTTTTTTGTGTGTTTGTTTGAGACGGAGTTTCACTCTTGTTGCCCAGGCTGGGCCTCCCGGGTTCAAGCGATTTTCATGCCTCAGCCTCCCAAGTAGCTGGAATTACGGGCATGTGCCACCATGCCTGGCTGATTTTGTATTTTTAGTGGTCAGGCTGGTCTCGAACTCCTGTCCTCAGGTGACTCACCCGCCTTGGCTTCCCAAAGTGCTGAGGTTACAGGCGTGAGGCACCGCGCCCAGCCTGTCTTTTGTTAAATTTACATTTAGAAATTTTACATATTTTGATGCTACTGTAAAACAGTTGTTTTTCTTAATTCCACTTTCCAATTTTTTGCTTGCTAGTATTTAAGAATTCAGTTCATTTTAATACATTAACCTTTTATCCTGCAGTTTTGTTAAATTCACTTATTGAATATAGTTATTGTTTTCTAGATTCTCTGGGATTTTCTATATAAATAGTGATATCTGTAAATAAGGAGAGCTTTATTTTTACTTTCCAATCTTCATGCCTATTTTTTGCTTGTTGTTTTTCTTGTCTTATTACTTTATTGAGTAATCTCCATATCAGTGTTGCACAGAAGTGGTAAAAGCAGATATCCTTGTCTTCTTCCTGATCTCAGGCTGAGAAATTCAGTCTTTAACCGTTAACTGTGATGTTAGATGTAGGTTGTTCATGGATCCCCTATATCTGTTTGTAGAAGTTTCCTACTAATTCTAATTTGCTGAGAGGCATTTTTTTTTGTTTTTTTTTTTTTTTGAGACAGAGTCTCGCTTTGTCACCCGGGCTGGAGTGCAGTGGCATGATCTCGGCTCACTGCAAGCTCTGCCTCCCGGGTTCACGCCATTCTCCTGCCTCAGCTTCCCGAGTAGCTGGGACTGCAGGCACCGGCCACCACGCCTGGCTAATTTTTTGTATTTTTAGGAGAGACGGGGTTTCACCGTGTTAGCCAGGATGGTCTCGACCTCCTGACCTCGTGAACCGCCCGTCCCAAAGTGCTGGGATTACAGGCGTGAGCCACCACACCCGGCCTGGTTTTTTTTAATCATGATTGGATGTTGCGTTTTTGTCAGAAGCTTTTAAAAAAATATCTGTTCACATGATCATATGGGCTTTCTGCTTTATTCTGCTAATATAGTATATTACATTTTCTGAATGGTTTAATCTTGCCATTTCTAGGATAAACTATTTGGTTATATTTTAGTATCCTTTTTATATAATATTGATGTTCAATTTTTAATTTTTGTGAATGATTTTTGTATCTGTATTCTTTAGGGATCTTGTTCTATTATTTTTTGTAACGTCTGTGAGGTTTTGGTATTATAGTTGTATGACCTAAAAAAGTGAAGTGGGTAGTGATCTCCTTTTTTTTTGTTTGTAAAACTTTTCATAATTTTTGTATTATTTCTTCTTTGAAAGAATTCACCAGTGAAACAGACTATGGCTTTCTTTTGGGGGAAGTTTTTTGTTTTTTTTTTTTTTCTTTTGAGACGGAGTCTTGCTCCGTCGCCAGGCTGGAGTGCAGTGCTGCGATCTCGGCTCACTGCAACCTCCGCCTCTTGGGTTCAAGTGATTCTCCTGCCTCAGCCTCCTGAGCAGCTGGGACTACAGGCGCGTGCTACCACACCCAGCTAATTATTGTATTTTTAGTAGAGACGTTGGCCAGGATGGTCTCGATCTCCTGACCTCGTGATCCCAAAGTGCTGGGATTACAGGCATGAGCCACCGCGCCTGGCCGGGGAAGGTTTTTAATGATAAAATCAGCTTCTTTAATAAATATAAGAGTATTCACATTCTCGTATCAATTTTAGTAAGCTTTATTTTCCAAGAAATTTGTTTCTTTTATCTACACTGTCAAATTTATTGGCATAAGGCTTTTTACTATTTCTTATTTTTTAAATGTTTGTAGGATTGATGGGGATGCCCCTTATTTCTACGATTTTTTTTTCTCTCTGTATCTAGCTCGAGGTTTGTAAATTTTTTTTTTCAAAGAACCAAAGTTTGATTTTGTAATTTTCTCTATTGTCTGCATTTTTATTCATCCTGCCATATCACTGTAATTTCCTTTCTTCTACTTACTGTTGGTTTACATTTCTTTTTCCAAGTTTTTTTCTGTTATTGTTTAGATTACTAACATTTAATGTAATTATCGGTTGTTGGAATTAGACCTGCCATCTTCCTATTACTGGTTTTGTTTGTCCTTTCTGTTTTTTTTTCTTTCTTTCTTCTGTTTCTTTTTTCTTGACATCTTTGGATTTTTAACATTCCATTTTCATTTGCCTCTTGACTTTTTGGCTATGTCTTTTTCTGTGTGTTGTGTGTGTGTGTGTGTGTGTGTGTGTGTGTGTGTGTGTTGTGTAATTGCTCCAGGTAGTAAATATATTTACTTAACCTTTTATTATCAGCTTAGAGTTAATATTTTATCACTTCACATAGAATGTAGAAGGCTTGCAGCCATAAAAGTCCCTTTACCCTCCCCCCAGAGACATTTATGTTACAGTTGTCATATGTGTTATATTTATGTTGAAACCCTACTACACAGTGTTACAGTATTTGCTTTCAACAGTCTACATATTTTAAAGACCCTAATAGGAAAAATAAATTTATATTTACTCAGATGTTTGCCATTTCTTTTGCTCTGCTTTCATTCTTAAAGATCTCAGCTTCTCTCTAAAATTTTCATTTGATTCTTTTTAAACTAGTTTTTCTTTCTCTGCTGATAACTTGTATCTTTCCATGCATTTGTGTTTGTGTTTGCCTCATGGAAAGTAGGTGTAATGGCTGTTCTACAGTCTTTGTGTGATAATCTCAACATTTTCATTGTCTTGGAGTTGGCATCTGTTGATTGCAATTTTTTTTTTTTAAGAATTTGTCAGATTTTCCTACTTCTTTGTATGTCCAGTAGTTTTGGATTATATCCTGGACATTGTGAGTTTCATGTTGTATAGATGTTGTGTGCTGTTGTAATCCTCTGCAGAATGCTGTTTGTTTCAGTAGGTATCTAACTTGGTTAGATCTGCCTTGGTTATATACCAGACTATAAATTCTCTATGCTGTCTGTGGACAGGGGTTCCTTTCTCAGTTCAGTTTTCAAGACCAGTGAGTGCTGTGCTTCTTTGAGCCTGCCGTGCATATCCATATCTCAGGTGTGAGCCTAAGACAAGCGGGAGTTAATTCACACAATGGCAGGTCCCATTTCTACCTTCTTTCCTCTCTGGTTTTCCCCACACTTTACAGCCCACAGGTGCCTTTTTCATTAGTTCCTTTAACCACAAAGACCGTGTTTCTGTTGGAGTTTTAGTCTCTGCACCTGTGCTTCACTGCATAGCTCCCTGACTGGGGCCCACCTGTGGGGCAGAGTTGTAGAGAAAAGACAAAAAAGAAAGTTTTTACTCCATGGAAAGGAAACTTTTTAGAAACTTTTTACTCACCTCCCAAATCTGCCTGCTTTTGTCTACTTCTTATTGTCCTCAAGTATTATAGTTACATTTTGTGTTCTGTCTGCTATAGCAGAAGCAGAACTCTGGTTTGTGACATTTTATTTTATTTTTATTTTTGAGACTGAGTCTTGCTCTTGCTGCCCAGGCTGGAGTGCTGTGGCAGGATCTCGGTTCACTGTAACCTCTGCCTCCTGGGTTCAAGCGATTCTTGAGCCTCACCCTCCTGAGTAGCTGGGATTACGAGTGCCCACCACCACGCCCATCTAATTTTTGTATTTTTATTAGAGACAGGGTTTTATCATGTTGGCCAGGCTGGTCACGAACTCCTGACCTCAAGTGATCCGCCTGCCTTGGCCTCGCAAAGTGCTGGGATTCCAGGTGGGAGCCACCGTGCCTGACCAGGTTTTGTGACATTATTTAATGTGTTGGATATGTGATTATTCTTTTTCAACATGGTAGCCTTTTTTTGTTTTTGTTTTTGAGACGGAGTCTTGCTCCGTCTCCCAGGCTGGAGTGCGGTGGCACGATCTAGGCTCACTGCAAGCTCTGCCTCCCAGGTTCACGCCATTCTCCTGCCTCAGCCTCCCGAGTAGCTGGGACTACAGGCGCCCGCCACCACGCCTGGCTAATTTTTTTTGGTATTTTTAGTAGAGACGGGGTTTCACCATGTTAGCCAGGATGGTCTCAATCTGCTGACCTCATGATCTGCTTGCCTCGGCCTCCCAGAGTGCTGGGATTACAGGCGTGAGCACCACTCCCGGTCTCAACATGGTAGCCTTTTACAAATTACTATATTTTTTTCAAATTGTAGTAATTCATACAGCAAGCATATATAATGGTAGGACAAAACACCTTAAGCCAAGATGTCATCTCCATGGTCTGTCCAGGTAGCATAGAACACAAAAGGAGATGTGATTGAAAGATGTTGCTTCATCTACATGTTTCTACTATTGTCTGGGGTTCCTTAGGAGCCAAGGAGAACCTCGCTGTGATTGGCATTGGAAAGACCTGTGGTTGGAAGAAAATTACCTGGGAACATTCCAGCCTCATCTTTTTTTTTTTTTTTTTTTTTTTTGAGACGGAGTCTTGCTCTGTCACCCAAGCTGGAGTGCAGTGGCGCTATCTCGGCTCACTGCAACCTCCGGCTCTCGGGTTCAAGCAATTCTCCTGCCTCAGCCTCCTGAGTAGCTGGGACTACAGGCATGTGCCACCACACCGGGCTAATTTTTTGTTTGGTGGAGACGGGGTTTTACCGTGTTAGCCAGGATGGTCTCCATCTCTTGACCTCGTGATCCACCCGCCTTGGCCTCCCAAAGTGCTGGAATTACAGGCGTGAGCCACCGCCCCTGGCCCAGCCTCATCTTTAAGCCATAATTTGGCTATTGTGTTAGTGAATAAACCTGAAAGGTACATCTTCATTCATACATAAACATAATTTAGTTTTCATTAGGTAGATTCCTTGTTCACATCCAGCTGAGAACATGACACTAAAGAAATCGGGCTTTAATTGGGGAGGGAAAGAGAGAGAACGTGGAGTCCCTTTGGTTGTCACTTAAGAGATACAGATGAAGGAGAAGTAGAGTTGGAGGTCAGAAGGGCCAGAAGGTAAATGTAGTCTAATATTAGTCATAGTGAGGTGAAGGCTTTTGGAGGGTAGAGATTCACCTAGGGTGAGAATTATTTCCTAAGTTCTAGAGTAGCATGGTAAATAACAAATAGTCTTAGGTGCTTTGTCAGGAACTGATAATGACTACAAGTATATTTGAAATCATAAGAGTTATATTTATGTTTGCTGTGATCCTCTCATAGTAGCTGTGAAATATTTAAAGTAAGGCATAAAATTATTATATCTATATCTATATCTATAAGTAAAAATGGTCTATTTTAATGCCTTCAGTATCATAGTTGAGTATTAAGCTAATGCTAACTTCATAAAATCATTTTTTCCTAAGATAATTTTTGAGATTTATAGGAAGGTAGAAATGCATGCATTTCCTCTGGATTTGCCATTTGTTGCATAGTATTATGTATAACATTTTCTTAAACAAAAAGCTTAAAGAAAATATTAGCAAATCAAACCTAGCTGTGTAGTGAAAGAATAACATGCATATATGAATTGGTCTATTGTACAAATTCTAGGATAATTCAGTATTTGCAAATATGTCACTATAATTCAGAATGTAAGTAAAGGAGAAATTCATTATCTCACTAGATGCTTAAAGAAAGCTTCTGAAAAAAATTTAGCCATTTCTTAATAAAATTATAAAAAATAGGAATAGAAGGAAACTACATAAATATGGTAAATAATCTTTACTAAAATACAACAACAAACCAACCTATTAAAATATGAAATACCAAAACTGTCACTGTGAAAGTCACAGGCAATACAAAAATTATTGCTATCACAACTATTTTGTATAGCTTAGTATTATTGCTTTGGGCTAGTAATGTAAGGCTAAATTCTTTATTTCCAGAAAATATAGGTCTAGGAAATCTAAAGAGATTCATATGTGAGACTATTAGCACTAATAAGAAAGTATGGTAAAGTAGCTGGATACAAAGAAGAGAAATCAATAACCTCTTTATTTTGCAACACAGTAAAAAAATGGAAGTAAAACTGAATGAACAGAATGTATTCTCATATATATTAAATATCTGTTTTACTATGCATTTAAAATCCAGAGCTTACCATTTTTGGGAAACTCTACAAAAAGATATATGACATGTTGATTCCAAAAGGATTTTATGAGGACTAAGTGAGATAAAACACACTAAAATGTTCAAGAGAATTATCAAGGTTGCCTATACAATATATTGAATGAGAAATTGTCGAGGAAAAGAAAGGCAGCTGCAATTTCTAAAGGGAATCTACAGTGAGAAGTAGTCTGATTCACAAACCTCTGGTTAAATATGGTGTCTTGACTACACTTGTTTTCTCCTTCCCTAAAGTCTGCAATAATCTCAAAGGAAGCTTAAAAATGTTAATTCATAGCTGGGCAGATGGGGTGTTGTCACCTGTAATCCCAGCTACTTCGGAGGCAGAGGCAGGAGAATTGCTTGAACCCAGGAGGTGGAGGTTGCAGTGAGCCAAGATTGCACCACTGCACTCCAGCCTGGGGACGGAGTGAGACTCTGTCTCAATAAATAAATAAAATAATAAAATACATAAATAAGTGAAATCTTAATTCATAAGGAGAAACATAACAGTAAAGGAGACAGTGACCAAAGATTTTAACAATTTTTCAAAACAGAAAGTGAATGGAGGGAGTAGTAACTGAGTTCACAGAGAAAGATACCACCTAAGTACCTGCAGAGGTCAGTTATGGAGATAACAGCATGCCCCAGGGATATCTTGAGAGAGTTCCTTGTGCTTGGGGGCTCCACGTATTCCAAAAGGCTGAAGTCAGTTTTACAGCTCACAGTGGAAATTCCTTAAAAGTCCATATCCAGATCTCTTAGACCTTCCTCTCCTACACTCCAGCAGATGGGTAACTACTTCAGTCCCGTCTGCTGGGGAAATGGGAGGAGCGCTAGAACCGGAAGTGCTCCAGACTAGAGAGGTGAAGCACGGGATTGAAAGTCAAGTGAGCCTGTACAGGTCTGCACACTGAAGTGTAGGGCCCTACCTCCTTCCTTCTTCACTCCTCCTCAAGGCAGCACTTAGATGAGTTGATCCCTTCACACCCCACCCAGCAGTTCGTTCTACCTGGCAAAACTTAACAGCTTCGGTGAAGAAACCTCCACATTACTGAACATTTGGAGGTGTCCCAATGAAAAGGTAACTCAATATACCTGATCATTTTACAGAGAAGCCCATCAGTCAACAAGCTTGCCACCCACGCTGAGCTTGGGCAGTTTTTTAGTGCCTCATTATTAAATATGGAGGCGCATCCAGGGACCACTAGATATACAAGGAAAACCTTAAAAGTGAAAGAGACGACCGAGACAGGCGGATCACAAGGTCAGGAGTTCGAGACCAGCCTGGCCAACATGGTGAAACTCCATCTCTACTAAAAATACAAAAATTAGCCGGGCATGGTGGGGCGAGCCTGTAATCCCAGCTACTCAGGAGGCTGAGGCAAGAGAATTGCTTGAACCTGGGAGGCAGAGGTTGCAGTGAGCTGAGATCGCCTGGGCAACAAAGCAAGACTCCGTCTCAAAAAAAAAAAAAAGTGAAAGAGACCCAGTCAATGAGCCAATGAACAAAAAAGGAACCCAGAGGAATCCAATGATCCAAGAAACAGAAGAACAGAGAACAAGAAAGTGCTTTTGGAAATTTAAAAATGTGATAGTTGGAAAAAACTTCTGTGGACAAATTGGAAGATGAAATTGAGATGTATTAGGGCAAGAGACTCATTTTTTTTAATTTAAATTTAAGATTTTAAATCTGTGAGTATTTAGTACTCATTCTTTTTTTTTTTTTAATTTTTGTTTTTGAGACAGGGTCTCTCTCCAGTTGCTCAGGCTGGAGTACAGTGACACCGTCTTAGCTCACTGTAGCCTTGACCTCCCGAGCTCAGGTTATTCTGCCACCTCAGCCTCCTGAGTAGCTGGGACTACAGGCTCATGCAACCACGCCTGGCTAATTTTTGTATTTTTACTAGAAACAGGGTTTTGCCATGTTGCCCAGGCTGATCTTGAACTCTTGGACTCAAGTGATCTGCCCGACTCAGCCTCTCAAAGTGCTGGGATTACAGGTGTGAGCCACTGTGCCCAGTCAATACTCATTTTTAACTGTGCATTTACCCTGTTAAATTAAACGTAAGGAAAAATATTCACTAAATCTGGATTTTTTTGAGACGGAGTCTGGCTAAGTCACCCAGGCTGGAGTGCAGGGGTGCAATCTCGGCTCACTGCAAGCTCCATCTCCTGGGTTCACGCCATTCTCCTGCCTCAGCCTCCCGAGTAGCTGGGACTACAGGCGCCCGCCACCACGCCCAGCTAATTTTTTTTGTGTGTGTGTGTGTTTCCAGTAGAGATGGGGTTTTACCGTGTTAGCTAGGATGGTCTCGATCTCCTGACCTTGTGATCCGCCCGCCTTGGCCTCCCAAAGTTCTGGGATTACAGGCGTGAGCCACTGCGCCCGGCCCTAAATCTGGATTTTTGTTTTTAGTTAGAGAAGAGGACTGGCTTTTTTTCACATCGGCTGTTGATGAATAAATAATGCCTGATGGAGATTTTTGGAGCATTAGATTTGTGTTTGGTAGTCTGGGACAGATGTTAGTGTAATATGCATTGTTTACAGGATATGGAGTTAGCAGGACAGCTAACTCCACAGCGTTTGGTCACCAAACGAATGATATCGTGCTAATCACGTACCCTTTCTGATTTTCATTTACCTGATCCATAATATGGGGATGGTAATAATGGTAACCTATCTCACAGGGCTGTGATGATGAGTAGAAGAGATAAGACCTATAATAAATTACCTAGTATAATGTGTAGCATGTACTAAATGCTCAATGAAAAGAAGCTTTGATTATAACCATCAAGTAGATGGACTGGTAATTATAGATGGTTAAGAAAAAGGTACAGTCAGCCCTCCGTATCCATGGGTTTCACAGAGTCCATAGGTTCAGCCTACCATAGATTGAAAACATTTGGGGGAAGAAATTATGTCTATACTAAACATGTACAGACTTTTAAGCTTACAGAATAACAGTTGTTTACATAGCATTTACCTTGTATTAAATATTGTAAGTAATCTAGAGATTATTTGAAGTATGCAAGAGGACGTGCTTAGGTTATATGCAAATACTGTGCCATTTTATATCAGGGACTTGAGGATCCACGGATTTTTTTTTAATCCATGGGAGGTCTTGGAACCAGTGTTCCTGGGATAATGAGGGACAACTGTATACTTAAAAAGTAACACGTGAATGAATGAATTCCTTAATTGTAGAGCTATGCTCTGGCTCTAGTATTAGTCCTCTGACCATTAAAGATAGCATGTTGGTGTGTTTATGATTATACAGGAATTAAGTTTTCATAAACTTAAATGTTGCATTTTCACTTACAGGCGTCGATTAGCAAGGTAAAAGTAACAGAACCATGGCTCAGTTTCCAACACCTTTTGGTGGTAAGTTTTCAGAAATTTCTCTTTTTAATGTACTTTGGGACCAGATTTTAAAAACTTGATATTATGGCAAATTTAAAATTAAAAAGTAGAGAAAATAATATAATCAGCATTCATGTATTCCATCATATAGTTTCATTAATTATCAACTCATGCCCAATATTGTTTCATCTGGATTCTTTTGGAGCAACTCCCAGGCATCATTTCATCTATAAATATTTTAGTATGTGTACCTAAAAGATAAGAAAACGTTTAAAGACATAACTTCAGTACCATTATCACATCTATAAAAATTTACAATACCGGGCCGGGCATGGTGGCTCACGCCTGTAATCCCAGCACTTTGGGAGGCCGAGGCTGGTGGATCACCTGAGGTCTGGAGTTCAAGACCAGCCTGGCCAACATAGTGAAACCCTGTCTCTATGAAAAATACAAAAATTAGCCGGGCGTGGTGGCAGGCACCTGTAGTCCCAGCTACTTGGGAGGCTGAGGCAGGAGAATGACATGAACCCGGGAGGCGGAGGTTGCAGTGAGCCGAGGTCGCACCACTGCACTCCAGCCTGGGCGACAGAGCAAGACTCCATCTCTAAATAAACAAACAAACAAACAATACCATATTATTGTACCTGTAAAATGTTCGCTACATCTAGTCTGTACCTTATAGTCTTTGGACATTTCCCTGATAGTCTTTAGACATTTCTTGTTATGGTTTGTTTGTTTAAATTGGGATCCAAATAAGATACAAACATTGCAATTAGGTCATGTGTTTCCCAAGTCTCTTAGTGAATTTTCCCCCACTCCTCTGTTTTTTTATCAGCAAGTTATTTGTTGAAGTGATGGGGTCATTTACACTTTTTCAAAGCCTGGATTTGAAGCATGACATTTTTGTTTGTTTTACTTCAGTTAAACTAAACATAAGTTTGAAACATATCAGTCTGCATAAAATGTGTTTTTTGGGTAATTTTTCCTAATGTTATTAGGAAATTGTTAAGTGTTCTTGCTTACACCCAAGTTACTTTTTAACAAAAATACTTATTAAAAAGTACTTATTAAAAAATACTTATTAAAAGTTCATATTAACGGATTACTCTTGGAAGCTGTCTAATCTTGTCATGAAGAGAGTAAAAGTCTCCGTGGGATTCTGGTACAGAGATCTGTAAACTTTTAAAAATCACTAGTTATTCTATTTTATTTTTGTCCCCCTTCTTAATTACTGTACAATTTCTGGTTTTTGTTTATAGTTACAGGGATGAATTCTGACAGGGCAGTGAAAATTTCTTCTAGAAGTTGCAGAACTGTAAGGCCTGTGAGGAAGGGGTCATTTCTGTCTTGGACACCCGTTCATCCCCACAGTAAATATTTTTCCAGTGACTGAATGGATTTTTACTTTATCTGTCAGTGTCATCCCAGACCCGGTAGAGAGGAGAGATGCAATGTTTAGATGTTTTTGCTGGTGTGCTGGGCACATTCACATTTTGTGTGAAACATACGTATTGTGTATTCCCAGTTTTGTGGAAGGTGTCCGAGCTTTTGAAAGCTTTCATGTATGTAATCTAGAATTATTTTAGTCAATTTGAGGAGACCTAGGACTAAAGTCTGCAAGATCTCAGTCGTGAGTGGACATCTAGTCAGCCTAAGAGCTGAAACTGAAGGAAAACCTAAAACCCATTCTCTTTGGCTATTATTTCATATCAGGACATCCCCTGCCCTTCTTTTTTTTTAAGTCTGTTTCCTGCATACTGAGATACCTGTTTTTAAAAACAGCTTTAGTGAAATATAATTTATATTCCATAAAATTTACTAGCTTTAGTTGTATAATAATTTTTAGCAAATTATATAGAGTTGTGCAGCCATCACCACAATCTAATATATTAATATTTTAATCACCCCCCAAAAGATTTTCATGGATATTTATCACACTCACCTTCTTCTTTCATAACTTTTGCCTGTGGCATTTAAGGCACTTGAGAGTACAGTTTTAGGTTTAAGTTAATTTAGTCTGTTGCTTGGGTTTATGTAAGTAAATTATTAATTTACTATAATCTTGCTAACTATGGGATTATAAAACAAGTTTCTAAAAAAGGAATGTGTGCCTCTTCTTTTCTTTCCCTCCCATTCTCTCTCTTTCTGTTTCTTACATTTTGTGTCCTGTTTTACACTTTTCTAACTTTATATGCATAACTTCCAAGGACAAGAAGATGTGAATTTATCAAGTCTTTATAATACATTGACAGAATCTTGAAGTGCTGTGGAAATAGTGTGTGAGAGCATTTTGTTTTCCTTTTCTCACTGAATAATTTGTTTGTCTTTTCTTTGGATTTTAGGCAGCCTGGATATCTGGGCCATAACTGTAGAGGAAAGAGCGAAGCATGATCAGCAGTTCCATAGTTTAAAGCCAATATCTGGATTCATTACTGGTAATCACAGTCAGCATTTTTTCATTTTTACTTATCAGTAGTGCAGATGTCTGTGGAAACTCTATCATGCAAAGACGAGATGGGCAAATATGACCAAGGAGAGACATTTACCTGTTTTGCCCTAACCTTGTGCCTGTCCTTTTACAATTTTTTTACACATAATGGAATCATACCTTGTTTGCAATTTTTAGTGCATGTCAAACCACTTGTTTTGTGCATGTAATTTATGGGAATTGGTTAAGATCAAAGGACCAATGGCTCACACCTGTAATCCCAGCACTCTGGGAGGCCGAGGTGGGCAGATCCCTTGAGGTCAGGAGTTCCAAACCAGCCTGGCCAACATGGTGAAACCCCGTCTCTACTAAAAATAAAAAATTAGCTGGGTGTCGTGGTGGGCGCCTGTAATCCCAGCTACTTGGAGGCTGAGGCAGGAGAATTGTTTGAACCCTAGAGGCAGAGGTTGCAGTGAGCCGAGATCACGCCACTGCACTCCAGCCTGGGTGACAGAGCGAGACTCCATCTCAAAAATAAACAAACTAATTTTCCTGTTTGATTATTTTTCAGAATTCACTTTATAAAAAGTGGAATCTTTATTTCCAGGGGAATTGTTCTGCTACCATGCCCAGCTAATTTTTTCTTCTTCTTTTTTTTTTTGAGACAGAATTTCGCTCTTGTTACCCAGGCTGGAGTACAATGGCGTGATCTCGGCTCACTGCAACCTCCCCTTCCAGTTTCAAACGATTCTCCTGCCTCAGCCTCCGAAGTAGCTGGGATTACAGGCACCCACTACCATGCCCAGCTTATTTTTTATATTTTTAGTAGAGATGGGGCTTCACCATGTTGGCCAGGCTGGTCTTGAACTTCTGACCTCAGGTGTCGTTCTTAATCATTGTTATTTATTCTCTGTAAATACTTCAGAAGTACCCAGAATTTGGAGTATAGGTATTGGGAATGGCAAATAACTTTTTTTATAAAGTGAAAGTATGGGTCATCAGTTTCCTAAGGATTTCTATAAATGTGCTTTTGCACAATGGGTAGCTGTTCATATCTTAGTTAATAGCAGATTAATTAAAGTGGAAAATCTATGCCAGGAAATGGTAGGCCCTTTTTGAGATGATTTTTTGAATTCTAAAGTCAGTGCTGATGGATTCTTTTACTGTTGCCTATGGGCTTATCCTTGGACTTTTATAATGCACTCAACTGGTATTTATAGTATTACCAGCCTCTTTGTAAATTTTGTAATTTTGCTATTACAGGATTTCTGTCAGCTGTTGTTTTTTTTTTTTTTTCCTGAAACTTTTTCTGTTTAATTTACAGGTGATCAAGCTAGAAACTTTTTTTTTCAATCTGGGTTACCTCAACCTGTTTTAGCACAGATATGGTAAGTTGGAATTTTACATGAAATTTTACATAAGCATAAGGCAAAATAAAATATCGTTTTGTTCTATTTGGTAATATGATTTCTTATGTTATAAAAGGAGAACATGTATCTCTAGCCTGAAATATCTTGTTACTTCTTACCAGAGAGTTATGTCTGAAAAGTGTCTTTCTCATATGGAACTAAAACAAAACAACAAAAAAAGTGGTGACATTTGAATGACAACACTGTCAAAAAGTTGAATTTCCATGGAGACATCTAAATTTTGGTGTTCCTTCACCAATTAGTTTTGGCTTCACCCATATCACCCACATTTATTTGAATGTCCCACATTTCTTGCTTTATAATGGAATGATTTTTTATCTTTCATTGACTGAAGAATAAAAGGTAAAGAAAATATTTGAGAGTTAGTGCATGGTAAATCCATAACATTAATAGATAATAGTGAATTATTTGACTATCACAAATAGGCATTCAATCTTTTAAGCCACAGGAAATACAGAGAGTATAATAAAAAGGGTGGCAAATACAGTTTTGGATTCTTGGCTCATGGCTTTGGAGAGCCATGCTGAATTCTGTTGTCCTCTAAGATGTCTCATTTTTTTCACCAAGGGTGCTTAATACTTCACTTCCCTGAGTTAATTAGTGATACGAAGGCAGCTCGCTATGAAGAAAGAGCATGTAGGCTGGGCGCGGTGGCTCATGCCTGTAATCCCAGCACTTTGGGAGGCCGAGGCGGGCGGATCACGAGGTCAGGAGATGGAGACCATCCTGGATAACACGGTGAAACCCCATCTCTCCTAAAAATACAAAAAATTAGCCAGGTGTGGTGGCGGGCGCCTGTAGTCCCAGCTACTCGGGAGGCTGAGGCAGGAGAATGATGTGAACCCAGGAGGCAGAGCTTGCAGTGAGCCGAGATCATGCCACTGCACTCCAGCCTGGGCGACAGAGCGAGACTCCGTCTCCAAAAAAAAAAGAGCATGTGATTTGTAGTCGTACACCTGAGTTTGATTCCCAGGTGTACCATTTTCAGTGTCTCTGATTTGGAGATACAGTTACCCTCTTTGACCTCAAGTTTTCTAATCTAGAAAATAGGAATGGTTATAGTTTTGTGAGAGTTGTTGAGAGGATTCCAGAAAAACCAAGGACTTATTGTGGCTCCTGTCACATAATAGGCCCTCAAAGTAAAACCCAAAAAGGTATCATCTCCAGGGGCTGGGTATTCTACATAACTGAATTTTCCAGCTAACTACTTTGTCCTCTTAAATTACCAAACTTTTAAATTTATAATCTTGTGGAAATTAATAAAGGTTGATACAGCTTTTTGTTTCTTTTAAGCACAGTCTACAGAACACAATCTAAGCTTTTCTTGATGAAATGTCATCATTATGAAAATTAGTAACTGTCCTGAAATAGCAAAACTTTCACAGGAGATTGTGTGTGTGTGTTTGTGTGTGTGTGTGTGTGTATTTGGATATATTTGAATTGAAACGAAATGATACCAGATCTCTGTGCTTTTTTTGGGTATCTGCTTTATTTTCTTTTTCCTGGTTGTCAGCATATTGGCCGCCAGACTGTCTCTAAACTAGTGTGCTTGCTCCTCTGAAGCCATTCTAATTCTAACTTCTGATCTATTAGAGCTAAAAAATCAGATAACCAAGCGGTTTTGGAATTACAGTTTAAGTAAAGTAAGATGCTCAGATGAAGAAACAGCCTGCAAGAAAGAAGTCATGTGCAAGTGAGCACAGAAGCCCTGTTCTGTCAGTTAAATGTGAAAGTTTAAACGCAAGAGACCTGTGGCACCTTTGTGAATTTTAACAAGCTTCTGCTTTGCAGCTCATACATGATCATGTCTCATACCATCAGGACCTCTCGCTGGAACCTTCTTCCGCAGACTTAACTTCCTCCACTGGATTATGCTTTTGTGTTATATTCCCAATTTTTCAAAGTTCATTTATTCTTTCAACATTGAAAAATTATTTATCAGATATCTCCTGTGGGCCAGGGACTGTTAAGAGGTGCTGCGGATATAGCAATGAACAAAATAGACAGAATCCATTCTTTTACTGAAACGGCAGTCTAGTGGAGGGAGACAATAACAACACAAAAATTGTCACATGGTGGTAAGTGTGGTGGAGAAAAATAAAATACACTCTAATGAATTTCATTTTTTTTCTTCTGTTTTTTGTAAAGGTGGGATCTTGCTATGTTGTCCATGCTGGTCTCGAACTCCTGGACTCAGGCCATCTTCCTGCCTTTGCCTCCCAAAGTGCTGGGATTATAGGTGTGGCCACCATGCCTGGCAAAGACAACTGTCTTAATTGAAAAAAGTGACATTTGGCTGGGTGTGGTGGCCCACGTCTGTAATCTCAATGCTTTGGGAGGCCAAGGTGGGAGCATCGCTTGCGCCCAGGAGTTTGAGACCAACCTGGGCAATATAATGAGCCCTCATCTTTAAAAAAAAAAAAAAAATTTTTTTTTTTTGTTTTTTTTTTTTTTTTTTTGAGATGGAGTTTTGCCCTTGTTGTCCAGGCTGGATTGCAATGGCACGATCTTAGCTCACTGCAACCTCTGCCTCCCGGCTTCAAGCGATTCTCCTGCCTCAGCCTCCTGAGTAGCTGGGATTACAGGCGTACACCACCACGCCTGGCTGATTTTGGTATTTTTAGTAGAGATGGGATTTCACCATGTTGGTCATGCTGGTCTCAAACTCCTGACCTTGTGATCCACCTGCCTCGACCTCCCAAAGTGCTGGGATTACAGGCGTGAGTCACTGTGCCCGGCCAAAAAAATTTTTTTTAATTAGCTGGGCATTGTGGTGCATGCCTGTAGTCTTAGCTGCTAGGGAGGCTGAAGTGGGAGGATTGCTTGAGCCCTGGAGTTTGAGGCTGCAGTCAGCTATGATTGTGCCTTCTAGCGTGGGTGACAGAGCAAGACCCTGTCTCTAAAAAATAAAAACAGTTGTCCTAACTTTCTAAACTATTTTTACCTGAGTGGCCCAAAGTCAGGTTTTTATAATGACTATGTATATTAATTAAAGATGGTAATGTGGCAATCTTAGATTGAATGAATCTTTAATTTTTTTCTTACGTTTTGCTAAATAAATTTGTGATGGCGTATTTTACTATCAAAAATGTCTGTAACTCTCTTTTCCCAAAAGAAATGTCTTTGAAAAGTCATTGGAAATTTCATGAACCACTGATATCCTGCCCAGATGATGGAATAATGCAGTGCAAATTATGAGTTTAGCAAGATCTGCCTTTCAACTGAGCTGATTTGATACTTATTCACATAGTAACCCTGAGTAGTACTTGATCTCTTAAAGCCTAGGTTTTTTTGTTTGTTTGTTTGTGTTTATGTTTTGAGACGGAGTCTTGCTCTGTTGCTCAGGCTGGAGTGCAATGGCACGATCTTAGCTCACTGCAACCTCTGCCTCCCAGGTTCAAGTGATTCTCCTGCCTCAGCCTCCCAAGTAGCTGAGATTACAGGTGCCCACGACCATGCCCGCCTAACCTTTGTATTTTTAGTAGAGACAGGTTTTCACCATGTTGGCTAGCCTGGTCTCGAACTCCTGACCTGAAGTGATCTGCCTGCCTCGGCCTCCCAAAGTGCTAGAATTACAGGCATGACCCACTGCAGCCGGCCAAGCCTAGGTTTTTAAAATTGCAACTAATAATAGCTGATCTAAAGAAGCAGCTCCCTCCAACCCCCATACTATTTTTATGTTCTTCTGTGATTTTTCTGGTAGGGTCCCAGGGTAAGTCCTTACTCCTTTTGGTAGACGGAAGAATGGGTTTGACTCTGAAGTTTTAGGCAGTCCTTGTGTCAGTCATCTGGGGAAGAAGATAATTTTTTGCTTTTTTGTTTGTTTTTGAGACAGGGTCTTACTCTGTCACCAAGACTGGAGTGCAGTGGCATGATCATAGCTCACTGCAGCCTCAATATTCTGGGCTCAAACAATCCTCCGGACTCAAACAATCCTCCCACCTCAGCCTCCTGAGTAGCTGAGTCTACAGGCATACACCACCATGCCTGGCTAATTTTTGTATTTTATGTAGAGATGGGGTTTTGTCATGTTGCCCAGGCTGGTCTTGAACTCCTAGATTCAAGCCGTCTGCCCGCCTCAGCCTCCCAAAGTGCTGGGATTATAGGCATTAGCCATCACATCCAGCAAAGAAGAGAAGTTTGGATTAAGAATTGGAAACTGTGTCTAGTTTCTCTCTCTGAGCTTTACTTACTTTGTTCTGGACTTTGTTTCAAATATTTGAGTGATACGAACTGATGGACAGTATATGTTAGAAACCTTTATTATGTTTTATTTCCATGTAGAAACTATATTCCAGTTAACTAATTTGTTAACTTTCAACTGTAATCTGTTAATGCTTTGGGGACTCCTTGTCTCTCCTGGCTGATTTCCAATTAAGAATACAAGAAAACCTTAATTCTCGGAGGATGGAGTCAAGTCAGTGTGTGTCATGCCAAATTATAACCGTGGCCAAAGATGGTACATCTTCCTAGAAATTGTCTTATTAATAAGGAGCTGGAAGGAGGTTGGCAGATATCCTTTTGGCAATTGAAGTGCTTAGAATTTTTTCAACTTTGCTATGATGTGGAGGGGAGGAGAATAAAGCAGTGGGAATAGACAAGAGCCAGAAGGTACAGGAAGGAAGAAGAGACGGGGTGAAGAGGCTGGATGAGGGCTCTGGAATCTGAGACGGAGGGCCAGCAGAAATGGAGAGAAAAGAGGGAGTGAGGGAGCACTACCTGGAAATGGGCCCTGAGAGGAAAGAAGGGAGCCAGACACATGAAGGCAAGGATTAGATCAACTTTGTGATCTGGTTCAGAATGGGTGTCAGGGCAAACAGCCATATAGTCATAGTTTGTACTTTCTTAAGACACTCCTGAGTATGTGTCAGAAGGGCCTTCAGCCCCAACAAGATCAATTTGCTAAACTCATACAAAAAAAAAAAAAAAAAAGAATAAGCACCCTGGACTCTTGATCCCCTCTCCTCCATCCCTCATTCCTGAGTCTTTACCATCCAGTAGCTCATGGCGTTGAACTAAGATGACATCTTAGTTACCTGGCTGCCCAAACCAACACCTGGGCACCGTGCTTGATTTCCCTCTTTTCTTCACCCTGCATACCCAGTCCATCAACGTAATTGCATTTACGGACTTTATCCCCAATCTGGCCACTTCTTTCCTACTGCTACCATCCTAACCTGTCATCTCACCTGGGCCCACTGTTCGAGCATCTGGACTGGGTTCTCTCTTTCACACTTGCCCCTTTAGAGTCTAGTCTCCAAACAGCAGCTGGAATTTTTTTTTTTTTTTTTTGAGACAAAGTCTCACTCTGTCGCCCAAGCTGGGCAGTGGCGCAATCTGGGCTCACTGCAACCTCTGTCTCCCGGGTCTAAGTGATTCTTCTGCATCAGCACCTTGACTAACTGGGATTACAGGTGCACACTACCATGCCTGGCTAATTTTTGTATTTTTAGTAGAGACGGGGTTTCACCATGTCAGCCAGGCTGGGCTCGAACTCCTGACCTCAGATGATCCACCTGCCTCGGCCTCTCAAAGTGCTGGGATTATAGGCATGAGCCACCGCACCCGGCCAGGAATAATCTTTTGAGGAGTGCAGTGGTGCGATCTCAGCTCACTGCAACCTCTGCCTCACAGCTTCAAGTGATTCTCCTGCCTCAGCCTCCCGAGTAGCTGGGACTACAGGCGCGCGCCACTATGCCCAGCTAATTTTTGTATTTTTAGTAGCAGGGTTTCACCATGTTGGGCAGGATGGTCTGGATCTCCTGACATTGTGATCCGCCTGCCTCGGCCTCCCAAAGTGCTGGGATTACAGGCTTGAGCCACCCTGCCCAGCCTTCTTCCTGTTCTTTAAATGGGCCAGGTTTCTCCTTGCCTCAGGGTCATTGTACTTAGTGTTTCCTCTTCCTATAATTCAGTTGCTCTAGTTCCTCACATCGCAGGTTCATTGCCTTTCAGGTTTCAGTTCATATGTCACCTCCCCAAAGTGGCATTCCCTGACCAGCTAGTGTAAAGTGGTCCCCTCTGCCCACCTCTTTCCCTTTACCTTGGTAGCACTTATCACCATGTAAAATAATCTGGTTTGTTCTCTTGTTAGTTCTGCTTGCACTAAAATATAAGCTCTGTGGTGCTAGGAACTGTGTCTTTTTCATAGATATAACCCCAATTTCCAGATAGATGCCCAGCCCCCCACTCCCCCCTGCCCCATAATTGGTTTTTGAATGAATGAGAATGAATGACTGGATTAGTCTGCACTGCTGCTGGGTCTCACCTCCAGCCCAAGGGGCAGCAGGTGAGAGATGAGCAGCCTGAGGCCAGGCTTTGTGGATGAACTGGGCTCCTAAAGGAATCTGTAGGTGCCAACACTGCAGGGAATGAGGTGGGACAAGAGGAGCCTGGCCTCATCCCTTCATCCTGTAACACACACAAAGTAGTTTCAGAATTGTTACATTCACCTCCACTACAAACAACAAATTTAGGCCCAGTGCAGTGGCTCATGCCTGTAATCTCAGCACTTTGGGAGGTCGAGGCAGGAGGATCACTTGAGCCCAGGAGTTTGAGACCTGCCTGGGCAACATAGTGAGACCCCGTCTCTACTTTAAAAAAAAAATTATCCAGGTATGGTGGCACATGCCTGTAGTCTCAGCTACTCAGAGGATGGGGTGGGAGGATCACTTGAGCTGAGGATTCAAGCCTGCATTGCGCTATGATTGTGCCACTGTACTCCAGCCTGGGCAACAGAGTGAGACCCTGTCTCAAACAAACAAACAAATAAAAAAAAAAAAAAGAACCTAGTAAGTAGTGTAAACCAAAAAGTATCTGAGACAAGAGGTCTCAATCATTTTAGGAGTTTATTTTGCTAAAGTTAAGGACATGCCGGGAGGAAATAAGCACAGAATCACAGAAACTGTGCTTTTCTCCAACGATGATTTTGATGGCTTCAGTATTTAAAGGGAACAGGTAGGCTGGAGGGCAAAGAGGGAGGATATGGTAATCCATATATTGCCAGAGAAAAGGAGCAGGCAGGGGAATAGTCAGTTAGGTAATAGTAAATCAGTAAAGTGCTCAGTAAGTCGGCACTTTACATAAGATAAAATGGAACATAAAGTAGCCTGTAGAGGTGTTTGACCTTTTATTTGTAGCTCCCTGCTTAGGAACAAAGGGACTCAGCTTTCAGGGACTCAGCTTTCAGCTTACTTTTCTACCTTTTGCATAGTGAATTGAAGTCCTGCGTTTTTATTTTCCTTTCACAGTAGATTTCAAGATTACTTTGTAGTTCCTTTTGTTTTTAAACAGAGGACATATAAAGTACTATGTGAAGTTACTTGGACTAGGCTTTTTTTTCTACCTCTTACGTGGATATGTTAGTTATTTATAATATGATTAGGTTTATTTTCATTTTTATTTAATTTAGATATGCCTCCTCATCTTTGTGGACTTAATTTTATTATTTAAATACATAACAGATTAAAAAGGTTCTAAAAACCGAAACTAACAAAAAGGTGTGCTCAGACAAGGTCACTCCCTCTTCTATCCCTTTACCCTGTTTCCACCCATTGTATTAGTTTCCTGTTATCCTTCATTTATTTTTGTTGGAAAAAAGCAGGTACATAATGTATATAACGTGTATGTATTCATATTTAAATTACTTCCTTTCCTCCTTACATTAAGGTAACCTGCTATAAATGCTCTCTGTTCTTTTTTTTTTTTTTTTTTTTTTTTTTTTCTGGAGACAGAGTCTTGCTCTGTCACCCAGGCTGGAGTGCAGTGACGTGATCTCGGCTCACTGCAACCTCCATCTCCTAGGTTTAAGCAACTCTCTGCCTCAGCCTCCTGAGTAGCTGGGATTACAGGCACGTGCCACCATGCCCAGCTAATTTTTTGTATTTTTAGTAGAGATGGGGTTTCACCATCTTGGCCAGGCTGGTCTTGAACTCCTGACCTCATGATCCACCCTTCTCGGCCTCCCAAAGTGCTGGGATTACAGGCGTGAGCCACCGTGCCCAGCCTGTTTTTTTGTTTTTGTTTTTGTTTGAGATGGAGTCTTGCTCCGTCACCCAGGCTGGAGGTGCTATCTTAGGTCACTGCAACCTCCGTCTCCCAGGTTCAAGCAATTCTCATGCCTCAGTCTCCCAAATAGCTGGGACTACAGGCGCCCGCGTGCCCAGCCAATTTTTGTGTTTTTAGTAGAGACAGGGTTTCACCTTGTTGGTCAGACTGGTCTCGAACTCCTGACCTCAGGTGATCCACCTGCCTCGGCCTCCCAAAGTGCTGGGATTAGAGGCATGAGCCACCGCGCCCAGCCGTAACTACCATATTTCCATAAATTTCTTAGAATTTTCATTACCAGGGATTCCCCACAGTTATGTTTATTGAGAAAAGCGTTTTTTGAGTATCACGACATTTTCAACTAAATGTTGGGATTGTCGTATGTGGTTTAAAGTCAAGTCCCTAGAACCTCATGGTTAAGTTTCTTCTCCTCACCCATGAAAACACTTCTGTAGGACACCTTTAGAGTCTAATTAAGCCATTACCTAAAGTCTTCTCCCCTAACCTACTCATTATCCCACACTGGATATTCCTGTTTCTCACCAGAGACCATACTGGGCAGTGGTGTGGGGAACAGGGAGTGGGCACCTGCCTGACTGATTGATTGGTTTTAGTGTGCATGTTGATGTTGATTTTTATTAATGGGAACTCTTCCCCACCAAACCGTTTTAAATAGTTGCGTATCTTTTAAAAAACTACTTAGCAAAAGAAGGAAGTTCACCATTTCATTTTATTTACTTAGTTTCCTTTATAAAACCTGAAAGGTAGTACAAAAATAAAGCAACCAGAAGCCAGTTTCATTTATGAGCATAGATCCAAAAAAGTCAAAATCTTAGCAAATAGAATTTCACAATGTATGAAAAGAATACACAATGACCAACTTTATGCCAGAGGTGCAAGATTGGTTCAGAGTCGAAAAATTCTATCAACATTAGTCATTATTTCAGCAGATAAAAGGAAGAAGAAAACTTGTGATCGGATTGGTAATTACAGATTAGGCACCCGATGAAAAATACAGTAACCATTTCTAATAAGTAGAAAGGAAACTACTTAAATATGTGAGACTACTATCCATGAAAAGAGTCAAACTCTGTAAAATATTTGAAAAGGTTTATTCCAAGCCGAATATGAGTCACCAATGGCCTGTGACACAGCCCTCAGGAGATCCTGAGACCATTTGCCCAAGGTGGTTGGTATATAACATGGTTTTATACATTTTAGGGAGACATAAGACATCAATCAATATATGTAAAATGTACACTATTTCGGTCTGGAACAATGGGACAACTGGAAGCAGAGGCTTCCAGGTCATACGTGGATTCAAGAGTTTTTAATTGGCATTTCATTGAAAGAGTTATTATCCAAAGAGCTGGAATCAATAGAAGGGAATGTGTGGGTTATCATAAGTGGTTTTGGAGAACAAAGTTTTGTCATGCGGGTGAAGCCTCCCGGTAGTAGACTTCAGAGAAAATAGATGGTAAATATTTCTTATCAGACTTTAAGAGCCTCCTTTATCAGTCTTAAGGCCTGTGTTGATGCTAATGCTGGTCAGCTGGGCCTGAATTCCAAAAGGGAGGAGGGTATAATGAGGCATGTCTGACTTCCTCTTCCCATCTTGGCTTGAACTAGTTTTTCAGGTTAATTTTGAAATGCCCTTGGCTGAGATGAGGGGTCCATTCAGATGGTGGGGGGCTCAAAATTTTGTTTTCAGTTTACATTACTTTCCAGAAATCACTACCAACTGTCATTCTAAACAATGAACTCTATTAAACTATTAGCTCTAGTAAATCTACTGTTTCATTTAAACTCAGAACTGAGCAAGAACGCATTCAGTAATGTCTTAGAAGGCAGTAAGACCAATAAAAAAGATTGGCCTAAATATTGGAAAAGAAAGATAATGCTCATTTTTTTCTAGTTATGTGATTGTATACTTAGTACACCCAAGAGATTTTAGTTTTAAAACATTAATAAGAACTTGTAGGAGTCTGGTAGGATAGCTAAATACAGCCTAAATAATTTTTTAAAATAAAAAATGTTCTCTGTGCTTGAAATAAGCACCTAAAAATGGAAATGGGGGGAATGTTTCATCTAAAATCTGGCAAAAATGATAAAATTCTTCAGAATACATTTAGCAAGAAAAGCATATTATATGAAAAAAGTGATACAATTTTATTAAAGGAAATAGTATATTTGAACAACCGGAAAGATTGTCTTTTCTTTGGTTGGGTAAACTATTGGTGCAAAAGCAATTGTGGTTTAATCAATTCTCCAAAAATCCCCTTCTAAGGCAGTTTTTGGATCCCAGTAGGGTTGTTTGTATAACAGATAAAATAATCTAAATGTTCATAGGAAAATAGACACCCATGAATAACCAAGGGGGAAAAAAAACCTTCCCAGACCTTCCCGGATCACAATATACCAGAGAGCCAGTGTGATCAAATCATTGTAATATTGACCTGGAAATTGTTCAGTCAGAACAGATAGTCCAGAAATAGTTCTCACTTCATATGAACATTTGATACATGATAAAAATGTATATTAGTTCAGTGAGAAGAAGAGGGATTGATTAATAAATATTACTGGGAAAGCTAGGAATCCATGTAGAAGAAATGTGATTGGACCCTGGAATAACTCCCCCACCCCTACCCATAATTATTGGTTTAAGGATTGAAATGAAATAAAATAATACAATGTTAGAAAATCAAGGACTAACAACCTTCTAATCATATGATAAAAGAAATATTTTATATACAAAAATTTAGAATTTTTATGCCGTACATATACATAAATCAACAAATAATGAATTTTTAAAAGTCTTTCAGCAGTCAGCAGATAAACAGTTAATTTGTGATACACTATGAGCTCTTATAAACTAACAACAAAAGACATGCAATATATAGAAAATTTGGCAAAGGATTTGAATAAGCAGTTCATAGAAGTGCAAATCCAAATGGCCACGAAATACAGAAAAATGATGCTCAGGTTCACAAGTAGTGAGAAGAATTCAGATTCTGAATTCTTTGCTGAAGGGCCCATGACTACAGGAGAATGGGGAACTCCTATCTGAGGCAAAAAGGTTTCTGCAACCACAGAGCTTTGTTTCCTGCGTTATGATCCTTATTTTCTAAAATGTGCCAACTTTTACAATCTTGATCACTTTTAGAGATTTTTTTATCTTTGTCTTATGCCATACTTTTTATTGTGTTACATGTTTTCTTTCTTTGAGTTAATTCCAGCTATGCAGAATTGTTTTCTGTGTAACTTAATTTTCTTTTGTGAACACTGTCCGGATATGGCTCAGTCTAAAAGATCATGGTATTTTAATTGAACTGTCTTATTTAGATCTTTCAAATACATTTTTCATAATATTGGTTTAAAAAAATCCTCATGCTTTTAATATCTGGATTAAAAGAAATAAAATCTGAATAAAACTTTTTTATGCAGAAGAGGTTAAGTCATGAATATGCACAGTTTTGATGATATAATGTAGTTTCCAGTTACAAGGACAAACTTTTGCTTACTTGATCTTAGCCAAAAGGCCGAGAAGCGATTCCTTTTGCTTACTCTTCTTTGAGAAAATACTTTACATTAAAGCTCATTACAGTTTGCACTTGGACCGTGTATATTTGAGTACCATTTTCAAATAGCAGACACATTTTGTAAGCTAACTTACAAAATTGTTGAGTGATATGGGGCATGATTCTAAAGAAAAGTTAGTTTCAAGAGCTTTAGAGGTTTAGTAGCATTATAGTTGAGTAACCCTAGCATAGCATAAGTAGGTAGCATAGCATACTGTGTCATGTTCCCACATTGAGGTTTGTAGAGCTCTACAAAGAATGCAATCTAAGTATCTCTAGCAATATTAACATTCCGCTTCTAAATCTTTTTCTTTTCTAATAGCTTTATTGTGAAAGAATTCACATAATAAAATTTACTCGTTTAAAGTATCTAATTCATTGGTTTTAGTTTATTCACAGAGTTGTGCGACAGTCACTATTAGCTAATTTTAGAATGTTTTCATCACTTCAGAAAGAAACCCCTTTTGATGTCTAAAGTACAAATCCTCACACTGAGGCTGAAAATTACCTGCTAAAGTGGCAGAGTGAAAGATATTTTATGTTTATATAAAACTTGGCCAGTATTTACAGGCTATTCCCCATAGTTTGGTAAACAGTTATGTTTTCTGTTGTTGTCTCTAGGGGTAAGAGTGCTAATTATTTTGTTTTCGTGTTGGTGGGAGTGGTGGTTTTGGAAAGGTTCTTTTATGGTCACAGTTGTTCTCAGGCCATGCTGTTGGTTTGCAGGGCACTAGCTGACATGAATAATGATGGAAGAATGGATCAAGTGGAGTTTTCCATAGCTATGAAACTTATCAAACTGAAGCTACAAGGATATCAGCTACCCTCTGCACTTCCCCCTGTCATGAAACAGCAACCAGTTGCTATTTCTAGCGCACCAGCATTTGGTAAGTCTGAAAATGAATTGGTTTCTGTATTTTCTTGTATATTTTAAAAATAAATGTTTTCCTTTTTTTCCCTCTCGGTTTATAACATTATGAAATTCTAGGAGGTAATTCTGTCTGAAAAATGATGGCCCCCTGCAGGAAGATAGTGCTGGGGAGAAGAAGGAGCATGTTCACATTTGAACCCTGGGATGTAAAGTAATCAAAATGAAAGCAGAGATGCAGGCCGCCAGTCAGGGGAAAAGGAAGAAACTTACAGTCCGCTGCTGCAGCTTCTGGGTTTTTTTTTTTTTTTCTCTTCCATTATCCTTCAGGTTGTTGCATACTTCCTTTTGATTTTCGGTTTCCATAATGTCTGTTTCTCCTTGTGCATAAACAATTCCTTTGGATTATGGCATCTAGAAATATATATATTTTGAATCACAGTACTGAGTCACTTGGCCACATTAAATTCTTTCTTAGAACAAAATGGAATAGAGAAAAAATAAACATTGTTATCCTGATTAAAAACCTAATTCCAGCCGGGCATGGTGGCTTACACCTCTAATCCCAGCACTTTGGGAGGCTGAGGCAGGTGGATCACCTGAGGTCAGGAGTTCGAGACCAGCCTGGTCAACATGGCGAAATCCCATCTCTACTGAAAATATAAAAAATTAGCCAGGTGTGGTGGTGCGCACCTGTAATCCCAGCTACTCGGAGAGGCTGAGGCAGGAGAACCTGGGAGGCAGTGGCTGCAGTGAGCCAAAATTGTGCCACTGTACTCCAGCCTGTGCGACAGAGCAAGACTTCGTCTCAAAACAAACGTGATTCCATAAAAAATTATCTTTCAACCAGGTATTTTTCTTATAAGCTAATTGATTAATTAGTTGACTGAGATCAGTAGTTCTGATTTCTGTTCTCATTCTAGACTTTAGGTTAATTTGAAGATCACAGTAATAAAATCTAACATCTGATTCATGGGGAGGTTCTTTAACAGTTTAAAACAAAACATGAAAATTGTGGCTAGAGTTTCTTTTCATCTCTTCATCCTCAGATAGCTGATGATAGGTGATAAAGTGAAATAGATTTCGGAGGGGGCAGTCAACAGTAATTCAGGGTGTCTCTGATATAATTAATGATAAGCTAAGATACAGAAATACTCTGGTTTTACTTACTAGGTTTCCTATTAAAAACAATGTATTGCCTTTCTTTTAGTAAGTTTTAGCCACAAGGCTGGTTTTTGTAAGGGGAAAGGTTTTGGAAGATTTTTAGGCAAATAGGATAGTGGTCCAAGAAAAGAAAGAAAAATCCATATATGAGCAAAGGCGAGGAAGAGCAGAAGTGAACACTGCAGCAGCCTCCACATGACTGGGGCCGTTGTTTGTCTTGTCCAGTGTGTGCTCACAATGTTTAGCCTTTAGTTAACCAGCTAATTTAAGTGGAACTTGCTCTGAATCCCTGAAGATCTCTGTAGCCAATCTTTGGTCAGGACCCAGGCGTTAAAATAATTCAAGGGTGTTTGGGGTCGAACACAGTGGCTCATGCCTGTAATCCTAATGCTTTGGGAGGCCAAAGCAGGAGGATTGCTTGGTCCCAGGTGTTGGAGACCAGCCTGGCAACATAACAAGGCCTCGTTGCTACTGAAAATTTAAAAATTAACCAGGCATAGTGGTGGGTGCCTATAGTCCCAGCCACTTGGGAAGCTGAGACAAGAGGATCACTTGAGCACAAGAGGTCAAGCCTGCAGTGAGCCAAGATCACACTACTGCACCCCAGCCTGGGTGACAAAGTGATACCCTGTCTTAAAAAACAAAAACAAAAAACAACGGTATTTGGTTTTCTTTTGGCTTTCTTCCAATGCTACAAGAAGAAATCTCATAGTGGAGAAAAGGTCAAATGACTAGAGGCACCCCATTTCTCCTTTTTCTCTCAAACCTGGGGTCAATAATTTTTCCTGTACCATTTAATTCATTTTCTCTTATTCCATTCTGCCATCAGAATTTCAGTTGTGGAGCTATTGCTGATTTAGTTTCAGGAGGTTGTGACCTTACTGCTGAGAAAGTTTTACAGTCGTTAAGTAACCTGCTACTGTTAAACCTGCCAGGATTTCTGACCTAATACTCTGCCAGGCAGCCCATCACTCTTCCCCCCAGACTTCTCCCTGTCTTTCCTCACCACATTGATGTTCTCAGTAAATGATTTTGATGAGGCTAAACCATGAAGGATATCAGAACATAGGAGAAGTTACCAGTATATGATCTTGATCAAGTTTACTTAAGTATTTTCTAGTTCTACCTCTCAGCTCAATCTAGGGTAAAATACATATATATATTTTATAGTTTGTTGAGCCACTTGAGAATAAAATAATTTATTACTATTGTCATTGTTTTATTTATTTATTTATTTATTTTGAGACAGACTCTCACTTAGTCGCCCAGGCTGGAGTGCAGTAGCATGATCTTGGCTCACTGCAACCTCTGCCTCCCGGGTTCAAGCAGTTCTCCTGTCTCAGCCTCCCGAGTAGCTGGGACTACAGGGACATGCCGCAACACCCAGCTAATTTTTGTATTTTTAATAGAGACAGGGTTCCACCATGTTGGTCACGCTGGTCTTGAATTCCTGACCTCAGGTGATCCACCCACCTCAGCCTCCCAAAGTGTTGGCATTACAGGATGAGCCACTGCACCTGGCCTGCTTTCTAATTAATATTGAAAATTATTGGTTAGGTGTGGTGGCTCATACCTGTAATCTCAGCACTTTGGGAGGCCGAGGTGGGCAGATCGCTTGCGCTCAGGAGTTTGAGACCAACCTGGGAAACATGGCAAAACCCCATCTCTACAAAAAATACAAAAATTAGCTGGGTATGGTGGTGTGTGCCTGTAGTCCTAACTGCTTGGGAGGCTGAGGCAAGGGGATGGCTTGAGCCCAGGAGGTGGAGGTTGCAGTGAGCCAAGGGAGATCGTGCCACTGCACTCCAGCCTGGGTGACAGAGCCAGACCCTATCTCAAAAAACAAAACAAAACAAAAATCTGACTCTGCATTTCCTTGCCCTTATATATAGTATGTGCCTTCACATATAATATTTGATCACAATGATAACCCTAAAAAGTATGCAGACTGTATTAGCCCTGTTATATAAATGAGGGAACTGAGATTCTCAGAAATTGAACATTTTGCTTAAGGCCATATTTCTAACAAAGGAGATAGAACCTGTCCAAAGCTACCATTTATCTAAAGGCGAGATGGAGTCTCACTCTGTCGCCCAGGCTGGAGTGCAGTGGCATGATCTCGGCTCACTGCAACCTCCGCCTCTCGAGTTCAAGCAATTCTCCTTCGTCAGCCTCCCGAGTAGCTGGGATTACAGGCACCCACCACCACACCCGGCTAATTTTTCTATTTTTAGTAGCGACGGGGTTTCACCATCTTGGCCAGGCTGGTCTTGAACTCCTGACCTTGTGATCCACCCGCCTCGGCCTCCCAAACTCCTGGCATTACAGGCATGAGCCACCGCACCCGGATGGCTTTAGGTTTTTTAAAATTACCTTCTCCGTGCCTTCATTATCACCAAACTAACTGGGTGACATGACGTGTCACTCTTCCATGGTTCCTTGTCTGCATGGGTTTTTTGTTTTGAGACAGGGTCTCACTCTGTTGCCCAGACTAGAGTGCAATGGCACGATCATAGCTCACTGTAGCCTCCAACTCCTAGGCTCAAGCGTTCCTCCTGCTTCAGCCTCCTGTGTAGCTGGGACTACAGGCATGTACCACCACACTGAAGTAATTAAAAAATTTTTTTTATAGATAGAGTCTTGCTCTTTTGCCCAGGCTGGTCTCAAACTCCTAATCTCAAGTAATCCTCCCATTTTGGCTTCCCAAAGTGCTGAGATTACAGCATAAGCCATGGCACCAAGCCTCAGATATTTTTTAATGTAGTTGTTAACACACTATAGAATTAAGGCTCAGACTGGAGTCTGAACAATGATTTTGTTCAACTCCCCTACAGAGAAGAGAGAAAAATGGGGTGCAGTGATACTGTGACTTGCCTTAGAGCACCCTGAAAATAGAATTTTCTATTGTAGGAAATTCTATGGGTAGACTTGGTACCTTCTTTCACCAGTGTGCACTCAGCATAATTCTTTTGTTCTGGACCCAGCTTATACAGGAGGAGTCTGTTTTTCTTTTGCTTGGTTTTTGTTTTGCCAGAGTACATGGTTTTATTGGATTAAACCAGTGTTTTGTAAGCCCCTACTGTGTGTCCTAGTTGCTGGGAACATGCTGGCCAGCAAGACCTCATGGCTTCTACCACTGTGGATCTTATTTTCAAATTGTGGGGAGCAAGGAAATAAATACTTTTAGGTGAGAATAAGTGCAATAAGTTCATTAAAACAGAGTAATAGTAGAGAGACAGAGAGAGAGAAACCAGTAGAACAAGATGGCCAGGGAAGAATTCTTTGAGCAGATGACTTTTGGAACTGATGTAGATGATGAGAGCCATGTGAAGACCTAGGGGAGAGGCCTTCCAGGCTAAAGGAACTGCACTGGCAAAAGTCCTAAGGCAAAAACTAGCTTGGGGTTTGGAAGGTGTGCGAGGGGCGTCGTAGCTGAAGCATGGGGAGACCATAAGGAAAAGCAAGCAAACAACAGATTAAGCAGAAGAGTGACGTGGTTGATAGACTTATCTGTGTTATCTGAAGACTGGAATGTAGGGGACAAGAATGGAATCCTGGAGATCAGTTAGGAGGCTTTTGCCACGGGCAAGAGGCAATGGTGATTTATATCTGGTGGTGATAATCAATGTGGAGGACAGATTAGATTCATTCTAGCCTGTATTTTGGGAAAAAAGTAAAAAGGACTTGTCAGTAGATTGGAAATAAGAAATGAAAAAGGAGTATTAAGGCTTTTCACATGAATAACTAGATGGATGGTATAAGTGTATACTGAGATGGGGATAACAGGAAGAGGAATGGTTTTAAAGGAGAAATTAAGAGTTTTGGTGATTTTGAGAGTCCTAGTAGATTTCCGAGTTGGGATGTTAAGGAGACAGGGATGACTACGTTTGACTGAAGCTCAGAGGAAGGATCGATCAGCTCTGGGGCAGTTTGGATATGGAGAGCATGTCTTAGGGGCAAGCTTAGCTATAAGGAGTACAGTGTAGACCCAAGCCTTGATGTGATGTGACATTTAAAGGTCAGGCAAAAGAGGAGAAGCCAGAAACTGAGGCTGACAAAAGTGAAATGGCAGAAGATTGGTGTCCTGCTACCAAGAAAAAGTGTTTCAAGAAGGAGGGAATGCTCCATTGTTTGAGCTGCTTTTGAGAGATGGAGTAAGAATATGGCAGAACAGTGCTGATTAGATTTGATGTGATGAGCTTTTGAGTGACCTTGACAAGCAGTTTCAGTATAGTGATAGGGACAAAATCCTGATTGGAGGCTTGGAAGAGGGGAGAGAATTTCAAGAATTAAGACTTACACAGGAAGAGGTGATGGCAGCCAGAATACGGCTTCTGGTAGATGTATTTATTTAGAAAGTCATTCATTCAGAAAAGGTAGTCAGTTGTCAAAAGGATGATAGTCTTTTTGCAGTGGCTATTTAAAGCACAGTAGGCCAGGCACGGTGGCTCATGCCTGTAATCGCAGCACTTTGGGAGGCCAAGGCTGGAGGATTGCTTGAGGCTCCTAGTTCAGGACCAGCCTGGGCAACATAGTGAGATCCTATTTATATTTTTTTAATGTAAGTAGATAGATAGATAGATAGCTAATAAATTTTTCCTTTTCTGTAAAATGGAAAAATTATTATGTAAGAGAAGATTTCTAACAAATTTGGAAGCTTAAAAGATGCTTTTACCAGTCTGATGATTAAACAGTATTTTTAAACTTGGCCTTTTCCTCAGTGTCTTTTTGAGGTTAGCCTCCTTTTAGGTTAGGGGTCTGCAGCACAGATGGGGTACGTGTCTTGAAGGTTAACTGGTTGCGCAGTATGCTGTGTCAAGCCTTTTGAAAGTCTGAATGATGGCTCATGAAAACTTTTGGTTTGTTTCCATCTATTTTTATTTGTTGCTTGAGTAGATTGACATTCTTACTTAAGCAAAAACCAGGATTTGGAGTATAATTCAGTATAGTTATCAAAAGAACCAAATTTTTAAAAAGAAAAACACATTAAAAATATAGTTATCAAATAATCTTAGAAAATTTTGGAATTCTAAAACTGACAAGGTAAACCTGATACATGTTGCTATGTGTGGATATGTAAAGTTAATCTGATTCCAAATGAGATGTGTGGTAATGTGCTTGATAGTGTGCACGTGAACTGTAAACCAGTCATCTAGATGACTATAATTATAAACTTACTCAGTAAAGCCCAAGTTAGAATTTTTTTCTTCTCTTTGTTGGATTTTCAGTGTCTATAAACATTGTTTTTAAAAATGAAAATAGGCCGGGCGCAGTGACTCACGCCTGTAATCCCAGCACTTTGGGGGGCCCAGGTGGGCGGATCATGAGGTCAGGAGATCGAGACCATCCTGGCTAACATGATGAAACTCCGTCTCTACTAAAAATACAAAAAAAAATTAACCAAGCATGGTGGCGGGTGTCTGTAGTCCCAGCTGCTCGGGAGGCTGAGGCAGGAGAATGGCGTGAACCCTGGAGGCAGAGCTTGCAGTGAGCTGAGATCGCGTCACTGCACTCCATCCTGGGCGACAGAGCGAGATTCCGTCTCAAAAAAAAAAAAAAAAAAAAAGGAAATAGTCTGATTTTCTTACTGTATAAGTAATAGATGCTGCTTGCGAGTCAACAATGCAAAAAGACTTAAAAAGTAAAAATTACTATTAATTCTGTTACCCAGTGATGACCACTGTGTTCAACAACACTATTTTTAAAATCTTTTTTTTTTTTTTTTGAGGTGGAGTCTTGCTCTGTCCCCCAGGCTGGAGTGCAGTGGCACCTTCTCGGCTCACTGCAACCTCCGCTTCCTGGGTTCAAGCGATTGTCCTGCCTCAGCCTCCCCGGTAGCTGGGATTACAGGCATGTGCCACCACGCCTGGCTAATTTTTGTATTTTTAGTAGAGACGGGGTTTCACCATGTTGGCCAGGCTGGTCTCGAACTTCTGATCTCAAGATCCACCCACCTTGGCCTCCCAAAGTGCTGGGATTACAGGCGTGAGCCACCGCGCCTGGCCCTATTTTTAAAATTTTACACAAGTAATACATGCTCTTAGTAAAAAGAAATACAAACAAAACAGAATTGTGTACATTTGTAACAGTGCAGGAGGAAGAGGGAAGAATTAGGGTACCTGGTGCACTTGAAACAGGAGAACCCCAAAATAGCTAACAGGTATTTGCAAGAAAGTTCAACCAGGCTGAGAGCAGCAATAGAAATAGGAAAGGGTTATGCTCTCTGCAGTACTGAGTGAGTACAAAGGATCTGAGAGATTTGGAGCAGTCCAGCCCCTATGAACTCAAAAGACTGGCCCAACAAGCCTTCCTTTTGGGACAGGGCTTCATACTCAGGAAAAATGACTGGGAGTGGAATCAAAATTGAGCAGTATAGGGACATGGATACAAAGGAAAGAGATGGTCCAGACAAAAGTAGGGGAGGAGAATGGAGACTGGAATTCCTAAGAAGCAAGGCTCACATAAAAATGAGCAACAGAAAGTATCAAGCAAGGTCAAATCCACTGCAGAAAGTGTCAAGCAAGGTCAAATAACACAAAGTTATTATTAGGAAAAAGGAGAATAAAGGGAGAAATAACACCCCTGTGGACAGTGAAAGCACACCAGTAAATCACTACTTCAAAACAAGCTCAAAGAGAATAAGAAAATGATACAAGACTTGAAAGATGAAAATCAGAGTTTTTAAGGCTCATAAATAAGGTGACAGAAAGAATGAGAAATAAAAGAAAAATTCATTCTAGAAATGAGGATGCAACTAGAAGCAACACAGGGGATACTAACTGAAGAAAAATAGAAGTTACAAAGAGGAAAAAAATTTAAATTAAAAGGAAATGAGGCTGGGCGCAGTGGCTCACGCCTGTAATCCCAGCACTTTAAGAGGCCGAGGTGAGCGGATCACCTGAGGTCAGGAGTTCAAGACCAGCCTGGCCAACATGGCAAAACCCCGTCTGTACTAAAATTACAAAAATTAGCTGGGTATGGTGGCACATGCCTTTAATCCCAGCTACTTTGGAGGCTGAGGCATGAGAATCGCTTGAACCCGGGAGGCAGAGGTGGCAGTAAGCTGAGATCACACCACTGCACTCCAGCCTCGGGGATAGAGTGAGACTAGGTCTCCTAAATAAATAAAAGGAAATGGAAAAGATATAAAAAGAATTTGAGAAACAGTAACAAGTATTTAAGACAAAGAAGATTGAATGTATGGGCAGCAGGAGTCCCTGAGGAAGAAAACTAAACCAATGGAATAGAACAAATGATAAAAATGAATTCAAGACAACTTTCTTAAAATAAGAGATTCTAAACTATATTTAAAAGAGTATCATGTGGCCAAGAATATCAATCTAAAAAGTCCAACACTAAGATATATTCTAGTTAAAGGAGAAATTATTTAGACATGTAGAAAAAGAAAGCATATGACTTACAAGGGGGAAAATTAGATTATGTTCAGATTTTTCAACAGCAGTGCTTTCTGCTAGAAGAAAATGGAGTAACATATTTAGAATTCTCAGGGAAAGAACAAGCCAAGGATTTTGTGTCCAGAAAAACTGACTTTCAAGTAGAAAAAACAGACAAAACGTTACCAATTTATAAGGCTTCGGGGTATATTAACATGAGCCTTTCTTAAGGAATCTATTAGAGAATGTGCTTCAGACAATCAAAATAGCTAGACCTAGGTCATCATAAGGACTGATGGTGAGCACTAAATATATAGTTAGCTGTAGAGCTAAGACTGAAGGAAGGCTGAGGAGGAGAGAGTATCGGATGTAATTCCCATGCACTGTCAATTGGATACGATAAAACTTTAAGGGGAGCAGGACTGCATGCAAAAAAATAATTTAATGCATTCAGAAATTAGTATTAGTATTGTTATTCTGAAACTGTTGTCTGAGATATGTGGTAAAAACAAATAAGTAATTACGGAATAGTCTAATTCTGTCATTTTCTATACCTTTGAAATCTGTATTCTTGGTGTGGAAGAAAGGAGATAACAAATATAATAGTATCAAATGTAATGAAAAAGCAGTATAGTCTTGGATTTGAATTTTCAAATTGAAAGTATTAATATGAACTCAGAAGGCGTCTCTCACCACACCCCCCATTCTCTTCATCTATCCATCTATTTGTCTCCTAGTTCTGTTCACTGAAAAGACTAGATACAATCATCTACCCCAGCAGCACTGAGCATCCTTAGCGTCCAGATTGTGAACTTGAAATATCATTTCTCACCAAAAGAAACCAGAGTTTCTTGGAGAAATGGCTGAATCCAGGTCTAGATATGAAATGTGAAGAGCTTGAAGGACCCATCTTGTAATACTGGTCAGCAAGGAAGTTATCAAAGCATAGTAGGAGGATATCAGAAATTCTCAGAAGCCAACCCGAAGAGGCTTACATTGGCCAAAGAGAGGACAGTTTGAACTTCAAGAATGATAATGTGCCATGAATTAAAACTCAATAAATATTTGTAAATTTATGACTCAATAATGATTTAATAATGTATTTAACAAGAATAATTTACCTTAAGAAGATCCTAAGAAACCAGTTCATTACCTTGAAAACAGGTAAAGGGAAAGAATCAGGCATTTATTATGCCTTTTGTATATGAGCTGTACAACTGGATAGCCAACTAGTATATCCTCATTAGAAGCACCTCTTTATAAAATTATTACAGCTAATAAATGACAAAGACATAGTAGGATTAGAACATCACTATTTTCAACTCCCCATAAATGAATAAATATAGGCGTTAAGCATCAATGACTGCCAAGATCACAAAAAGACAGCTACATTTTGTGTGTTTCCTGTAGTCTTGCCAAAGAGATCCACCGTCAGCTTGATCCATTCTTTGGATGTAGCTGCGTATTTGCAGGAAATACAGAATATAGAGGGAAATGTTGAACCGCACCATGAGAATGCAATCAGCAAAATCCAGACTGGGAAACTCCACAGGTCACATGGCCTGGGTCTTTCAACAGAAAAGAAAATGAAAAGGATGGAGAGGGGACTGTGGATTAAAGGAAACCTAAAAGACATTTCAGCAGTGAGATTTCCGACCATGCCTGAGTTGAGATGAGCAAATTCTTCCCTCAAGGGCAGAATTGACAGAATAACCATTTCAGTGCTCTGGAAATTAACCAAAGGTATATAACATCTGAGAATCATTTATGCCTGAAAAGCTGCTGAGCTTCAGATATGAAGCAGAAGTCTGTTGCATTCTTTCCTGGGCATTTTCCTATCCCCCAACACTTCAGCTTGGTAATGTGGAGGGACAGGTTGTAAATATTAGCAGTCTTAACTGCTGTCACTGAAGGGGGCTTACTTGCTTTGGGAGTGGGAAGTCATGCCTGTGCCCAGCAGCTTTGTCAGTGGAAATGACAATTCTGGCCACAGAAGAGCAGGTATGACCAGCCACTCTATTATCCTGAACTCGTGGTCATGGCCAGGGCAAGTATATTCTTGGCTGAGGCTATGCACATGTGTCGCGGAGACCAGGGTGGGCCCGAGTCAGCTGCAAACTCCTGACTAGCCCTCAAACTGCATGCACGTATAGAGAATATGCAGAAAGGCCCTGTGAAATGTTAAAGTTGAGGAAGACTTTAAAATGGTCTGAACTTTGAATGCATTTTTGTGCTGACAGATTGTCAGAGAAAGGAAGCCTTACTGACTTGAGGTGTTTGAGCACAACTTCCGTCCCATCATTGGCTGACTACTGTGCTACAAAGATGCAGGTGCAATCCGTAAAAAGCCAGGCTTAAAGATAAAAACGAATTTTTTAAAAACCCAACTGAGCAGAACCATCAGGGGCTGCACAACAAGGGAAGACAGATTTTTCTGAATTAGCCTATGCCGGTTACTAAATAAAGATAGAAACAACAACCTTCAGGGGGAAAATCAGAGCCAGAGTAGCTACAATGTATTATCTGAATGTCCATTTTCACCTAAATTTGAGACATTAAAAAATAACAGGAAAGTATTGTCTCACCCTCAAGAAAAGAGGCAGTCAGTAGGAACTATCTCTGATCCAGCTGTTGGATTCATTTAGCAGACAAAGGCTTCAAAGCAGCAATTACGTTCAAAGAACTGAAGAACTAAAGGAAAACGTGGAAATGAATCAACAGACAGACACTCTCCAAAAAACAATAGAAATTACAAAAAAGAGGAAAATTGAAATTCTAGAAAAGTATGACAATTGATGTGAAAAGTTCAATAACTGGCCGGCCACAGTGGCTCACACGTGTAATCCCAGCACTTTGGGAGGCCGAGGCCTGTGGATCACCTGAGGTAGAGAGTTCGAGACCCACCTGGCCAACATGATGAAACCCCGTCTCTGCTGAAAATACAAAAAATTAGCTGGACATGATGGCAGGCGCCTATAATCCCAGCTATGTGGGAGGCTGAAGCAGGAGAATCCCTTGAAGCCGGGAGGCAGAGGTTACAGTGAGACGAAATTGCGCCATTATACTCCAGCCTGGGAAACAAGAGTGAAACTCTGTCACAGAAAAAAAAAGGAAAGTTCAATAACTAAGGCTGGGAGCGGTGGCTCACGGCTGTAATCCCAGCTCTTTGGGAGGCTGAGGTGGGCGGATCACCCGAGGTTAGAAGTTGGAGACCAGTCTGGCCAACATGACGAAACCCCGTCTCTACTAAAAATGCAGAAATTAGCTGGGCGTGGTGGCAGATGCCTGTAATCCCAGTTATTGGGGAGTCTGAGGCAGGAGAATAACTTGAACCCGGGAAGTGGAGGCTGCAGTGAGCCAAGACCACGCCACTGCACTCCAGCCTGGGCAACAGAGTGAGGCCTTGTCTCAAAACAAAAACAAAACCTGAAAAGTTCAATAACTAAAATGAAAAATTTACCACAGGGTCTTAATAGCAGATTCAAGATAGCAGAAGACAGAGTCAGTGAAGTTGAAGATTAATCAATAGAAATTATTCAATCTGAAGAATATGGAACAAAAAGATTGAAAAAAAATAACAAAGTTTCAGAGACTTATGGAACAAGACCAAGTTTACCAATATGTGTGTCATGGGAGTCTTAGAAGGAGGATCATGAGAGAAAGGTACAGAAAAATATTTGAAGAATAAAAGCCAAACACTTGCCAAATTTGGTGAAAAGCAATAGTCTACACAATCAAAAGCTCAACACACCTCAAGTAGGGTAAATACAAAGAGATCTACACCCAGACACATCATAGTTAACCTACGGAAGCCAAACACAGAGATAAAACCTTGAAAGCAGCAAGAGAAAAGCAACTCATCATGGATAGGGGAGCATAGATATAAATAACAGCAGACTTGTAATTGAAAACAATGGAGGTTAGAAGGCAGTGGAATATTCAAAATGCCGCAAGAAAAAATTCAACCCAAAATTCTATATTCAGCAAAACTATCATTTAAAAATGAAGGTGAAATAATGACTTTTTCAAATAAACAAAGACTGAGAGAATTCATTGCTACTAGACCTACCTTAGAAGAAATACTAAATGAAGACTTTCAGGATGAAATGAAATGACAAAAGGTGGTAACTTTAATATATGGAAAGAAATGAAGAGCATCAAAAATGGTAAATATGTAGGTTAATTTAGAAGACCACATAAATCTATTTTTCTTCTTTTCTCTCAAGTTTAAAAGATATAAGATTGTATAAAGTAATAATTATAACTCTATTATTGGGCTTATAACATATTATAATGTATGTGACAGTAATAGCACAGAAGAGGAGAAAGGGAATTGAGCTATATTTGTGTAAAGTTTCTATATTCTGCCATTAGAAGTTGATTATGATAAATTAATTTGGAGATTTTAATCCCTACAACAACCACATAGAAAATTACTTTTGGATGCATACAGTGGCTCAGCCCTGTAATCCCAGCACCGTGAGAGGCTTGAGGCCAGGAGTTTGAGACCAGACTGAGTAACATAGCAAGACCCTGTCTCTACAAAAAAATAAAAACTTAGCTGCATTTGGTGGTGCGTGTCTATAGTCCCAGCTACTTGGAGGCTGAGGCAAAAGAATCCCCTGAGCCCAGGAGTTCAAGGTTACAGTGAGCTGTGATCACGTGACTGTACTTCAGCCTGGGTGAGAGTGAGACCTTATCTCTAATAATAAAAGAAAAAAAAGAAAATTTTAATTACTATTATTATGTAATAATACTCTTTTCAGTTAGCTCTCTCAGGTTGAAAAGAAAATTTACTTTTAAAAAATAGTAAAGGTCAGACATGGTGACTCACGCTTGTAATCCCAGCACTTTGAGAGGCTGAGGCAGGACGATCACTTGAGCCCAGAAGTTCGAGACGAGCTCAGGCAACATAGTAAGACCTCATCTCTACCGCCCCACCAAAAAAAAAAATACACGTATATATATATATGAAACTGGGTGTAGGGATGCACACCTGTGGTTCCAGCAAGTTGGGAGGCTGAGCTGGGACGATCGCTTGAGCCCAGAAGGTGAAGGCTACAGTGAGCTATGATCATGCCATTTCACTCTAGCTTGGGCAACAGAGTGAGATCTTGTCTCAAACAAACAAAAATATTTAAAAAAAATCAATAGGGGGCATTTAAACACTAAAATTTATTTACTCCACATGAAAGAAGGTATTAAAGTTGGGACAGAGAAATAAAAAAGAAGGTAAGCTTTTTTACTTTTTTTTTTTTTTTTGAGACAAGGATCTCACTGTATTGCCCAGGCTGGAGTACTGCGGTGTGATTGTGGCTCACTGTAGCCTCAACCTCTTCGGCATAAGTGATCCTCCCACCTCAGCCTTCCATGTAGCTAGGCCTACAGGCGGGTACCACCATGCCTGGCTAATTTTTAAAATTTTTTGTAGAGATGGGATTTTGCTATGTTGCCCTGTCTGGTTTTGGACTCCTGCCCTCAAGAGATCTTCCTGCCTTGGCCTTCCAAAGTAGTGAGTTTACAGGCATAAGCCACTGTGCCCAGCTGGAAACATTTATTTTTGTTTTATCATTTCTTCTTTATTGGTTAGAATATTTTTGTATAAAGATGCTTCCAGGGCCAGGCACAGTGGCTCATGCCTGTAATCCCAGCACTTTGGGAGGCCAAGGCAGGTGGATCACCTGAGGTCAGGAGTTTGAGACCATCCTGGCCAACATGGTGAAACCTCATCTCTACTAAAAATGTAAAAATAGCCGGGCATGGTGGTGGGCACCTGTAATCCCAGCTATTCAGGAGACTGAGGCAGGAGAATCACTTGAACTCGGGAGGTGGAGGTTGCAGTGAGCCAAGATCACGCCACTGCACTCCAGCCTGGGTGACAGAGCGAGACTCCATCTCAAAAAAAAAAAGAAAAGAAAAAAGAAAAGAAAATGAATAAAGATGCTTTCCCCATCAAACATGTGGTTTCCCTGAGGTATAATAAACATAGGAAAGGCAGGTTGCAGTTTGATTTTTCTACCTTTTATTTACTAGTTTTCAAAGTAGTAAATTGATTGCCTTAGTGTCCTCCTTTTTTGACCAGTTAGGATTTTATTTATTTTTAAATATCATTTTGAACTCATGGATTTAATTATATTTGAGCCTTTAAGTCCACTGCAGTTATTATTCTTTTTGATTCTCATCTTGTTTGTTCTGTCTTCAGGTTGAGTCTTGAGTCCTTTTGATGTGATCCTTGACATAATTTTTGTTACTCTTTAAAATGATTAACTTGAAGCCCTATTTTAATTGGAATATATTACAGCTGGAAAGTGATTTTCTTTAAGCAGTACTGGGTTAATTATTATTCAGTGTTGAAATGTGATTGGATGTGAATGGTGTTGAGCTGTTTTTTCTTCATAGGTATGGGAGGTATCGCCAGCATGCCACCGCTTACAGCTGTTGCTCCAGTGCCAATGGGATCCATTCCAGTTGTTGGAATGTCTCCAACCCTAGTATCTTCTGTTCCCACAGCAGCTGTGCCCCCCCTGGCTAACGGGGCTCCCCCTGTTATACAACCTCTGCCTGCATTTGCTCATCCTGGTATGTGACTTGCTGAAACCATAGGCTGAGTTTTTACTACTTGTATTTTGCTGTTCATTATTAAAATATTTTCTCTTCACGTTCTGATTATGTTTAAATGATATTTTAGTCCAGAGGAAAATATCTTTATTTTTTTCACTTGATTTCACATTTTTTCCACTGTATTAAATGGGATATGTTAGTGTGGAGAGAGTCAAAGAGAATTATAGATTTCTGGGTACCACTGTGGACAAAGGTGAGCTCAGCAGTGAAAGCCACAAATGTAATTTTCTTTCAAGGGCTGAGAAGAGCAATTGAAGTTGAACTGTAGTTGAACATTTTCTATTTTTATGTATCAGTTACTACTTTTCTTTAGCCACTATGAATTGCTAATAAGCAAGCCAATCCCCTAGGAATAGAACTATGTTGGGGGTTGTGGGAAAGAATAAAAAAGAACAGTTTATACTATTTTATGGTATTACATGCCTGCTTAATTGAAGGAAAGGATTTAAAAGTTTCTGGTTTAATTAATTCCACTTTGAGACTTTATTAAGTCTTTTTTCCTTTAGTTAAAGTATAAAACTGTAGATGTAGATAGCCTTGGTCTAACATCTTAATGAATTCATATCAATATGGAAAGTATTATTTTTAAAGTACTTTGACTACATCTAAGTAAATTCAGTATTGACGACATGGGTTTTAGCATCATACTTGAAACATTTCTGCGCCTTTGGCCCCCTGAATTTGTTGTATATTTATCAGGATATATATTTAAGTTATGGCCAAATAAGCTAAATGTATCTCCTTTTTTTAGATTTTTTCTTGTCACATGTAGTTCATCTTGCATATATGACCATGACTGTGGACATGATGGTAGCCCAGAAAGTGTGTGCAGTTGTTTTTCCAGGAGCATAAGCAAATCCACACACTCTGAGTCTTCTATTCTTTTGTGACTAATGGCACATGTTGCAAGTCATTTGCCATCAGGCAAGAGTGAGGGAATGTGGCTAAGACGCAGTGTTTTTTTTCTGACACTCAACTAACCAACCCCAGTGATAATCAGACACAAAAGCTGACCTTCCCTAGTGTCACATGTTATCTGGCCAAGACTACAGTTTGTGACTTCTTGGCTCTTACATCTGGAACTAATACTTCAGCTCCTTCAGTGCAGTGAATAAAATACCATTTTATATATTTAAGCTGTTACCTCTTTAACTGTTGGAATAGGTCCTATAAAATGTGATACAAAATGTTTAATGAAGAGTAAAATTTTATGGAAATCAGCATTACTACATAGTAAGGTGATTTTCAGTAGAACAAGTAAATCTAGAAACCTTTTTGGCAGGAGGACAGAGGGTAAGGAGGGAAAAGCTCTTTTCAGTCTAGGCTGGCAAGAAGGGGGAATTATTTCTGCCTCAGATTTGTTGACTGTGCATTTTAATTTTTGTAAATTGGGGAAAGTTTCTTATCTTTGTAGAATTAAAATTATTCAACATTTATTTTTACAGCAGCCACATTGCCAAAGAGTTCTTCCTTTAGTAGATCTGGTCCAGGGTCACAACTAAACACTAAATTACAAAAGGCACAGTCATTTGATGTGGCCAGGTAAGTTTGCTTGTTTTTAAATGGGAAGTTTGGTTAAGGCCATTACCTGATTAAATCATAAATTTGACCATGAATCATCTATATTCTTTTTGTTGTTGTCATCTTTTTTGTAGGCTTTTGTAGAGTGCTAATAATAATTTTCTTAATTTCTGGATAGTGTCACTAGTTTTTATCATTAATTTGTTGCAGAGATGAGAGAAATCAAGGACATAACATTTCCTTAAAGGCTTTGTGTATTTTTTTTTTTTTAAAGAGGATAACAAATGGATAGTAATAAAATGTTTAAAAACAGTAAGATAAAATTCTGGGTATAAGGGAAAAAAGCAAATGAACTATTTTATGTGTTTATGATTTACAAGTTTATGTATAAAATTTTTGTATGAAGATTGGAGTTATAGTTGGCCTTATTTTTAATTCTATCTCAGATAATCTTGTGGAGTTTATATGGGTAATTAGTAAAATCCTATTAAAGACGATTTATTATGAAAAGAATTATCCAGATAGTGGACAATTCACATTAATCAAATGTGTGGCTCAATTTTATTAAAGCTGACATGACATTATTGCTTATGTTTTGGCCAACCTTGGTTTCAATTATTACCTTTCATATTTTTATTTTACTCCTATGTTTTACCCTTGCATACTGCTACATTAAGAAGAGAAATTAAGTCTCTTTTAAGCCATCTCAGAACTTTTGGGCCGGGTGTGGTGGCTCACACCTGTAATCCCAGCACTCTGAGAGGCTGAGGCAGGAGGATCGCTTGAGCTCATGAGTTTGAGACCAGCCTGGGCAACATAGGGAGACCTTGTCGATACAAAAATTTAAAAATGAGATGGGAGGATGGCTGGAGCCAGGGAGATCGAGGCTGCAGTAAGCTGTGATTGTGCCACTGCACTCTTGCCTGGGTGAGCCTGCCTAAAAAAAAAAAAAAAGCTTTTGGAATTTATCCTGTCTTATGTCAATCCTCACTAGAAATTGTTAAGTGAATCAAGTCATTTTCCCACTTTCAAGAGAAAAGCATGTTGAATATAATTCAGTGATGCCTTCATTACCTTTTAAAAATGATTTAAAGAAAATCCATAAACTGAAAAGCACTGTGCCAAAAGCTTTACATTAACTCATTCTTCCCCATGAGATGATTCTGTTACTCTCTGTTATAGATGAGGGACAAGCTCAGAGACATTATGTTACTCGTGCAACAGAACGTAACTCATAAGTGACAGAGCTGAGTCAAACTGAGATGTCTGATTTTAAGGCGTGTGTTCTTAACTATGCAAGTTTTCTCTAAAAAACTTAATTGTAGGATACAGGTATTTATTTGTGTTCCATTTAATTGCGGTTTTACCCTTAAGATGCCTCAATATGTATTGGGCATCTACTTTGCCAGGCACATCATTAATCCTATTCAACCCCATAGCTACCTATGCAGTAGATGTCTCAAGATGGTGCATGAGGAAGCACACCCAGAGAAGCTCTAGTCCTCACCCATAGTTTACAGCTTAGTGCATGGTGGAGCTGAGAGTTAAACCTATATCATCTTACACTAAGTTCCTTTTTAAAAAAAATTCTCCTGGGCTGGGTGCAGTGGCTCACGCCTGTAATCCCAGCACTTTGGTAGGCCAAGGTGGGCAGATCACAAGGTCAGGAGTTCGAGACCAGCCTGGCCAACATGGTGAAACCCCGTCTCTACTAAAAATACAAAAAATTAGCTGGGCGTGGTGGCGGGCACCTGTAATCCCAGCTACTCGGGAGGCTGAGGCAAGAGAATTGCTTGAATCCAGGAGGTGGAGGTTGCAGTGAGCTGAGATCGCGGCATTGCATTCCAGCCTGGGTGACACGGCAAGTCTCTTTCTTAAAAAAAAAAAAAAAAAAAAAAAAAAAATTCTCCTATACCATGCTGAAGTTTTGAGTTTATTATGACTTTGCAGAAGCAATTTTGAAATCTGCTTTATTGATTTGTGACATTAGAATGAACTATCAGTATTAGTGAACATTAGTGCTATTGAAACAACTGTTTTATGTTGTCACCTTTTTAATAACTTAAATTTCTAGCCAATTTTTGCAATGCAGTATTGAACTTTTGGGTACATCTTCATGAGTTTTTAGTCTATTTAAATTCTCAGGAATTTGGCAGAAAACTCTGATGTGATAAGTGTAATCTGGGACAACTTGTGTATGTAACACCCAACATTCCTGGCGTGTAGCAACTAGATAGTTAGCTTCTTGACAAATAGGTGGGAGTTGGAATCAGCAAAATATTAGTTAGTTAACATGAGAGGGTTGGTGCAGAAGTACCCACAGCAGAATAGATCATGGTAAGTGTTTTTTATTAAGAAATTCATAAAAATTGAAAAAGGTGAATTCATATAAGTACTTCTCGAGTGTTTGGGAGGTATTTCCTATACTTGAACTGTATATAATAGATATAAGTGCATAGATAACACATGGAAATGATGATTAAAAAGTTCAGTATTTCAGTAAGATTGTGCTTTTACATGTTTGAATAGATATTTTTGTTGAAGTGAAATTGCAGACAGAGCATTAGCTGTAATCTGTCCTGGAAGGGGAATGCCAGTTTTACTGTCTGAGCTCAGCCATTGGGTTTAATTCAGATGTCGAAGCTTAACAAGCCATTGGTACCAGTGTGATATTTGTGTGGACAGTGGCATCTGAGGAACTAATCACTAAGGAAGTGTAGACGCAGCCTAACTACTGGCAAGTGTGTCCTTGGGCCAGCTCAGGATTGTGGCACATTGGCAAGGAGAGATCAGTATTGGATTGTAGTCGAGAAAGTGAAGCTGTCTCCATTCCCACTCTGCTTATGTGTGACCATGGAAATGTTCTGTTCTCTCTCTCTCTGGGAAACTGTCCAATGGGTCTGAATTTAAACTTACCAGAATGGAGTAATTTCACTTCATTAAGAAATGGGTCCTGTATATTCACGTATAGAAAGTTAAAACATTTTGGAGAATTAGTACCTTTAAAGGCAGTTATTGGTTTGCTTTTAGCATTGCTTTTTAACCAAAAAAGAAGTGTTTTAGAAATTAGAATAGCCTGGACATTATTGTTTTACCTCAGTTACAAGAGGTTTTTCATACTTTTATAGAACCTTTAAATTATTATATATACAACTTGAAACAGCCTCTCAGTCTATTGTGTTTATCCATGATTCTGGAAAAATAATTATCTATTTGAGGGAAATGTTTATGATCTTAAAAATGGGAAATACCCATGGCAAAAAAAATCAGAAGTAGTGATAATAAAATGAATAAAATATGAAAGTTAGAGATGATTATCTAGAGAAGTTCTTAGTTTACTGTCATTAAGGAACTTTACCAGGCTGTTCCTTATGGATAATCCTCTTTCTCTCCTTTTTCTTTTCCCCACAGTGTCCCACCAGTGGCAGAGTGGGCTGTTCCTCAGTCATCAAGACTGAAATACAGGCAATTATTCAATAGTCATGACAAAACTATGAGTGGACACTTAACAGGTATTTACAAATAAAAATTAGTGAAATATGATCTTTGTTTTCAATGTAAACTGTTTCTAGATATTGGGTCATAGATATTTTCCATGTCTGTGTGCTTATTTCTTGGCAGTGTTTCCTTTGTCTCTGTTATCTCATGTTCTTATCCACTGATAACTCTTTACATAGTTATATCATTCTCTCATGCCCCATTGCTTTGTGGTAAAATGGAATATAGACCAGGGATACTCCTGTACGCTGAAAGCCACTGATATGCAAATCAAGGCACTAGCAAAGAAACACTTCTTTGAACAAAAACTAGCTTCAACTTCTGAAGTCCAGCTTTGAACTTGATGAACTTGAAGCTGTCTGTTCACTAGGTTAGAGTTGGAGGCAGCAGGCAGGGTAAAAGCAGGGAGTTGAGAACATGGCTCTGTCTCAGATAACTGCCTAGATAGGGCTCACCACTTTGGATATTTCTTTATCTATTAATATAAAAGGCCAGAGTTAACTTAGGTGATCTCAATGGATTTTTTTAAAAGAAGAATGATTCTGTTATCTACGTCAGAAGGATAGACAGGAATTTTAGCATACTGTTCAAAATTTTTCTCACGAAGGTTTAAATACTTGTTAGAAAGTTATAAAGAAGGCTGGGTGCAGTGGCTCACGCCTGTAATCCCAATCCCAGCCCTTTGGGAGGCTGAGGCGGGTGGATCACCTGAGGTCAGGAGTTCAAGACCAGCCTGGCCAACATGGTCTCTACTAAAAATACAAAAATTAGCCGGGTGTGGTGGTGGGCACCTGTAATCCCAGCTACTGAGGCAGGAGAATTGCTGGAACCTGGGAGGCGGTTGCAGTGAGTCAAGATCATGCCACTGCACTCCATCCTGGGCTGCAGAGTGAGACTCCGTCTCAAAAAAAAAAAAAAAAAAAAGAAAGTTATAAAGAAAAGCATAACTTTAATGAAAGAAAATAGAGACCTCTGATATGAATATTAAATGTTAAAGGGAAAAACTAACTGCCCTCTAACAAATATGAAAGGAAGGGAAAAAAATTAGGTTTCCTGTGTGGTGGAGTGGGGTAAGGGGAGGATTATAATCCAAAACACTTTTAAGAAATGATTCTTACTATTTTTTCCTTGCTATTACTTAAAATTGCAATTTTTACTCCCAAAAGAAAAAAGGTATCTTATGTTTAAAAATGTCAGAGTTGGACGAGATTTTGAAGGGTTCTAATCTAATCTTGAACTCTGGTCCCTTTAAGGATCTCAGCAGTCACCCCAAATAAGCATGTATTTATGTTTGAATGGGTGAATAGTAAATACACACAGATTCTCGATGTGTCATACTGCCTCATAAAGCAGTAGCTGTCAAAACCAGCCTACCTTATGCAGGCTCTGCTTTTTTTTTTGAGATGGAGCTTCACTCTTGTTGCCCAGGCCGGAGTGCAATGGTGTGATCTCAGCTCACTGCAATCTCCACCTCCTGGGTTCAAGTGAGTCTCCTGCCTCAGCCTCCCAAGTAGCTGGGATTACAGGCATGTACCACCACGCCCGGCTAATTTTGTATTTTTAGTAGAAACAGGGTTTCACCATGTTGCTCAGGCTGGTCTCAAACTCCTGACCTCAGGTGATCCACCCACCTCAGCCTCCCAAAGTGCTGGGATTACAGGCATGAGCCACCACACCCGGCCCACTGAAGGTATATTTAATAGCATATTTTTAAGTACTGTTTTACATGGTTTGTTTGACACCAGTGCTCCATACAAACCCAGAACTACATTGCCAATGAATCCAAAAATATTTCTTGAAAACGTTGGTGTTTGCTGTGAGTTGATTAAAATAGTATTCAATTGAGACATTGATTGAGAAATTCTCTCTTTCTTGGTGGGATGTGTGTTTTATGAATGAAATGCAGTATCTACATTCCAAATATAATGACCCAGGCACTTGAGCATTTAGAACTTTTAAATATCTGAGGCAGAAAGTAAAATTTGAAATATACTGGAAAGAAAGCAGATTTTGATATTGTTTATCTGCATACTTATTGCTACTTTGATCCAGCAAGAATTTAAGGTGGGAATTTTACTTTTGAGCCAGACCTTTGTATAGTCATGTCAAGTAGAATAATTTATTACAGTAAATTTTAAAATGGGAATAAACAATAGAAATTTAATTTTTTTTCCCTTTATGTACTTAGGAATCAATATGAAGTATGTTTTATACTAAATTAGAATGTTGATGGAAACAGCTGATTTGTTGAGGTGGATGGAACATAAAGGTCATTGTCTTGATCACAATTATAAAAATAATTTTATGAAGTCAGAATCCCCAAAGCAGTTCACTCAGCTGCAGGAGAAGCAAAATATCAAGAAAGTTGAGAAAAGGTTTCAGTATATAACATGGCCCAAAAGAAATATATAATTTATATTTGTAATCTCTTGTTTTTCATCCTTCTTGCTTTTGTTTTTTGTGGGTTTTTGTTTTCAGGAGCTAAAAAGCACTTCTTTTCTTTCTTTTTTTGAAACAGAGACTTGCTTTGTTACCCAGGCTGGAGTGCTGTGGTGCGATAGTAGCTCACTGCAGCCTTGAACTCCTGGGCTCAAGCAATCCTCTCACCTTAGCCTCCTGAGTAGCAGGGACTACAGGCGTGCATGCACCACCACACCTGGCTAATTTTTTTAAAAAAGTTTTCTTTAGAGGTGGGATCTTTGTTGTCCAGGCTGGTTTTGAACTCCTGACCTCAAGCAGTCCTACCACCTTGTCCTCCCAAAGTACTGGGATTACAGGCACCCAGGCTGAAGTACAGTGACATAATCATGGTTCACTGCTGCCTGGATTTCCCAGGCTCGGGGGATCCTCCCACCTCAGCCCCCAAGTAGCTGCGACTACAGGCATGTGCCACCATGCCCAGCTAATTTTTTGTAGAAACTGGGTTTTGCCATGTTCCCCAGGCTGGTCTCGAACTCCTGAGCTTAAGCGATCTGCTTACCTCTGCCTCCCAAAGTGGTGGGATTATAGGCGTGAGCCACCGCGTCTGGCCTTAATAGTGGCACTGTTTACCCCACTGACTATCTGGGTTGATTTAGCCGATACATCCTGTTGGACACCCTGTTCTTCCTTCATGGCTTGATGTGTAACTGTTGCATGCCCTTAAAAGAGACTGCCTTATAAAATAGAGAGGGATCATTCTTTAATTAAGGTTATGTAAGAAGCTCTAGAACTCTGGTATTCCTGTTAATAATGCTAGCCCTTCTTCTCAAAGAGGTATTTTATTGTTGCATTCTGAAACAATGAATATGCTATTTGGTAATTCATCTATTAATCAGAAAAGCTAAAGTCTTAGTCATTGTTTTAAATAAAGCTCATTTCATGTAGTTACTCTCTCCTTTCTAGCCATACTTCCCTGCCCAAACATGGATGCCAGAAGTGGGGTTTGTGTGCTTGGGATTTCTGGTTTTATTCCTATGTTCCCTTATAAGCCAGTACTCCAAAACCGATATCCCTTTATGTACCTAGGTTTCCACAGAAGAGTTCTGTGCACTCAAAGCTCAACTGTGTGTTGTCCAAATGTGCTAAGATGCTATCTTAGCTGTTGCTGATCTATTTTTAATATTTTGCAACATTGATTTAGGACATATGTAGACAAATAGTAGAATTACAAGAGATAATTGTGATCTTCTAGTGTGGGGATTGGCAAACATTTTCTGTAAAGAATAGCACAATAAATATTTTAGGCTCATAGGTCATATGTTCTCTGCTGCAACTACTCAACTTTGCCATCGTAGCATGACAACAACCATATATCATGCTTATATCAGTGGATATGGCTGTTTTAATAAAACTTTGCTTACCAAAACAGGCAGTGGGCCAGATCTGGCCTAAGGGCTATAATTTACCAATCCCTGTTGTAGATTATTTTCCTCATTTCACAGATGGAAGAACTTCATTTTAGAAAGTTAAAGTAGTTTTGTTAATGTCACATGCCATTAGGGAGTCAGGACTAGAATCCAAGTCCCCTGATATCCAGGTTTAGAGCTAGTTCTTCACATTTATTGTTAGGCTTTTTATGTGTAATAGATAAAATATTAACTTCCTTTTTTATAGTTCTGGAGTAAGGGCAATTGTTACAAGTGTAAATTAAATCACCCACTAAAGTTTTGTTAATTCTACTTTGTTACCAACATTCTAGATACAATGTTACAGACTAAAGAAAGTGATGCCTGAACTTTGCTCATTCCATTGTACCACAGTCCTTTAGAATCTTCACATGAATTCAGTAGATTGTTTTTTATTCTTAGATGCTCCCAAAACACACACGTGCTCATGTATGCACACACATCCAGCAGGAATGTGTTCATATATTCACCAAAAGTTAGAATGCTCACTATTAATAGTAGCCCTAATTGAAGACTAACTGAATGCCTATCAACAGTATAATGGACAGGCCGGGCACAGTGACTCATACCTGTAATCCCAGCACTTTGGGAGGCCAAGGCGGGTGGATCACGTGAGGTCAGGAGTTCGAGACCAGCTTGGCCAACATGGGGAAACCCTGTCTCTACTAAAAAAAATAGAAAAATTAGCCAGGTGTGGTGGCGCATGCCTGTAGTCCCAGCTATTCAGGAGGCTGAGGCAGAAGAATCATTGAACCCGGGTGGAGGAGGTTGCAGGGAGCCAAGATGGCGCCACTGCACTCCAGCCTGGGTGACAGAGCGAGACCGAGACTCCATCTCAAAAAAAAAAAAGAAAAGAAAAGAAAACAGTAGAATGGACAATGAATTAGGATGTAATGACACAATGATACACTCCATAGCAGTGAGGATTAATGTTCTACAACTCTACACGACAATATATTGAGCAAAATAAGCCAGGTGGAACAGCGGACAGGCTATTTGGTTAGAAGTTAGGCTACCTTGGTGGTAGCTGAGTCTAAAAGAGAGGCAAATAGGGGCATCTGGGGTGCGATTATACTCTCTTTCATGACCTCCATAGTGTTTGAGTATTTTCACTTTGGAAAATTAATTCAGCTGTGTACATGTGCACATGTATATATCCACATGTATCCGTATGTGTGCTTTTCTGTCAGGATTTTATATGTAAATAAAAGTTGAACTATTGTCAGTAATGTTACCTGCCATTAGAGCACCTCTCATGTGCTAATGTGATGCTAAGCTCATTGCCCCAATGGATCATAGACTGGTTTATCTGAAATGAGCAAACTAGGATCCAGACTACCTGGCCCAGTCACTCAGCAAAGTCTAGACTAAGCCAGGACTAGAGCCTACAGCTCCTTGGTTCCCTGACCTCTACTGCTGGCCATGCAAAAACACATCCAGTTTTGTGGTTTTTGATGAGGTGACGTTTGAATAAAGAAATAGCAAAAAGCAAAAACATATACACCAGAATCTTCCCAACAAAATTGCCACAGCCTTCCATTCCTCTGTCCAGCAGTCTTCCTGGGACCACATCTTGAGAGGCAGTGCTGGAAAGGAAGACGTATTTATTTCTCCCTCTCTGACTGTAGTTTATTTAAACTGAGTCTCCTACTGTGCGTTTGTCTGATGTCTAAGGCCACTTTCATACCAGAAGTGAAGATGTTTATGATTATTTTAAGAAATGAGAGCTTATTTTGAGAGAAGAGTAGAAATTCCAGGAATTCTTCTTTTTTTTTTTTTTCTTGGCTAACATAGGAAATGTGTTTTGTTTTGTTTTTTTAATTGAGACAGTGTCTCACTCTGTTGCCCAGGATGGAGTGCAGTGGCATAATCTTGGCTCACTGCAGCCTCCGCCTCTGGGGCTCAAGCGATCCTCCTACTTCAGCATCCCGAGTAACTGTGACCACAGGCTCATGCCACCATTCCCAGCTAATTTTTTGCACTTTTGGTGGAGATGGGGTTTTGCCATCTGGTCTTGAACTCCTGAGCTCGAGCCATCTGCCTGCCTCAGCCTCCCAGAATGCTGGGATTACAGGCACGAGTGACCACACCAGGCTGGAAATGTGTTTTAATCCTGGCTATTAGCGCTTCCTGCAACTTTTTTTTTTTTTCTTTTTAAGTCTGTTTAGTGAAACAGTTTCCCGGAGATCTCTCCGAGGTCCCTTCCTCCTCTAAGATTCTCCGAATCTTCCCTGAATTTGCCTGAGGTTGAGCAGGGTGGAGACAGCAGGTGGTAGCAGCGGCAAAAGATGTTAAACTTAAAGAGAATAACTTTCAAGTTTGTAAATAAAGCCCAATACAAATAAAGATGGTAATGTGGACAAAAGGTCAGGTTATATTTTGAAACTCTAAATCTTTCACATGGTCATTCTTTATCAAACATCCATTTAACAAAAATTTATTATGTGTCAGATGCTGTGCTCTGTGTTTCTCCTCTTTTTCATTGGGGCTTAATTTCCTTTTTACAAAGCCCCTGCGGTAGTAGCAAATGTTATTTAAAGCATTGTGATTGCATGAGGTCATGGAGTAGTCCACATACGCAGAACCCTGGTCCTCCTGTACAGTGAGTATTTGCTGACTCATCTGTATGTCCTTTTCCTGGTTCCTGTTTAGGTCCCCAAGCAAGAACTATTCTTATGCAGTCAAGTTTACCACAGGCTCAGCTGGCTTCAATATGGTAAGGAATGAAAAGTTCTTTGGTTTGGATAAAGTGGAAACTTGGTTAGATTGGTGTGGCCTCATGGGTTTTAGATTAATACCGTTTTTTATGGGGGAATATGTAGAATTTGCTTAATTTCAGTGAGTTGTAATGATTGCCTCTTTTATAATACTATTTCCCCTCTCAATTTTGAAAAATACAAAAGCAGATTAATACAATAAATTCTGAAGGAGTGATAATACAACTTAACAATTCTCAACTCGTGACCAGTCTTGGCTCTCCCTGTCTTTGATTTCTTTTTCTTTTTTTTTTTTTGAGATGGAGTTTTACTCTAGTTGCCCAGGCTGGAGTGCAGTGGTACGATCTCGGCTCACCGCAACCTCCACCTCCCGGGTTCAAGCGATTCTCCTGCCTCAGCCTCCTGAGTAGCTGGGATTATAGGCATGCACCACCATGCCCGGCTAATTTTGAATTTTTAGTAGGACAGGGTTTCTCCATGTTGGTCAGGCTGGTCTTGAACTCCCAACCTCAGATGATCCACCCGCCTCAGCCTCCCAAAGTGCTGGAATTACAGGCGTGAGCCACCATGCCCAGCCTCTTTGATTATTTTAAGCCAAATCTTAGTTATTATATAATTTCTACTGCAAATATTTTAGCTTTTATCTTCAAAAGAGAGGGATTTTCCTTTTTTTCATTCATTATTATTATTATTACTTTTGAGATGGAGTCTCACTCTTTCATCCAGATGGCAGTGGTGCCATCTTGGCTCACTGCAACCTCCACTTCCCAGGTTCAGCCTATTCTCCTGCCTCAGCCTCCTTAGTAGCTGGGACTGCAGGCATGAACCCCCACGCTTGGCTAATTTTTGTTTTTTTAGTAGAGACAGGGTGTTGCCATGTTGGCCAGGCTGGTCTCGAGCTCCTGACCTCAGGTGACCTGCCCACCTCAGCCTCCCAAAATGCTGAGATTCCGGGGGTGAGCACTGCGCCTGACCGACTTTCTTCTTAGCACAGTCATAACAGCAATAGCTCACCTAAGTTTTTCAGTAGTCATCCTTATCATTAAATTAATCAGGGAATGTTCACATTCCTTAGAGTGCCTCAGAATGTTTTTATAGTTCATTTGTTCAGCTCAGGACTGAAATAAGCCTGTATTTTGCAATACTTGAGTTTTCCATCTTTTATGTCTCCTTTAATCTATAAATTTCCCCTTGTCTTGTTCTCTGCTTCTTTTCCCAAGTCCCCCAGGCCGCCCCCCAACCAAAAAAAAAAAAAAAAAAAAAAAACTCCGTTAAAAACAAACCAGATCATTTGTCCTGTAGTTTCTTAATGGCTTAACTTTTGAAGAGTGCGTCACTGTGGGATTGTCTAATTTGTTTCTGTATTTCCTGTAAATTGATAATTAGATCTAGAGCAAAGTTTCCCAACCCCAGCACTATTGACATTTTGGGCCCGATAAATCTTTGTTGTTGGGGGATGTCCTGTATACTGTAGGATGTTCAGTAGCATCTGTGGCCACTACTCACTGGATGCTAGATGCCAGTAGCATGAGCTCCACACCCAGCATGACAATCAGAAATGTCTCCAGACTTTGATAGATGTGCCTTGGGGTACAAAATCTTCCCTGGTTGAGAATTGCGGATCAGATTTGATTTTTTTTTTTGTTTTGTTGTTTTGTTTTTGATAAGACTGTGCCAGAGAGGTCTCTGTGTACTCTCCTCAAAAGGCACATAATGTCTCTATTGTGTAATGATTTTGAATAGCTATCGATGAGCATTGCCTGGGTCCTACAGGCTTCCTTAAATTTAAATGTTAACTAGAATGGTTTCTTAAGAAGTGTGCATGTTATAGCTGTATGTTGGTGATTGTCCCTGGAAAATAAACTTTGTCTACAAGACTCACTGCAAAGTTCGTGATTTTCTTGCAGGCCACATTGATAGGGTTGTTTCACAAATGATCAAGCTCTAATGCAGCTTCCTTTGCCCTTCTCTTCCCTTCTGTTTTGTATGAAAGAGCTTGCCTTTGGCAGTAGACCAGACCAGTTAATAAACATCTTATATCTTTGACACACCCAGAACTCTTTAAATCAGGGTATTGAACAGTATCCTAGGGCCCCCTGAAATATAAACTTAAGATCTAACATTAATGGAGGTTGGTTGACAATTTATTAGGTTGTTCTCATGATACCAGATTATATTGAAATATTTATTTTAAATTTCTCATTTATAACTTATCCTATTTGAGAAAAACGCTTGAGGCTTCTTCTGTTAGAATGTTATATTCTGGTGCTACACACTAAAAAAGATATTTTAATTAAATGCTTATAATCATAATTTAGGTAAGTGTGGTGAAAAAACAAGAATTTCAGCCACCTTCTAACTGGTTTACCTAGGACTGGCTAATTGTGAGACACAAAAAGGAACAGAATAAGGAAGAGCGGGCAGGGGTTTCATTTTATTTCATTTGCATTTCTTTTTAAAACTGGGTATCTTGCATATGGGTATCTTGCAAAACTAGAGGAACAGAAAAAAGATCAGCAGTTGCCAGGGGATGGGGGCAAAGGAGGGAGTTGCTACAATCAGATGTGGAATTTTAGGTAGAGCTGACACTATTCTGTATGTTGTGGTTCATGTTTGTCAAAACTCTCAGACCTATACTCTAGAAGGTGTGCATTCTACTTTATGGAAATTATAACAAAAAAAGTTTATAGCACCTAAGGAAATTTCAGAATTAAGAAGGTTTCTTAATTTTTGGCATTGGCAAAACCAGTTTCCCATTGCATTTGTCCTGTTGACATTCTAGTGAATGGATGTGTTGTCATGTATCTTCTTTTGATGGTCCAGAAATTGTTTAGTAAAATCACATTCTTGGACTTGCCAGGAGAATGTTTGCTGTAATTAGCTACTTGGGCAAGTTCATTATGAAGAATGATGGAGATTGAATCCTGAGATTGAGGAAGAGGAAACACTTAGACTCTGTGGCTGGAGTTCATAAAGATCCACTGTGTAGGCCTAGATTAAGGGGTGGCCAGCTCTGCCCAGTGGGCCGAATCTGGCCTGCATCTGTTTTTGTGAAGAAAGTTTTTATCGTACAAATAGCCATGCCCATTCATTTATATGTTGTCTATGGCTACTTTCTGCCAAAATGACAGAATTCAGTATGATAAGGATTGTATGTCTTATAAACTGTAAAATATTTACTACCTGACCCTTTACTGATAGTTTGTCATTTCCTGGTCTAGAGCAGAACATTTAACAATATAGAGCTGGGTATGGTGGCTTATGCCTATAATCCCAGCGATTTGATAGGCTCACTTGAGGCCAGGACAGATCAGCCTGGGCAACACAGTGAGACCCCCATCTCTACAAAATATTTTAAAAATTAGCTAGGCATGGTGGCGCACACCTTGTAATCTCACGTTTGGGAGGCTGAGGCAGGAGGATCATTTAAGCCCGGAAAGGCTGTGGTGAACTATGATCTTGACTGCAGTGAGGCTGCAGTGAACTGTGATCATGACTGCAGTGAGTCTGCAGTGAGCTGTGATCATGACTGCAGTGAGGCTGCAGTGAACTGTGATCATGTCATTGCACATCAGCCTGGGTAACAGTGAGAGCTCATCTGTTAAAAAAGATTCATGGAATATGAGTGTATTATATGTTAAATATGCAAAGGTTGGGGAAGAGTATCATTATAATCATAGCATTTGTTGAATGAGGAACACTGTCCCAACTACCTGTAATTTTATCTTTGCAGCAGTATAAAATAGGTACTATTTTGACAAAATGAGGGACAAAGAGACTCAGTTGGCCTGTGGTCAATAAGAAAACATAACTTTTAAATCACTAATGAATAGTAAAAAGCATGAATTTTCATGAAACCGGATTACAGTTAACTTTTTGTTGAATAGGAATCTTTCTGACATTGATCAAGATGGAAAACTTACAGCAGAGGAATTTATCCTGGCAATGCACCTCATTGATGTAGCTATGTCTGGCCAACCACTGCCACCTGTCCTGCCTCCAGAATACATTCCACCTTCTTTTAGGTAAGGAACATGGGCTCTGATCAGGAATTGTATGCGGAGTATATGAATTCCAAACTTGGCTTTATTGACTATGTGTCTTACCTGATTTTCATCCCTGACAAGGAAACTAAGTATCCGTGAATTCTAGAGACTCTCATCTAGGTCTATGTTAATCTTGGGCCCATTTTGTTCTTCAAAGTACTTGAAGTATATTAGTGAAACAATGAAGTAAAACATCAATAGATTGTTGATTTTCTACCAACCTATGTCATCAATGCTTACCAGAAATTTTCACAACAGATGCCAGCAGCAAGAGAGAAACTGCATGAGCCTATGCATAGAGAAGAAACCAAGGAGATCACACTTGTGAATTCCACACATTTCAGTGGTAACAAAAGCTGCTAGCAATGTAGAAATTATAATCAGGAAGACAAAGAAAATTACCCTGGACTGAAAGACAGTCTCAGTAAAGATGTCAAGAGAGTCACCTGAGGTCCAGTATTGTGACTGGCATCCTCATTTACATCCATGCATGCATGCACACGCTGTCCAGGACAGCTCTGTCTCCTGGCTTTGAACATAAAAACTGAATATGAGATCTTACAAGTACAAAGGAGAATGAAAGAAAGATTAAGATTTCTGACCTGAGTCCTCAAACTGCAGGAAGGACTGGGGCAAAATCCCCTTTAAATGAAGAGAAATAGAGCCATTACTGTCAGCACACACGTGGTACAGGAGCAAGCTGAGGAAACTGTGACTATGTAGGAAGCAACAGATAGCTGAGGCACTTTGCCTGTGAAATCCCACAACTGCAACATTGGAAGCTGATAATGAATGCGTAAAAAGGATTGGGAGACGGTTTAAACACAGCAAAGTTAAAAGTGTAAAGTGGGGAGGGTGGTGCGGTGGCTCACGCCTGTAATCCCAGCACGTTGGGAGGCCGAGGCGGGTGGATCACTTGAGGTCAGGAGTTTGAGATCAGCCTGGCCAACATGGTGAAACCCCGTCTCTACTAAAAATACAAAAATTAGCCAGGCGTGGTGGCAGGTGCCTGTAATCCCAGCTACTCGGGAGGCTGAGGCAGGAGAATCGCTTGAGCCCAGGAGGCGGAGGTTGCAGTGAGCCAAGATTGCACCATTGCACTCCAGCCTGGGGGACAAGAGTGAGACTTTGTCTCAAAAAATAAAATAAAATAAAATGACATAAATAAATAAATAAATAAAAGTGTAAAGTGGAAGAAATTAGTAAACAAAGTGATTTGTTTTACGAACTATATAGACATTGCATGTGTTTCTTAGGGGGTGAAATGGAGAGATGGGAAAGGGAAGAGAGATGCTCCTAGTGAGCTGAGCTGCTGATCTTCCCTTGGAGGAATTTAAGGTTACTTGAGAGGGCAATGGAAATAGCAGCTCCCACTTAGTGCTCACCATGTCCCAGGCATTGTTCTTACCACTTTTTGATTATTAACTACTTTCATCCTTTGGAATTGTTTCAATTTTGGTGGTGATTCTTAAGCTTGGCACTCAGAGTCTGATGACATTCCAATATTCATTAAAAAACTCTTTGTAAATAGAGAAGACCAAATCTTTATATTTTCCTTACTGTAAATGAAATTTGCTCCATGGCATGGTAAAATCTTTAAAAATCCTTCTTCATAACTTGTCCAACTCCACCCAGACAGCTCTGTGTGAATCTATTTTTCTTTTTCCCCGCAATTGCAGAAGAGTTCGATCTGGCAGTGGTATATCTGTCATAAGCTCAACATCTGTAGATCAGAGGCTACCAGAGGAACCAGTTTTAGAAGATGAACAACAACAATTAGAAAAGAAATTACCTGGTAAGGCAGCCTTTATGTTGAGTTAAATCATTTAGATTAAACGAAATTAGAGATTTCCTATCTCTAAGACAAAGATAGAGGTAAACATAAATTTAGTTTTTGACATTTTTGCCTTGTAACTTAACTGACCTTAGTTGGAGATAATTGTTAATTAAGCTTGTGGATTTGGGTCTGGATAGAGAAATAAGAACATTATGCACTCTGCTAATGCACCGTTGTTCTAACTTGTAACTTGAAATCTGATTATAAACTGCTAAACAAAAATTATGTAAATGTTATCCATAGAATATACAGCACTAAAAACTGATGAGTATTAAGGTGATTGCTTAATACCACCAGTGCAGAAATAGAAAATCAAATCATCTACTGTTGTTTTCTCATGTTGTTATAAGAGAATTGGAAACTCCTTAATTGCAGGAACCTATTTTAAATTTAATGTGAACCTATTTTATTTTATTTATTTTGTTTTTTGAGATGGAGTCTCACTCTGTTACCCAGGCAGGAGTGGAGTGGCGCAATCTAGGCTCACTGCAACCTCCGCCTCCCAGGTTCAAGTGATTCTCCTGCCTCAGCCTCTGGAGTAGTTGGGACTACAGGCACATGCACCACGCCCGGCTAATTTTTGTATTTTTAGTAGAGATGGGGTTTCACCATGTTGGCCAGGCTGATCTCAAACTCCTGACCTCAAGTGATCCACCTACCTCAGCCTCCCAAAGTGCTGGGATTATAGGCGTGAGTCACTGTGCCCAGCTGAACCTATTTTAAATAATACTCATTTACAATGATAAATCCATCATACTATTAAAATATTCTAAGGTGGCTATGAATTATTAATGATGAGATGATAATGATACTAAGAAGCAAATGAAATTATGGAGTCTTTTATGATAAATACTTTGTCAGTGTCATTTTGCTGCATTTAAGATGCTCAGCAGTTAATTGGTCTGGTCAGAACACTGGCTGTCCCAGTTTATTGTCTAAACTAAATTACCTTTTGTTCACTGATGAAATACTATTGGAAATATTTTACGTGCAAGCCTGCATGTTGAGCAAAGAATCTAAATGTTAATACATGGTTCATACTTTCTAGAACCTTTAAAATATATTAGAGGATTTAAGACATCCATATAAGCAATCACTTCAGCAGTATGTGAGTGGGATAAATTCCTGGAGAGTATTATAGATGCACAACAGACCTCACTTATGGTTGGTTGGTGTAGACTGGGGAAGATATGAGGAATTAAATGTCTGTGGAAGAGGTCACAGTTGAGTTGAGAGTTGAAGATGAATAGGGTCACCACAAGTGGAAGTGAGAATAGTTCAGGTTTTGATAACAATGAGAATGAAATTTCAATGGCAGATAAGGACAGGAATGCTTGGAATGCAGAATTTTCTTTTTCTGTTTTTAGTAGACATTCATTTAAAATTTTGAACAGGAAGCAACATTATCAGAGATTTCATTTGTGCATTCATTCCTTCAACAGCCGTTTATTATATGCCTCCTACATACTAGGAATATTGCCAGATGCTGGAATTAAAAAGATGTATAGAGACTTGGAGAGTTTTTTAAATTGAGATGAGATTCACATAATACAAAATGTACAGTTCAGAGGCTGTCTTAGTCTGCTTGGACTACCATAACAAAATAGCATAGACCGGGCAGCTTGAACAGTGGGAATTTTATCTCTCACCGTTCTGGAGGCTGGAAGTCCAAGATCACGGTGTGCAGATTTGGTTCCCAGTGAGGGCCCTCTTCGTAGCATGCAGACAGCAGCCTTCAGTTTTTTTGCTCACATGGGATTTCCTTGGTTTGTGCATGCAGAGGGAGACAGATCTCTCCTCTCTCTGTTTTCTCTATCTCTGTCTCTGCCTTTTTTTTTTTTGAGACGGTTGTTTCGCTCTTGTTGCCCAGGCTGGAGTGCAATGGCGTAATCTCGGCTCACTGCAGCCTCCGCCTCCTGGGTTCTAGCGATTCTCCTGCCTCAACCTCCCAAGTAGCTGGGACTAAAGGCATGTGCCACCACACCCAGCTAATTTTGTATTTTTAGTAGAGACGGAGGTTTCACCATGTTGGTCAGGCTGGTCTTGAACTTTTGACTTTAGGTGATCCACCCACCTTGGCCTCCCAAAAAGTGTTGGGATTACAGGTGTGAGCCACTGCGCTCGGCAGTCCCTGTCTTTTTATAAGGATATTAATTTATCATAAGGGCCCCACTCTCAACGGCTAATTTTTTTTGTTTTATTTTGTTTTTGAGATGGAGTTTTGCTCTTGTTGCCCAGGCTGGAGTGCAGTGGCGCGATCTTGGCTCACCACAACCTCCGCCTCCCGGGTTCAAGCGATTCTTCTGCCTCAGCCTCCCGAGTAGCTGGGACTACAGGCATGTGCCATAATACCCAGGTAATTTTTTATTTTTAGTAGAGATAGGGTTTCTCCATGTTGGTCAGGCTGGTCTTGAACTCCTGACCTCTGGTGATCTGCCTGCCTCGGCCTCCCAAAGTGCTGGGATTACAGGCGTGAGCCACCGTGCCTGGCCAGCTAATCTAATCTTAACCTTCCAGAGGCTCCATCTCCAAATATCACATTAGGGTAATTAGGGCTTAAACATATGGATTTTGGTGAGGCGACACAAACATTCAGTTCCTAACAATGACATTTAGTGCATTCACAGTGCCTTGCAGCCACAACCTCTCTTGTCCCAAGATACTTTCCTCACCTCACAACAAAACTCCATATCCATCACTCCCTCCAGCCCCTGGCAACCACCAATCTGCTTTCTGATTCTTGGGATTTACCTGTTGTGGATATTTCATATAAATGGAATCATATATGACTGTTTATGACTGACATCTTTCACTTGGCACAATATTTTTGAGATTCATCCACCTTGCAGCATGTATCATTACATCATCCCTTTCTGTGGGAGGGGGACTTTGAATTTTTTTTTTTTTTTTTTTGAGACAGAGTCTGCTCGTCACCCAGGCTGGAGTGCAGTGGCGCAATCTTGTCTCACTGCAACCTCTGCCTCTCAGCTTTAAGCGATTCTCCTGTCTCAGCCTCCCAAGTAGCTGGGGTTAAAGGTGCCTGCCACCACACCTGGCTAATTTTTTTGTATTTTTAGTAGAGACTGGGTTTCACCATGTTGGCCAGGCTGGTATGGAACTCCTGACCTCAAGTGATCTGCCCACCTCAGCCTCCCAAAGTGCTGGGATTACAGGTGTGAGCCACTGCACCCAGCCAGGACTTTGAATTTTAAGATATCAGAGTAGAGGATACCATCTCCTCTGAAATCACCAAAGGTGAGCAAGAAAACCAAAACATACTTGCCCGCTTTCATCTCTAATCGCTGACTACAGTACGTGAAGGAAGTCTGTCTAAAGCAGTGAAGTCCAAACAGGAATGTGGGAAGAAGCCAAAGATGGATGCTCACAGCTGCAGATCTCAAGGCAGAGTGAGAAGCAATGGTTCTTAGATGTGGACCAGGGACTGGCATGCTGCACAGGGTGGCAATGAGTGCTCCCCTGGCCGGCGTTGGTACCAAGGAGGATTGCGTGAGGCCAACACAGAAATGAAATAGACACTGCTGAGGACAGTAAGGGACAAGGATGATGGGATTGTAGAAAATGAAGAAATAAAATGGACATAAAGTATTAGAAAAAAAAGGATAGAACTGAGTAATCATTCTAAATTTATAATTGATGTGTTAAAGAAGGAAACTGAATAATGGGTTAGAAAAAATTGTTGACTGACTGTGATCTCCATAGGGATCAGGGCACAGCTTGTTCTTCAGTGTGAAAAGCCGAATGCTCACCTTTCACTCTGCTTTGAGAAATCTTGTTAGAATAGAGGACTCATCAGCACGGTTACAAGGCAAAGGGAAGGAGGGAGAGAGACAGAGACTCATGGTCCAGAAGAGAGGGGGTTAATTCCTAGGGCAAGCTCATGGGAAGAAGGGAAAGGATGGAGTAACAGGGAAGGAAAGGAGTCTGGATGGTGATGTAGAACTGCTAGATAAGGATCTTTTAGAAACAGTGTTTGGCGTGGAGGAGAAGATATAAACAGAGAGGTTAGGCAAAGGGGGTTTTCGTTGTGCTCATTAACAAGGACACAGAAGCTTAGGGAGTTCTGGGTTTGGGTTTGTACTACAAATTTCAAATACATTGGTGAGTTTTCCTTTGAAAAGAGTCCGTTGAAAATCTTGAGTTTTCATAGTTGCTGTGTTCCTTGTCTGAAGTAACGTTTGAAGATAAGAAGCGGGAGAACTTTGAACGTGGCAACCTGGAACTGGAGAAACGAAGGCAAGCTCTCCTGGAACAGCAGCGCAAGGAGCAGGAGCGCCTGGCCCAGCTGGAGCGGGCGGAGCAGGAGAGGAAGGAGCGTGAGCGCCAGGAGCAAGAGCGCAAAAGACAACTGGAACTGGAGAAGCAACTGGAAAAGCAGCGGGAGCTAGAACGGCAGAGAGAGGAGGAGAGGAGGAAAGAAATTGAGAGGCGAGAGGTAAGCAGGCGAGAGTGGAGCCACCCGGAGTTAGTGTGCGATCACCCCTTTTCAGAATTATCCAAGTGATCTATTCACGCCATCTTTGTCTTTTTACAATTCAGTAGTTTTAGTATATTCCCAAAGTTGTGCAACCATCGTCCCTAATTCCAGAACATTTTCATCACTCCAGCTCTTTACCCATTAAGCAGCTACTCCCCATTTCTTTCTCCCTCCAGCTCCTATCATTAATTTTACTTTCTATCTTTCTAGATTTACTTATTCAGGACATTTTTTATAAATGGAATCATCAATATATGGACTTTTGTTTCTGGCTTTCATTTAGCATAATGTTTTCAAGGTTCATCCACATTGTAAAATGAATCAGTCCTTTATTCCTGTTTATGGCTGAGTAATATTTCGTTATATGGGTATACCACATTTTTTAATTCATTCAGCAGTTGATGGTCATTGTGGCTATTATAAACAATGATGTTATGAACATTAATGTACAAGTTTTTGATGATACAATTTTGTAACAAACCACTGATACCAGTAAAGTGTTTTTCCAGACTGTTTTCTCTGTATACACCTATATAAAAATATAAAGGTTTATATGGCGGAGAGTGTAAGGGCTGTATAATTTTTTAAAAACCACTGTAATAGTATCATACCAATTACATTGTTCTGCAATCTTCTTTTTTTTTTTTTTTTTTGTTTGAGACAGAGTCTCGCTCTGTCACTTCCAGGCTGGAATGCAGTGGCATGATCTCAGCTCACTGCAACCTCTGCCTCCTGGGTTCAAGCGATTCTCCTGCCTCAGTCTCCTGAGTAGCTGGGATTACAGGTGCCCGCCACCACGCCCAGCTAATATTTTGTATTTTTAGTAGAGATGAGGTTTCACCATGTTGGTCAGGCTGATCTCGAGCTCCTGACCTCGGGTGATCCACCCGCCTCAGCCTCCCAAAGTGCTGGGATTACAGGCATGAGCCACCGCGCCTGGCCCATGCAACCTTCTTTTTAAACTCTTTTAAAAATATGTCTGGGACATCCTCCCTATATTCTATGGAAGGCTTCGTAAATTTAGCGCCATACCTGGAAAGGGGCTAAGCAAATCTTGTCTCTCTTTCCAATTTTAGTACATTACTGCAGAAGCAACACATGGTTCTTTCATGTGAATGAAAGATAAAAATGAGGAATTTTTCGATGTAAAAAAATAGCCTGAGTGCTGTGCCTCAAGCCTGTAATCCCAGCACTTTGGGAGGCTAAGGAGGGATGATCACTTGAGGCCAGTAGTTGGAGGCCACTGCATTCCAGCCTAGGTGACAGAGCAAGAACCTGTCTCAAAAAAAGAAAGAAACAAAACTTATAGCCATAACTCCTTTTTTTTTTTTTGAGACAGACTCTCGCTCTGTTGCCCAGGCTGGAGTGCAGTGGCACGATCTCAGTTCACTGCAGCCTTCACCTCCTGGGTTCAAGTGATTCACCTGCCTCAGCCTCCGGAGTAGCTGGGATTACAGGCGTGAGCCACCATGCCTGGCTGATTTTTGTATTTTTAGTAGAGACAGGGTTTCGCCATGTTGCCCAGGCTGGTCTCGAACTCCTGACCTCAGGTGATCCGCCTGCCTCGGCCTACCAAAGTGCTAGGATTACAAGCGTGAGCCACTGCGCCCGGCCCCGTAACTCCTTTTTGTTCAGACAGACACTAACAAAATTTTAATTTTCAGAATGAACAAAGATAGGCAAACTTTTCTTCAACGTACCAAAAAAATGATATTCTAGAGTATTTATTCAGAATTATTTAATAGACATTTACCATGTATCAGGTGTAGTTGGATGACCCATGAGTCAGAGGCAATTCCCATAGACTGTCAGATGCTCTGATATGTACTCTATCTAGCAGTCGTCAGAGCCAGTCGTTGGAGGGAGCAAAAGCTTTTGTGGTAAAAAGGAAATGAATGATTAGGAAGTGGGGAGTCGCAGACTTTTAAAACGAGTTAAGTAATAATTTCTCTTTTGGTGGAGTAAAATCAACTCTTGTTTGTTTTTGTTCAGGGGTGTTTTAGTTTGATTTTACTACATAAATTTTCCTTCTTGGCGTGTCAGTAAATAAGAAGGAGCATTTTTAGTTAGCACATCAAGCATTCTTGAAGGCATAAAGAATGGAATTCTAATGGGGAAATAATCCTGTCATCTTACGTAAATATAGTATTATGTAAATATAATACCCAGTTCTGTGTATTCCCTTTATTCCCATAGAAGGAATACTGTATTTTTATGTAATTTTTTGTTTTCTAATGTGATTTCTTGTAATGTTTAATATTTCATCCCTAAAAGGAAAGACTTCCTAGATGCCATTTTTGTGAAAAGACATTGTGTAGTGTAAGAACTGAAAAATTAGTAATTTGTCTCTGTAAATGTCACAGGCTGCAAAACGGGAACTTGAAAGGCAACGACAACTTGAGTGGGAACGGAATCGAAGGCAAGAACTACTAAATCAAAGAAACAAAGAACAAGAGGACATAGTTGTACTGAAAGCAAAGAAAAAGACTTTGGAATTTGAATTAGAAGCTCTAGTGAGTGAAGTTTGGTTATACTTTGAAAATATACTAAGATGGAACCATTAAAAACAGTAATAATTTTTATTATCTTTCATTTGTTCAAGAATGATAAAAAGCATCAACTAGAAGGGAAACTTCAAGATATCAGATGTCGATTGACCACCCAAAGGCAAGAAATTGAGAGCACAAACAAATCTAGAGAGTTGAGAATTGCCGAAATCACCCATCTACAGCAACAATTACAGGTGAGGAAATATGCCTCTTAAAAGCTATTATATTAAACTGGCATCCTTTTCTCTAATTCATTTCATTTACTTACTTATTCAGTAAACATTAAGCAACTGTCTTGTACTAGGCACTGGGAAGCAAAAATGAAGTAGACAGGGTCCTTGTGTGAAAAGTAGCCTGTCAAGGAGACAAACTCAGCAAATATTTACTGAGCACTGCTTCGGGCCAGGTGCTTTTGCAGTTTCTGAGGCTACAGCAGGGACAGACACTCTGTCTTCTGGGAGCTTACCCTCTGTTTGCAGGAGGAACAGAGACTAACAAAATAAAGTGTGTACTGTATTAGAAGATGAAAAGTGCTATGGAGAGTGAGTAGGGAAGGGAATAGAGAGTCCTAGGGATAGGAAATGTTGTGATTTTAACTAAGGTAGCCAAGACAGGTCTTTCTGGATGGTGACATTTGAGCAGAGACTTGAAATTAATGACAGGCTAAGCCATGTGGGTATCTGGCAGAGCAAGATCTAGGCAGGGAAATAGTGCCAAAGTCCTGAGGTCGTAGCAGGACTCTGAGATGCCAGTTACAGCAAGGAGACTACTGGGTAGAGCAGGTGGGAGCTGGATCACACAGAACCTGTAGTCCACCAACAGGACTTTGGCTTTACTGTGGTAATTACAATAAATAAGTACACTTAAGTATTTTAGGGGGTCATATGAGAGCTATATGTATACTAAATAGTTGGAGACATACAGAGCACTTTTAGTAGTTCTGTCTTCATTTTAAAGCCTATCCAAAGTTGTTATAATATCACCTGGTTTGGTATCAAGTGCTGAACTACAGGGGCATCAAATTCATGTAAATATTGCCTGTGGATGATCATATTTGCCTGTGATTCCTTTATGTTAGGCTTTTTCTCAGCATGATGTTTTTGAGATGTGTCCATGTTACTGAGTGAATGACTCTTTTGTTTCTTTTCATCACTGAGTAGTGTTTCCTTATGTGTCCATTCACCTACTGGTTGATATTCAGGTTCTTTCCAGTGTGGAACTTTTATGAATAAAACTGCAGTGAGCATTTATGTACAAGTCTTTATGTGGAAATGGTTTATTTCTCTTGGGTAAACTTTTAGGAATGGAACTACTGTGTCATGTAAGTGTATATTTAACCCCATAAGAAACTGTCAGGCTGGGCACAGTGGGTCACACCTGTAAACCCAATACTTTGAGAGGGCAAGGTAAGAGGATTGCTTGAGCTCAGGAGTTTGAGACCAGCCTGGGAAACATAGCAAGACCCCATCTCTAAAAAAAAAAAAAAAAAACTTAAAAATTAGCTGGCATGGGGGCGTTCACCTGTAGTACCTGCCTGAGGCAGGAAGACCACTTGAGCCCACGATATCGAGGCTGCAGTGAGCTATGATTGAGCCACTGACTGCCTGGGCCACAGAATGAGACCCTGTTCAAAAAAAAAAAAAAAAAGAGAGAGAAAAGAGAAAGGAAAGAAAGAGAACTGACAAACTGCAAAGAGTTTGTACCATTTTACATTCTGATCATTTAATTTGTATTTCCCTGAAGGCTAATGATGTTGGGAATCATCTTACATGTTTATTGGCGAGTATTTTTTACTGTGCATCTTCGTTGAAGTGTCTGAACAAATCTTTTGCCCATTTTTTATTGGGCTGTTTGTCTTACTATTTACTTGTAAAAGTTCTTTTTATATTCTTAACAAGTCCTTTGTCAGATACGTGTTTTGCAAATATTTTCTCCCAATCTGGCTTGGGTTTAATTTTTGTTAGTGGTATTTTTTAAAGGGCAGAAGTTTTAAATTTTGATGAAGTTCAGTTTACCGTTTTTTTTCTTTTGGTGTTCATGCTTTTTATGTTCTATCTGAGAAATCTTTGACTACCCCATGACTGCAAATATTTTATTTTCTTCTAGAAGTTTTTGGGGCTTAAAAAAATAATTTTTACAAGTTTTTATAAATTGAAAAAAACTTAAAATTTTAAGTTTCATAGTTGTATCTTATATGTTTAGGTCTATGAGCTATTTCAAGTTGATTTTTGCAGATAGTATAAGGTAAAGGTTGAGGTTTATATTTTTACATACTGATACACAGTTGTTATAGCACCATTTATTAAAAACACTGGCTTTTTTCCCATTGAGTTACCTTGGTAGCTTGTTGAAAATCAGTTGAACATATTTGTAATGGTCTATTCTGGACTCTATTCTGTTCTTTTGATCTGTCTGTCCTTTACCAGTACCTCACCCTGTTGATACCTAATTTTTGAAGTCAAGTGATACGAATTCTCTGTTATTGTTCTTTTTAGAATTGTTTTTGGTTATTCCAGGTCCTTAACATTTCCATGTACATTTTAGAATCAGCTTATCAGTTTTTACAAAAATGCTTGGAATTTTGTTGGAATTCCATTGAATTTATAAATCAATTTGGGAAGATTTGACATCTCAGCAATAGTAAATCTATGGCATAAATCTCTATTTTGGTAGTTATAAATTTCTCTCAGCAATGTTTTGTAGTTTGCAGTGTCCAAGTCTTGTAGATACTTTGTAAAGTTTATCCCTAAGTATTTTGTGGCTTTTGATGCTATTGTATATTGCATATTTTTATTTTAGTTTCCAGTTGTTTGGTGCCAGTATATGGAAATAGAATTTATTTTTGTATATTGACCTTATATCTGTGATTGCTTAACTAACTTCCTTTGTGTGTCTTACTTTGTTGACCAGAACCTCCCATACTATATTGGATAGAAGTGGGAAGAGCCTTGTTCCCTCTCGATGAAGGAAAGCTCTCTCACCATAGAGTATAGTGTTAACCAGGGTTCTTGTAAACACCTTTTATCAGGTTGATGGACTTCTCCTTTTGCTGAGGGTTTTTATGATGAATGGGTGTTGAAATAGATCATATGTTTTTTCCCCGCATCTATTGAGATAAGTATGTGTTTTTTCTTTCTTATTTTGTTAATATGATGAAGTACATGGTTGCCATTTGAATGTTAAATCAGCCTTCCATTCTTGGGATAAACCACTCTTGGTCATGGTATATTACCCTTTATTAAAATATTTCACTACATTCCATTTCCCATTATTTTATTAAGGATCTTTTTAAATCTGTTGAATTCAATTCAACAGAGATATTGGTTTTTAGTGTTCTTCTAATATTCTTGTCTAGTTTTGATATCAGGGTAATGCTGGCCTCAGAAAATGAGTTGGAAAATATTCCTTCCTCCTCTATTTTCTAAAAGTGTTTGTGTTGAAATAGCATTTCTTCTTTAAATTTTGGTGGCATTCACCAGTGAAGGCCTCTGGGCCTGGAGCTTTCTTGAAGACTTAATTATAAAATTCATTATGCAGATATAGGGCTATTCTGATTTTCTTCTTCTCCTTGAATCTGTTTTGATTATCTGTCAATGAACTTGTTTATATTATCTAAATTATTAAATTTACTTGTATAAAGTTGTTTATAATATTCTCTTTTTTTTTTTTTTTTTTTTTTTTTGAGACGGAGTCTCGCTCTGTCGCCCAGGCTGGAGTGCAGTGGCGCAATCTCGGCTCACTGCAAGCTCCGCCTCCCGGGTTCACGCCATTCTCCTGCCTCAGCCTCCCAAGTAGCTGGGACTACAGGCGCCCGCCACTACGCCCGGCTAATTTTTTGTATTTTTAGTAGAGACGGGGTTTCACCGTTTTAGCCGGGATGGTCTCGATCTCCTGACCTCGTGATCCGCCCGCCTCGGCCTCCCAAAGTGCTGGGATTACAGGCGTGAGCCACCGCGCCCGGCCTATAATATTCTCTTATTGTATGTAAGTCTGTAGTATCTGTAGTGATGTCTCTTCTTTCTTTACTGATATTGGTAATTTGTGTCCTCTCACTCTGTCTCCGTGCTTCCTTCTCCTTTTCCTTCCTAACCCCTTCTTCTCTCCTTTCTCCTACTCTATCTCTCCTCCTTCTTCTTTTCTTGATCAGTCTATCTGGAGTTTGTTTATTTTTAAAAAATAAGTTCTTGGCTCTATTGATTTTTTTTTTTTTAGTAAGCCCTTGGCTTTATTGATTTTCTCTGTGGTATGTCTGTTTTCTGCTTTATTTTTGTTCTTTTTCTCTTGTTTCTTCCATTTACTTATTTGGGGTTTAATTTTCTTTTCTCAAGCTTCATAAGGAGGAAGTTTAGATAATTGATTTTGGACCTTTCATCATTTTTGATACAAACATTTTAAGCTTTAAATGTCCATCTAAACACTGACATTGCCATATCCCACAAATTTTTAATATGTTGCATTTTCATATTTATTCAATTCAAAATCTTTTTTAAATTTTCTTTGTAATTTCTTCTAATTCTTTCACCTTTATTGAGATTTATGGCTCAGCATATGCTCTGTCTTGGGGAATATTCTATGGGCGCTTGAAAAGAATGTGCATGCTGTTGTAATTAGGTAGAGTGTTCCCTAAATATCAGTTAGATCAAGTTGATTCATGGTGGTCTTCAAGTCTCCTGTGTCTTGACTGATTTTGTGACTACTTTTATTAGCTACTGAGAGTGGAACACTGAAATCCTGATCATTGTGGATTTGTATATCTTCCTTTCATTTCTGTTCAATTATTGTTTCATGTACTTTGAAGTCCTAAGAAACTCCTTATACATTTGAAATTTGAGATTTGTAAAGGAAAAAGTACCAGAAGTTGATTGCTGGAAATTATTTTAAAATATTACAAAATGCATGCACCTTTTTAAAGTATATTTTTCTTTTCTTTTTTTTTTGAGACAAAGTCTCACTGTTGCCCAGGCTAGAATGCAGTGGTGCGATCTCGGCTCACTGCAACCTCTGCTTCCCGAGTTCGAGTGATTCTCCTGCCTCAGCCTCCCCGGTAGCAGGGATTACAGGCAAGCGCCACCACGCCTGGCTAATTTTTATATTTTTTGCAGAGATGGGGTTTCACCATGTTGGCCAGCCTGGTCTCAAACTCCTGACCTCAGGTGATCTGCCCACCTTGGCCTAAGTGTATTTTTCTATGTGTTAACTCTCTTTATGTGTCTTTTGTTAACTCTTGAGGTAAAGTTTCATAAAATATTCTCCTGGAAAATTTAGGGATGAAGGCCATGTGTTTATTAAACTAAGTATTATCACCTAATACTATATGACCAAGTACAATTTTTATTAAAGATTGATGTTTAGACTGTTCACTTATTGATAATATGATAAAAATCAAGATTCCCAAAAATGTAATGAAGTGAAAAATAAAACATTCTTTGAAGAAAGAAAAGTATGTAGTAGGTAATCAGATATTGGTTCCCTTTCTGTACAGGGATTAGCAGATACTTGCTTTGGAGATAAGTCAGATCTGATTTGTGTATTCTGTTTTATCAAGATTTTTTTTTCTGGTATGGATTATTCATAGGAGAAGATGCTTCTAAATTCTAGCTATTGAGTTAACTCTTTCTACCATTTAGACATGCATTACACAGAGATTTATTCCACATAAGCCAGTCTGTATCTAAAGGTGGTTATTCCAAAATGGACTGGTTTTTAGCTTCTGATGAAAAATTTTAATTAAGGCATTTTTAGTTTTTCAAACAAAAAGTCAATACATAGAGCTCATTTTTTATCAAGGTAAAAATAAAAGTCAAATATTCTTTATTATAACCTAGGAAGGCTGCCATTTTACTGAAACATGCAGAAACTATACAGGATATTTTCGGCTAAATTTAAGCAGATACTGTTCTTGGCAAGTTAACCACAAAAATTCCAAACAGCCTGTGCAGTGTGGCTTAACTTTTTTCTTGTGTCAGTTAAAAAAATAGTTGCTTCAAAACTTTTGTGTACCTGTTTAAAATTCCATCCAGTGTGGTGGAAAAATATATACAGCAGCTAAGATTCTAGTTGTTAAAAATCTTTGATTTCTGTTTCTAACTTCAGGTATACGGTAAACCTAAGTTCAGCCTTAGTAAGTATCAAAGTTCAGGATAGAGTAATAGGGTAGCTCCTATTTAGACCACTGAGTTAGTTTACAAACAGTAGGATCACTGCATTTGCATTTGATCCCGGTGCCATTGGAAGATCATTGCTTCAATTTATCTCTGTGGAGTAGTACTTAATGTACATTTTTTGAAGCTTATAAATATCCGGTAAGTCAACAAAAATATAAGAAATATCAGGGAAGCTATAACTGTGTAGGGAAAAGCATTTGGCAAACAGAGTTAATTTCTTGGAAAGAAAGCAGGAGCCACACCTAATTAATAATTAAATGCAGCTTCACCATGCAGGATTTGGGAAGAGTCTGAGAAAACTGACTTAAGCTCTGCCTGGATCTTAATGTAGATGTGGTAGCCTTCCCTGTCATTCATTACTATTTTCCTCCTTCCTTCCCAGGAATCTCAGCAAATGCTTGGAAGACTTATTCCAGAAAAACAGATACTCAATGACCAATTAAAACAAGTTCAGCAGAACAGTTTGCACAGTAGGTGTTTTATTTTTAAAGTTGACCTTTTCTTTATTCTTTCTTTTTTTGACATGGAGTCTCACTCTGTCCCCCAGGCTGGAGTGCAGTGGCGCAATCTCGGCCAACTGTAACCTCCGCCTCCCGGGTTCAAGATTCTCTTGCCTCAGCCTCCCAAGTAGCTGGGACTACAGGTGCATGCCACCACAGCCAGCTAGTTTTTGTATTTTTAGTAGAGATGGGGTTTCACTATATTGGCCAGGCTGGTCTCGAACTCCTGACCCCAGGTGATCCATCCACTTTGGTTCCCCAAAGTGCTGGGATTACAGGTGTAGGCCACCGCACCCAGCCTTTTCTTATTTTTTAACCAGCAAGAATTTCCTTAAGTGAAATGAGAACATTAAAAAACATTTTCCTCACTGCAAATTAAAGTTTTTCTTATCTTTGCGACGTTTTTCTAAAATAGGAGATTCACTTGTTACACTTAAAAGAGCCTTAGAAGCAAAAGAACTAGCTCGGCAGCACCTACGAGACCAACTGGATGAAGTGGAGAAAGAAACTAGATCAAAACTACAGGAGATTGATATTTTCAATAATCAGCTGAAGGTAACTCTTCTATGTGTGCCTGCATGTGTGTCCTACCTTTAATTTTTTTAACTGTCCAAATGATTAGTTGCTATTTAATCACAGGCAGAAAAATTTATTATGCCATTGTGAGACAATCTAAATTGCACTTTTCTCCTTGAAAATATAAGAATGAATTTGGCATCTATAAATTAGGGCTGAATGAGTGGCCCCAGCATGACATCTATTTTTAACCTGAATCATATTTTGACACATCTCCATTCTTTTGTCTGTTTATAGTCACATCAAGTTGATTCCAAAAGCTTTATCTTTCTTATGTTCTTTGAATACTACTAAAAGGGATTGTTTTCTTTTTTAAAACTAAGAATTTTTCTGCCACTTCTTATCTTCATTGCGCTTAAATGTAGATCTTTATTTTGTTACCTCATTTTTAAATCTTACTGTTTTAGTGGAGTAATTGCTTTTGTCTCTTGTGGCAGAAGTGGTGTATGGTTTTGTCACATTTGCACAGTAAAATTGGGAAAATGCCAAAACTCTGAGGAAATGTAAAATGGTTAGATCACAGCCTTTTTCAGATTTGGTGTTTCTGATTTAACTTTACAACTGTATCATCTTAAGAATGTTAATTCTTGGCCGGGCGTGGTGGCTCATGCCTGTAATCCCAGCCCTTTGGGAGGCCGAGGCAGGCGGATCATGAGGTCAGGAGATCGAGACCATCCTGGCTAACACGGTGAAACCCCGTCTCTACTAAAAATACAAAAAATTAGCCGGGCATGGTGGTGGGCGCCTGTAGTCCCAGCTACTTGGGAGGCTGAGGCAGGAGAATGATGTGAACCCAGGAGGCGGAGCTTGCAGTAAGCCAAGATCACGCCACTGCACTCCAGCCTGGGTGACAGAGCAAGACTCTGTCTCAAAAAAAAAAGGAATGTTAATTCTTAAAATCAGAACACAAACAGTTTATTTCTTATAAACAATCATATACTACTTTAGATGTATGTAGATATTAGCATTTTTGTTATTCTTATAAGAAATTGGATGTTATACTTTTTTCCCCTCCAAATATTTGTTTTCCTTTTCTAACATAAAATTCTTTTTAAGCCAATTCAGCTTTTGACAGTGGGAAGAAGTAAAACTCCTATTCTATAATTCTAAAAACAAAATTAAAAATTAGCATATTTGAAACTTTTATAATAGTTGACCTTTGGATTGAGATTCTAGGCCAAATTGTCTAGACATCTGAGTTTGAGGTATGTGTGCTGTTCTTTCAGAGTATTAGGTAATGATCTTTTCTCAATTGTACGATTCCAGGAAAGTGCTCTTAGGGGAAATATTATTTGAGCCAACTTAGTGTTTTTCTTCACTTTGCTTTCATGCTTACATGGTGTGTGTTTGTGTGTACACTATATATGTTCTATATTCATGCATATATGATTATGTGTGGTATGTCAGTATTGGAAGTACAGCTGTAAATTAACCATCTCTAGAATAAGTGCAATTAGAAACAAAAAAACAAAAAAGAATAAGTTCAATTAAAGTATGCTCACATTAACTTTCATTGTCACTTGTCTCTTTTATAAGCAAAAAAAAAAAAAAAATAGCACTGTTGCAAAGCCTATGTTGCTTTTTAATAGTCTCTTGGGATATAAACTGTTAAATATTAAGCTCTCTTCTGAACCCAGGCAGTAGTCCAGATTTGTGCCTTCACATTGATTCTTTTTCTAGAAATTTGACTCCCCTAAAAAAGGTTCAGGTATTAGAAAATGATACTCTAGTGAGAGGCTTTTGATAAATGTCTAGAAGATTAAATAATTTTGGTGATTGAATTTCTGTTGCCATTACTAAAGAGAACACCCTTAATATGTGGCGAGTCACCCCTACTTTGTTTAATTGACTATGGCTGCTTTCAGTATCACAGAGTTTCTTACATAAAGGCCAATTTTAGCCCCCTTTTCCACTAGCCCTTTTTCCAAATATGCTTATTTTTAAATAAGAGTATTTCTTCTTGTTTTTTAATTTTAATTTTGGCTTTCTCTTATTAACTTTAATTAATATGATGAGTTTAAAAAAAATCACAGGTCAGGTCGGGTGTGGTGGCATGTGCCTGTAATCCCAGCACTTTGGGAGGCAGGTGGATCACTTGAGCAAGTGGATCATTCGAGACTAGCCTGGGCAAAAGGGTGAAGCCCTGTCTCTACAAAACACACACACACACACACACACACACACACACACACACACACACTAGTCAGGTATGGTGGCATGTGCCTGTAGTCCCAGCTACTTGGGAAGCTGAGGTCAGAGAATCACTTGAGTCTGGGAGGTTGGGGCTGCAGTGAGCCATGATTGTGTCACTGCACTCCTGCCTGGGCAACAGAGTGAGACCCTGTCTCAAAAAACAAACAAACAAAACAGTAAACAAATCACAGGTCAGTATAACTATATTGTTTTGTTATTTAACACGCATTTGGAGGACTTAGTGAATATGTTGTGTTATGGTTATTATCTCTAGTATTCCTCTCAAACCTGATAAAGCCAAAACAAACAATTAAATTGGAGAATCAAAAGATTTATAGAATTTGATTGAGACAACTCAGAGATGGATTTATCATTTAGTCTCTTAAGTGTCACTTGCCCACTTTTCTTTGTTGTAGCCACACTGGAAAATGAAATACTTTTTTTGTAACTTTAGAGCATGTGTCCATTAGCAACCATGTTTTCTTGGATGAAGAGATAGGCCAGGAGGAGCCAGTCTCCTGACTCTTGGGGTTTCTTCAGTGCCCCTCTTGATCGGCAGTGCCTTTAGAGCATCCACGCTGTTGATGCAAAAATTACTTCTGCCTTCCTGGGATGTGTCATTTCACACATCTAACCTGATAGTGTGAATTTGTTGTATCCTAAACCTTCCTTTCCCTAAAGGAAGCCAGCTGGAGAGTACAGAAAAGAAATTAGGGCTTCCTGTTCTTTTGTATTTCATGTTCACGTAGATTGTTCACCTGGAAGAAGGAAATGCAGTTCCCTCATTATAGGTTAGTACTGTAACACTGGAGGAATACCTTACAGAGTACAGAATTTTAAAATTAGTTGATCAGGATACTAAATCTATATTAAGTGGCTGGCTCCACAAATGAGGATAACATTTAACAAAAATTGATTCTCACTATTTTGGGTAAATTGCAATAAGTCATTCACCTACTTTGATGCATGCTCAGAGTTATGTCCAGTTTCTTAGGTATAAAGGTAATACAGGGAATAATCGTACCCTGGTTCAGCCCAGATTCTGAGTTATAAGACAGTGATTAGGAAGTATAGGAAGCGTATTTAGTCAAAAAACTAAATACACTTATACTTTCCTTTTCTTTTAACATACAATCTGATTTAGTTCTTTCTCTAGAATGTCTTGCTCAGATTAATTTGTCTTTTGTGGGTTTCTCCCATTTTCTTCAGTTCAGGAAGAATTCCTTCCTTCCCTACCCAAAATCTGATAAGCAAAGATAGAAATTCTCAAAGCATTAATTAAAGAGGAAAAAGTTACAGGTTAACAGGTATTTGTCTCGTATAGGAAGCAACCTGTTGAAAACATAAGGCATACTTATAATCGTGATCTTCTGTTAAATGGCTCCATATTCAAAGTCGTGGGCCTTTAAGTTTCTACCTAATCCATGGAAATTGAAGGCTCATTTTTTGTTTTCCAAAAAAGGCTGTTTTTCCATGCGTTTTAATAGATATTTACCTTTTAGGTGTCATATTTATATATTCAAAAAAAGATCCTAAGATGTAAATATCTTTCTATTTACCACCCAAACCAATAATTACTTGAGAAAGGAAACAGGAATCTTACTGTAGCAAATAAACTTTGCTTTTGGGTTTTAAATAAGTCTGTAAAAACAGGGAGGGTGGGAGAAGAGGAGAAACGATAGCACCCTGAAATATTGAAGCTCTTATCCTACAAATTCCCCAATTGGCAGCCTTTGTACTTATGCTGCCCTTGCTATGCATGATAAATTTTAGGTTTTTGATTATCAAATGAAATATTTGAACAGTGAATTAACCAGGAATAATTAATTTTGTTGTGATTATTGCTAGCATGAATTAGTACATCTTAAAATAGTTTTAATTCAGTGGGTAAAATTTATTTACCATTAATTTCTGCTTTTAAAATGTGTTCTGTATGTAACAAATACCTTATTAAGAAATCGGTAGTCTTCTCAGATCCACGTTCTAGAAACAACAATTTAAAATTATTATCTATGACTTCTACTTCAGTTTACATGAAAATTAAAACTCCCAACTTTTTTGGAGACTCTGTGTACCAAAAGGGTAGTTTTTCTTACACACAGTGCTTACCTATAGGCATAAAATTATGATTCAAACAAGTGTTAAATAACATTACTGCTAGGACTTTTTGGACAGTAGCACCTGACTTTACCTTGACCTTGGCGATGTCAGTAGTTACTGTAGCAGTTTTCCTTGGCACTGACAGCCTAATGTTCCATATTTTAATGTCTTAGCTCTAAGATGGAGCAGCAGCACAAAGTACAGCTTGTAGTTTTCCAGGCTCCTTTAAGAGGTCAAATAAGGAGAATCCAACACCCAACGGAGCTAGATTTTATGTTTCATGTTGAAAAGTTGAGTCCTTGTTGGTTCCTGTCTAGTCAGTGTGTACTGGACAAGTCCTAATGTGAATGGCCGTTTACATTTGAGCATTTCTTTCTTCCAGTCAGTGGCAATGGAGGAGGCAGTGTTGCAGTGCCTGGCAGTTCTCCTGGGCTGCGTCATCCACTTAGACTTCTTTCTAAAGGTCTCCATGCCCTACTCAGGCAATGCACATCTTTCTCAGACTAAGAATGATGAACCATCTCCAGCTCTGTGCTTCAGTTTCCCCTGCGCAGATGAGTGCTCAGTGTCTAAGATAGCATTTACCATGAAGTACTAAGCCTTCTTTATAAAAGTTAATTACTAGTTATTATTAATCGTGGAGTATGATTGATTCTTTCCTATTGACGAGTTGCGTGTGTGTATGGTGGTGTAAACTGAATTACAGGCTGGACAAGGTACTGTATACTGTAGTCTTGTCTTTTTAACAAGCATTTTAGATCATTGAATTTGAGCTTGTCTGCAAAAATGTGAAAGCGCTCAGTTGTTATTTGGGTCATGTGCATGTTTCCATCATGGGAGACATACTGTGATCAGTATACTATTCCAAATGTGTATAGCATTTTATTTTCTAGCAAAGTTTGAATATTTAAGACTAATTCACAATTATGATTTAATTCCTTAGTATACTTGGGAAATCCAGGCTTCTAAAATTAGACACAAGAGGCTGTTAGAAATATAAATTCTCCCCATAATGCTACCTGTTCTAAAAATTGCTCTTAGAACCGAATCGATGTTGAAATGAGAAGGCCAGTTGTAGTAAATGAGGTTGTTTGCTTAACTAAAGCCTTTATACTCTTGGTTTCAGACACTAGCTTTCATGGGAGGCTCATTCATTATGAAGGCAGTGAAAGGCAAAATGTTTAGCAACCAGAGGAAAAAAGAAAAGAGCTGGAGAAAGAACTGCAGAACAGAGTAAGAAGTCAGGGAAAAAAATGCTTGTGAAGGGAAACAATGAAGGAAGGAGAAAGACTCAGAAAGAGGAGGCACAGAGACAGTGAGAGAAATCAGTATGAATTCAAATAGCCATGTTGCTTTGTCATAATTAGTAGAATAATGTTTGGTTCTTTCATTCTGTTCAAGCTAAAATTTTATTTTTACCTATATGATCCTTTGGAAAAGACCTCTTATGCACAGAAGTAATAAAGTGCTCTAACTCTCATTCTGTCAGATTCTGTGCCATACCAGTAGGCTGCTTGGTTGAGTTTTTTAGTTACAGCATGGGTTTTTTTTCTTTTTAAGGTTGTAAAAATTTAATAAAAGATAATTTGGGAAAGGGTTAAGAAGAACTCAGTCTTTTGAAAAAATACTTTCTTCTCTTAATGGAATATTGCTTTGTGACTGAAGCAGACACTTTGAGGGAAATTCAGATTTTCAGGACAAAATGGAATCAGTTTTCTCTTTCTGGTAATGCTTCCCAAGGGTACTTCCCAAAGCCTCATGGCAGAGGGTGTCTGATTACCTATTACTATTGCAGAGAGGACAAGAGCTTCTAGCTCTTCTGCCCACCTCCTTCCACACACACACCTTGCTCCAATCTCCCTTAGCACTTGTGACACATTGACTACCATTTTGTGCCATGGGAAATAGTCTTATTATTTTGTTAAATACTGACTTCAAATTTAAATTTTTGAACATGTTTTCAAACAGTATATCCCATTTCAGAATTTAAATAACCAGTCAGGCCAGGTGCAGTGGCTCATGCCTATAATCCTAACACTTTGGGAGTTCGAGGCGAGTGGATCACTTGAGGTCAGGAGTTTGAGACCAGCCTGGCCAACATGGCAAAATCCTGTCTCTACTAAAAATACAAAAATTGGCTGGGTGTGGTGGCATGCACCTGTAATCCCAGCTGCTCGGGAGGCTGAGGCAGGAGAATCACTTGAACTTCATCACGGCAGAGGATGCAGAGAGCCAAGATCATGCCACTGCATCCCAGCCTGGGCAACAGAGCAAGACTCCATCTCAAATAAATAAATAAATGAATAACCAATCAGTATATATTTTTCTGTATAGTCCTCTCAGTTTTAATGCATCGAGAATGAATAAATGTAGCCTGGTACAGTGACATATATCTCAGGAGGCTGAGGTGGGAGGATCACATGAAGCCAGACGTTCAAGGCTATGATCGTGCCTGTGAGTAGCCGCTGTACTCCAGCCTGGACAACACATGTCTCTAAATAAATAAATTTTTTAAATGAATGAATAAATTTATAATTTTATGATAAATGGGCTATCAGTTTACCTTGATTTGGGTATAGTTTCTGTGTTCTGAAATCGTTATTTTTCAAAATTTTCCATACAGGCACAAGTTCTCACCTCATGGGGTTTGTTAACTGGCCTTCTTTAATAGCTCTTCATTTGTTTCACAACCACTTAATTTGAAAAAGTTAATGTATTTTAAAACTCCAAAGGCCTTCTATAAATTTTGATACCGTATACTACATATTATCCCTAGGTGAGAAATAATGTTTATTTACAGAAAAGCACTTCTACTTTGGACTTTTTATGGATGTGATATTATAGATAAACACCTGAAATTTCTGATGCTGGTAGCTACATCATTTTTTAATGAGGTCAATTTAATATTAACAGTATGAAGATTATTATAAATGTTATATGTGAGCTAAATAATTTTATCTTGATTTATGGTTTTGAGTTCATGAAATTTAAGTAATTAAGTTATGTTTGTTTTTGTCTCTCATTTCCAAGAGACATCCTGAGGCGAACCAAAAGCAAAATCCTTCAAAAAAGTTAAATATCTAAATCAGTAAATACATTTCCATTAACTGCTGGTCTCCTTTCATAGACCCCTGTTGCTATTTTTTTCTCTTCATATACATTATGCAAAGTAATGTTTGTGAAAAGGAATCCTATATATTGTTCAGGCGCATGCTACTTTATATTTCAAGTAATATTGTTTCACATAATACATGTATTTTTGAGTGTCTCTAAGACCAGATGAAGGAGAAACAGTCACAGTTATTAAATCAAGTGATTCTGTGCCTTTTAGCTTAGCAATAGAACAAACTTCTTCAGTAAACCTGAGCCACATTTCTCAGGGGAAAAATAGTTGGATTTTCTTGGGTATTCAATTTGTCAAACAGATTGCTTTTGAAATACTTTGGCTCTGTGCCATAGGATGTCCAAAGATGTTTTATGGTTCAAATATCTTAGTTCTTTAGGGGAAATAAGTGACTTTTCCCTCTTTGGTCTAGGGAAGAAAATTAAAAGCAAGTTGATTTTCGTTTATCTTAACTAATACAAAACAGAATCTTGATATGCCAGTAATTTGTTATTGTGGTTCATGAGCTGTGCTTGATCAAAGACCCCTTGAGACTAATAAAAGCTGTGAGCTTTCTCCACCAGAAAAATGCCCATATACCCCAAGTCTGCATGCAACATAGTATCCACAGGGCTGAAGCTTATTCATGGAACCTGGTTAAGAAACTCTGTATTTTCATGATTCTGCATAAATTGTGATTTTTTAAAAAAAACTTATTTTAATATTTAATATTAATATTTAATATATGTGTGTAGTATATATACTACACATTTTATAGTTTTATTTTTTCTGCATAAGTATTTGTTACATGCAGCTACAATTTCTTGACTACTTAATAATTTCTTATTTAAGAAAGTACTGTAATTATGTTTTATTGGAAGATAATATCAAATTATTACATACTCTACCTAGTGTAAAACATGTCATACACTTGAATAGAATTCATAAAAGAAAAATCAACAAAGTTGTACACTCCGTACTATATTGCTAGATTAATATCCATCCAAGAAACAAGTTTTTGTAGAATTACTGGTTTTAGAAAAAAAAATCACTTAACTTTAGGAAGAACCGAGTGAGATACTGACTTTTGATTCGTGGTAATTTGTTTGTTTTCTTTCTGTTATAATAGCAAAATAACTGTGACAAATTCCATGTGGATTTAATAGAATTTGCAGGGTCATTTAAATCAAGTTGCCTACCAGGAAATGTTGATACTTTCAGTGTGGTGAAATTTTCCTTAGCCATTTCCCCCAATAATTTGCTCATTTCCTAGATATGTAATTTAATGGCACTAGATTTGTTTGTCACTTTGAATTTTTTTCTTTCTGAAGGAGTTAAAAGGATACTTCTTAATAACTGTAACTGTACTTGAGTCTCTTTAATAGTATGGAGAAGAATGAGAGAATAGTGTAGCCATCTGCTCCCCTATGTGAAAGGACTGGGTATTCTACAAGGACTTTGTTCTGGCAAAGGAAGGAGAGTCATTCACTCATTTTTTTAAGAGTATATATTTCTTCATTCTATAGATTGCCTTCTCGGAAGTTCAACTTTTTAAAAAGCTTATCAACTTAGAAATCATCCATGTTCTGCTTATGTTGATTCATGCCATAGTAAACTCTTTAAGTCCAAGAAAAGAGAAGACCCAGAATGCCTGCCTCTGGGCAGCATGTTGATTTCCTTACAACTGTGTATCTCAGCAGTGTTTGACTTGGATGAAGGAAATGATAGAAAAACTTTGCCATCTTGAAATCTGGATCATAAGGTGCCAGAGCCTTCTGTTAGCTTATTTGTCGTCTGTTATTTTATGGTTCCTGCAAGCTCCATTCCTTGGAGGTGCTTGAAACTGCAACTTACATAATCAGTTCCTAAGATCGGTTCAAATACTGCTATACTCAAAAACAAGTGTGTTTAAAAAATTTAAGTATCTTTTTTCATGTATTTGATACATTTAAAAATTATTTTTGAAACTGTGTCATAGGTAGGTTTTTTTTCTGTAGATTCTTCAAAATCACTTTTTCTTACAAGCTTTTCAATTTTATAGTCTCTCCTAATGTATTACTAGCTTTACTTAAATCCGGTAATCAATGATCTATAAATCCATATCCAGTTACAAGAGCCTAGTATAGAAAGGAAATGTGCGGTATAATTCTTGGGGAAAAATGAAAAATCTTCATTTGTGCCTATGGGCTATCTATTATAGTATGTTGATACATCATGGCCAGTGTCCATTCTGGTTGTGCAGTACCTGTTGTTGAATATTTTGAATATCACTCATGAATACATTTTTTCCTGGATGAAATAAGGACTTTTCTTTATTTAATATATAATCAGATTCCTGAACATCAAGCTGAAATGTTATTTCTCTTCCGGCATTTCTTACTCCTTTGTAGGGTTTAATTTCAGCTCAGGGTTATTTTGCTTATGCTTTTTTCACTTATTCTTGCAGTTAAGAATAAAATTCTAAATAAAACAGATACTGAAATAAATAAATACTTTATTTGTTTGTTAGACATTGTGATGAACAATGTCTAAGATTTATCAGATCCCAAAACTAGAAGAACACCTAAAGATCATCCATTCTGATTCATCTGCCAGCTCATATCAGGGACCTGAGATTAGAATCCTGGTTTCTTGATTCCCAGTTCTGTACCTTTTTTATTTTTTATTTTTTTGAGACCGATTCTTGCCTTGTCACCCAGGCTAGAGTGCAGTGGCGCGATCTTGGCTCACTGCAAGCTCCGCCTCCTGGGTTCTCGCCATTCTCCTGCCTCAGCCTCCCGAGTAGCTGGGACTGCAGGCGCCTGCCACCATGCCCGGCTAATTTTTTGTATTTTTAGTAGAGACGGGGTTTCTCCGTGTTAGCCATGGTGGCGTAACTTTTAAGTATAGTCTTTTGCTGTAAATTATTTTTTCTGAACCTATTTAAGAATTTGATGGTCTTGAAAATGAAATTTTCATTCATATTATTACTGATTATTTATTCTTGATTCCAGGTTACTATGAAAACCAGTACTACTGATTTTTTAACACATTAAAATTAAGTTTTACATCCCTTGGTATGGCAGTGAGAAAGATGATGAAAAATGGACTTCTTTCTCCCTAGGGTTGATTTTCTGATCTCAGCACTTTAAACAGTCAGTGTGAGGCTGCATCATTGCTTTCCAGTCTTAGCCTTCTTTTCCCCTTCCCTCTGTTCCACATGTCAGGTCTGCTGCCATAGGGAACAGTCCAATTTGTGCCTTACAAAGGTACCTTTTCCTGCTGTGTCCTGCCTGGATGTTCCCAGTGTCATCTGCTAGGTTCCCTACTGAAGCCCCTTCTTCCTTTCTTTTTCCTCCTTCCCCCTTCCTTCCTTTCCTTTTTTCCTTCTTCCCTTCTTCTCCATTTTCCCCTTCCCCTTTTCCTCCAGTACCTTCCTCTTCCTAAGTACCTCCCCCCAGACCCCTATCTCCAGTTAAACTTTTTCTTTTATCTCATTGTTCTTTTAAAGCCTCTCAGCGTCACTTACAGTTTATAAAACATTTGTGTATGGATTTTAACTTTAACCTTAGCAAAATTAGTAGGAAAAGGTTAGCCTAACCCTTAGGATTTTTTTCCAATAACAAGTGCATTTTAATACTGACTTTCTACAGACAAACCGTCTACCTTTGTTGTTCAATCTCTGAATGAATCTAAAGGTAGGAATTTTAGGGCCTGGAAGAAACCTACCTGCCCATCTAGTCTTGCCAGTGAGAAAGGTGATAGAAGACGACAGGGCAAATCTTAGTCCTTAACTCTCCCCATAGAGATCCCTGGGCCATGTACTGGGAGGACCAGCCCTGGTTAGATCAAGAAATCAGCTGGAAAGATACCTTGGCTCTACTGGGCACTTTGACTCATCTGATTTATCGCTGGCCCACATAAGACGAGTTTCAGTGACTCAATCTATTGGTGACCATTTGATTTCTATGGAATCAGGGAGTTTCTTCCTCAGCAGACGTTTCCTTATTCTTCCTATTTTCAGGTGTCTAAACTTGTGACTTGAGTACTTTAAATATCATAGAATGCATTTTATTTTCAGTAGCCTGCTAAGGAAATTACTGCTATTCCTGCAGCTAGTAGTATCAAGTGAGGAAATTGGATCCAAGGTATTCATCATCAAATTATAGCTTTTTACTTTTAACCTGATTGCTGGTTTAGTTTGGGGCAGTTAGCGACTTGAAGGATAGATTTAGTAAGAAAAGATGCTCTGGAAGAGGAGCAACTTGAAGAAAAATAGACCCTGGGGGGAAGAATTGAGGTCAAAGAATTGAGGAGCAAAGAGATGTCCATTTGTTCTAAGGCAGCTTAGTGAAAGGTGGAGGTGAGGTTTGAATGGAGGTAGTCAGTGAAGAAGAGGCATCTGTATTTTCAAAGCCAGTAAAGGTTGGTGTTGATTGATAATCAAAAGAAGCTTAAGTTTTATTCATGATCATCGTCATATCTTGGAACTGGTTACGTTCCATTATGATTGCTGAGCCTTTAGCAGCAGAGCTCACCTCCTGCCCTTCGCTAGCAGGTTTCTTCTAGAGCAGATCATGGAAAATGGTATAATGTGTATGGCTCATTAGAATGTAATCTTAAGTGGCCTTTGGAAATCAGTCATGTCAAAATGTGGTGTGATTCTAGCTTTCCAAGTTGACTTTTTCCAACTCTGAAACGTTATCTCCTAAGTGTCCTAGGCTTCCCACTATGAAATGTTGCATGCTGATAAATAGTTGATGTACCTGTCACTCATGTCGCTACATGAACTGTTTCTCGGTTAATTATAGGAACTAAGAGAAATACACAATAAGCAACAACTCCAGAAGCAAAAGTCCATGGAGGCTGAACGACTGAAACAGAAAGAACAAGAACGAAAGATCATAGAATTAGAAAAACAAAAAGAAGAAGCCCAAAGGTGAGTCTTCTTTGGATTGTGGACTCATCTGGAAGGAACTTTGAGGATTTACTATTCTTTGCTTGGCTTCTCCAAGTAGTTACTGCACCAGAAAGAGCCTTCAGTCTTTAGTGTGCATGTGAAGTGTGAGTGCAAACACAAACACGTGTATATATGAATCTTTGCATGTATCAGTACCCTCTGAAGTTTTTGGTTGGTTCCCAGAGCTCTCTCAAGCTACTACTATGTAGATAAATGGAATTATACAAGGAAATTGGGACACTTGGTGTGCTCATTTGCATGCTAATGGCCAGTTCACAGCCTTTTACTAACAGCTAACAGGGGTTGGAGTGCCTGGTTTAAAATCCAAGCCACTGAGCTAGTGCCCCACACAGGGCTTCTCCAGCAGGGTCAGGGTGGGCCTCTTCTGTTTTTCAACTGCAAATTAAACTTTAGTACAAAAGGGGGAAATTTGCCACCGCTGCTTAGTGTGTAGGATACAGACATGTTTTTATCTGTTTTTGTTTGAAGATTTATTTGTGATATTTTTATTTTTACTTGTAACTTACTGTAGTAAATTGTAGAAATTTGTGTCTGATTTTGTTACTGGGTATTTGCCTTTTAAATGTCAGTTAATTTTAGACTCCACGAAACAAAAATGACCAAATGTCCCAATGACAGCCCCGTAAATTATAAAAGTTGGTAATTGAAATTAGATTAAGGCCAGGCATGGTGGCTCACACCTGTAATCCCAGCACTTTGGGAGGCCGAGGTGGGCGGATCACGAGGTCAAGATATTAGGACCATCCTGGCCAACATGGTGAAACCCTGTTCTATTAAAAATGCAAAAAATTAGCTGGGCACGGTGGCACGCGCCTGTAGTCCCAGCTACTTGGGAGGCTGAGGCAGGAGGATCACTTGAACCCGGGAGGCGGAGGTTGCAGTGAGCTGAGATCATGCCACTGCACTCCAGCCTGGCAACAGAGCAAGACTCTGTCTCAAGAAATTAGATTAAAAAGGCGAAGAAACGGATACTTGAGGCAAGTCATTGACTTTAGTGGGCTGAGTTCAGTTAACCTGCCAAGAGCTGTGCATACTTTCTTATGGGTATATAGAGTCTTCTGTTTGTTTTTCAGTGCCAGTGGGGAGGTATCTGGGGTCCCAGACCAATTTACAGGATTGTTTTATGGTTTTCTTGGGGGTCAGACTAAGGATCTCCTCCTTGGATGTTGATTAACTCCATCCTTTTCTTACCCCCAGAGTTTATAAAATGCTTTTATTATTCACACTATACCACACTGAACTGTTAAATTCCTACAGTGTAGAAATAAACATAAAATACAGAAAAATACATAAAATAGCATAATACAGAAAATAGCATAAAAATATAATATGGAATATGTATTCCAATTATATAGATAAAAACTGCAAATTAACGTCAGAAATTAGATGGTTATACAGTATATATGGTGACCTTCATTGGTAGAAAATATAAAGTAATTCTTTTTTTTTTTTTTTTAATTTTTTATTTTTTGAGACGGAGTCTCGCTCTGTCACCCAGGCTGGAGTGCAGTGGCACGATCTCGGCTCACTGCAACCTCCGCCTCCCAGGTTCAACCGACTCTCCTGCCTCAGCTTCCCAAGTAGCTGGGACTACAGGTGTGTGCTACCACGCCCAGCTAATTTTTATATTATTAGTAGAGATGGGGTTTCACCATGTTGGTCTAGAACTCCTGGCTGGTCTAGAACTCCTGACCTCGTGATCTGCCCTCCTCAGCCTCCCAAAGTGCTGGGATTACAGGCATGAGCCACCGCGCCTGGCCACTGTTTTTATTATGGTTTTTTTGTTGTCATGAATAACCATATCCTTACCCCTCCAAAAAATGTTTTTATACTTTCTTAAAAGACATTTTAAAAATTGTAAATAAAATGTTTAAGATTTAAGTTTAAAGACTTCTGCATTAAAATATCACATTCATACAGAGTAGAAATAAATGTAATTTTTTGACAATGGAGAATAAAAGTATAATTTGTTTCAATTATGTTCCCGTGGCAGATTCCTAATTCTAGCCGATGACCTGTGTGCGTTAGCCATGTCACAGGATGGCAGTTCAGGGTGGAGACTCTGGGACCAGGCTGCCTGGGATTGAAGCCCATGCATGTATGGCTGTGTGACGTGGACAAGTCATTTAATATCTCTGCCCCAGCTTCCTCATTTGTAAAATAGGAGTAATACTAGGACTACCAACCTGATTCGCAGTTTAAAGGAGTTAATATATGGGGAGCTAGTTATTATTATGTCATTTGTTATTACATATTAGTTTCATTTAAAGTATTTTCTGACTTTATAAAGTATTATGGAATGAGAAAAATCATTCTCAGTCTTTTACTGTGGGTTTCAGGTTGAGGCCATCAAAAATTTCAAGGCCTAGATTTAATTACAATTATCTATTTGTGGTAGCTACTTTGAAAAACAAAATCAAAGTAGTTGAAGTCAATAAAACAATCCCTTGCTTTCAACTTCAGGTTTGGGGAGCAATGTGTGTGCATGTAAATGTGTTGTTCCCTTTGCTGGGGGGAAATTTTTACAGTGTTGGGTGTATTTTATTTTTATAGAAGTTATGTTCTCTGTGTTTTATGGCTTTGTTTGTTTGTTTTGTCAGTTTAATACCAGCTTTATTATTAAGAAGTATTTTTCTTATTCTTGTAACCACTTTGTAAAATACATCAGAAATTTTCTGTGTTTTCCTAAATCATGTGATTTCTTCTCATTCAGAACTGGAGCCCTGATTCAGTTGCCCCATCTGAACAACAATGTTCCCTTGATGTTCCCATCCCATTTACTGGATGGAGCTTTTTTTGTGAAAAGAGGCAACAGTAGTGTTAACTTAGAGTTGCTTTCTTGCTGTAATCAAGCGTGTTTGTTGGCAGACGAGCTCAGGAAAGGGACAAGCAGTGGCTGGAGCATGTGCAGCAGGAGGACGAGCATCAGAGACCAAGAAAACTCCACGAAGAGGAAAAACTGAAAAGGGAGGAGAGTGTCAAAAAGAAGGATGGCGAGGAAAAAGGCAAACAGGAAGCACAAGACAAGCTGGGTCGGCTTTTCCATCAACACCAAGAACCAGCTAAGCCAGCTGTCCAGGCACCCTGGTCCACTGCAGGTATTAGAAGCCAAAAATAATTATAGAAAATAAGTCATCTTCTCTCCCAGAGCCTCCTGAAAAATGCCCCTATCTCATCAGTACCTGTCTTGGCTACATTAACAGATGAGAACGTCAGTCTCTTATTTTGAGCATGGCCAGCTCTTCTTTCCCCAGGGTCATTTGAGATCTGTGTAATTCTCCCACCACCATGCCAGCCTCTGGCCCACGTTACACTGGCATCCACGAGTCCTCTACGGAGCTAACAAGTGGCGTGAAGTTCCAGTGGTCTTATATGCTGCAAAAGAACCTGCTGTTTCTCTGGTTTGTTATTTCCCTCCCTGGAATTTCTGAGCTGTTTCTGCAACAGAAAGTGGCACCTTTCACCCTTGCCTCCACTGATGGGGCATTCGCTGTCTTCGGTCTGCATTGCATAAAACTGCTTTTACTTTTTGAAAAATGTAAAAGCATAATTTGCCTTTTCTTTACTTCTCTTTTCTTTCTTCTCTTTCCTTTTCTTTTTTCTTTGAGACAGTGTCTCACTCTGTCGCCTAGGCTAGAGTGCAGTGGCACACTCATAGTTAAATGCAGCTTCAAACTCTTGGGTTCAAGCAATCCTCCTGTCTTAGCCTCTCAAGGAGCTGAGACTATAGGCATGCACCACCATGCCCAGCTAATTTTTTTTTTTTTTGTAGAGATGGGGGGTCTCACTTTGTTGTCCAGGTTGGTCTTGAACTCCTGGCCTCAGGCGATCCTCCCACCTTGGCCTTTCAGAGTACTGAAATTACAAGCATGAGCCACCATGCCTAGCCTAATTTGCCTTTTTTTTTTAAAAAAGGGATAAATGAAAGACTGAACAAAAAGATAAATGAAAGACCAATCTAATCGGAATAGCTAGAAAAAGCTATCCTTTATAATATCTGATGTGAGCTAGAATGTATTTAAGATTCTTGTGTGGTTGTGTGATTGTACAGTTTTGCAAATAATGTTCAGTGGAAGCAAGTCATTGCTTTTTCTTTGTGTGGTAAATTATACCAGTTTTGCTTGGTCATCCATGTGCTTCTTTAGTGCTTCAGTATACAGAAAGAAAAGAAAGAAAAAACACTTTCAAGCTATTCTGTAAAGGTTTACTGGTCCCCAGCTACATAGTGGGCAGAGATGGGCGTGAGGTATGGAGTTGCATTAGGCACCTACCTGCCTTCAGATGCATGCAGTCCAGGGGAAAGACTGGCAGGTCATCAGACCTACAGAGTAGCAACCATGTCATAGGAGGGGCAAATTAATTTTTTGATAGTTTTTTTTTTAATCTGAAAATAATTTCACCATTGATCTTAGGAAGTTAGTTTAAGTTCTTCATGCGTCCTCCTAGTATAAGATGAGGATTTATTTTTCCCCTTCAGTCAGTAGGAAATCTTGCATGTCATACAGTTCAAAATCATGTGGAGATAATACTTCCCCCTCGTTGCTTTTCAGATAAGATAGGTATATGTCAAAATACTTGTAGCTCTTGAGTAAAAATGCCCAAAGGTCTGTTACTAGTTTTTGCTAACCAGAATCCAAAATATCCTCCGCTCATGTGCATTTTTAAACATTTTATTTCATGTAAAATCTAAATTATTTTCATCTAGGTTTCATCCTTAGGCTAATTATTTCCCAAAGAAATGTAGAGGAAGAGTGTCTTCATCGGGGATTATCAGTATAACCAAAATCAGCACTTAGTTTTTATATGACCAGGTTAAAGAGCCTAAAACATCTGCATTTTCATGTTTCAGTATGGAAACTGGTGCCTCTGTTCCCTCCCAAACAAGTTGACTCCTTGGCTGATTCAGACTTTGGGTCATATCCTAACTGCTACATTGTACTCAACACACTGGGTAGGGAGGAGGGCGGGTATTGATGCTTTACAGATCTGCACTGCTGGAGCCCAAGGAAAGAGGCAGAGACAAGGGACCTTTAGGCAGCCTCGCCGCACCCAGGCTTGGAGTGACCTTTGTTTAGAGAGAGTCACTAATGAACTCTCTCATGGGTTTTTGTTGCTGACGTCAGATTTGGCTGTGCTTTGGCATTCAGTATGTGTTTCAGAAATTCCTTGAATGGAGGGAAATAGTTCAGAGGTTAAGATAGGCAATAGAGGAGAGGTTAGTTGTTTGGCTTGTTGTCATACATTTGTGTTCTCTGTAATTATTTATTTTTGTCCCCCCCACCTTTTTTTGTAAACAGAAAAAGGTCCACTTACCATTTCTGCACAGGAAAATGTAAAAGTGGTGTATTACCGGGCACTGTACCCCTTTGAATCCAGAAGCCATGATGAAATCACTATCCAGCCAGGAGACATAGTCATGGTAAGAAAGACTCCAGTGAGAGGGTCATTTCTGTTGAAGATTAGCCTCTGTCCTCTTTTTTTCACTTTATTCAACAATTGTGAGATTGTCAGTGAGTATGAAACCCAATAATCCAGCATCTAGATTTTTAAAGTATAAGCTCAATCTTCTTTCTTTTCTATTAAAATGAAAGATGGCATTTAAAAAAATGTATCCTAACATCATTTTAAAATTGAGTTGATAAAGACAGTGTGTTCTTATTTTTAAATCTATAAATGTCTGATAATTTCAGAGTTTAGATTACTACTTATATACTATGAGTATACATATATATGTAATACATATATTTTATATATGATGTATAGACAATATATATACTAGTGTGCGTGTGTATATATATGTGTATGTATAATATATACTAGTGTGCGTGTGTGTATATATGTACACATATATATACACACACAAAAGGATCCTCCAAGGTGGAAGGAGGCCAGGAGTCTTTAAGAAATAGTTATAAGTGCAAAACACTCTATCAAATCATTCTCATAATTGCAATAACTTTTGTATCTTTGCATCAAAGCATCTTTTTTCCCTTTAATTATGTGAACTTTTAATTATGTAAAAAGAGTAATGAATTATACAGTTAATCTGCTTTCCTACTTTGTAACAGAAAATAGTTTAGAATTTTGCTTTGTTATTGTTTCTTTCCTTGAACTAATAATCATTTTATGATGTGACTAAAACTATAGGAACCAGTTTAAGAAAGAAAATCAGACATGGTTGATCTAAATCATTTTCTAAAAGAAAATAGTAGTTCCTTGTTCTAGTTACTCTCTTTAGAGTCTTAGAAGTAGTCAACTCTGCATTACTCTTAACATTTTTTTTTTTTTTAAAGATAATTTAGATTTTTTTTTTGTTGTGGTTGACACAAGTTCTCACTCTGTTGCCCAGGCTGGAGTGCAGTGGTGTGATATTGGCTCACTGCAACCTCTGCCTCCCTGCAACCTCTGCCTCCCTGCAACCTCTGCCTCCCTGCAACCTCTGCCTCCCGGGCTCAAGCAAAGCGATTCTCCCACCTCATCCTCCCAACTAGCTGGAACCACAGGCGTGCACCACCATGCCCAGCTAATTTTTGTAATTTTTATAGAGATAGGGTTTCTCCGTGTTGCCCAGGCTGGTCTTGAATTGCCTGGGCTCAAACGATCCTCCCAGGTCAGCCTCCCAAAGTGCTGAAATTACAGGCATGAGCCACCATGCCTGGCCTAGAATTTGTAAAGAACTGTGAAAGTTAACAATTGAAACAAACATGTTTCTTACCCAAGGACTGTATGTCTTTGAAGTATAAAGGGTGGTGTACAGGTGATTTTACTATTACTCATGCATTCATCTTGCCATATACACATCATATCTGTGGATCTTTAATAGGCTAAAATACCTAGAAATAACAATATGTTTGGCACTTAGAGAAATGAATTCCTGTGTCCCCTTTTTTCCTAATAGCTGCTTTCTCTGTAATTACCATGGGCTAGAAGAAGCAAGGCCAAACATCCCAAATTATTTTTTCTTTTTTTTGAGACAGGGTCTCACTCTGTCACCTAGGCCAGAGTGCAGTGGCATGATCTTGGCTCACTGCAGTTTCCACCTCCCAGGCTCAAGTGATCCTCCTGCCTCAGCCTCCTGAGTAGCTCAGAGGCGTGTGCCACCACACCGAGCTAATTTTTATTTTTTTACATTTTGTAGAGACAGAGTCTCCCTATGTTGCCCAGGCTCCAGATCTTTAAAAGTTAAAATCACCTTAACAGTAGCAAAAACCTCTTCAAGTATACTCCATGGCTTCATTCAGCACACAGTTATTGACTGAAACATGCTGGGTGCCAGCCTTACTCATCCTTTACAGAAAGAACTGTTGGTTTGGGCATGCCACTCTGTACACACAAATGGTAACTTGAGCCAGCGGGGTGTGTTTCTGTCAGCTTTCCTCTGACTTCACCACCTGCTGTTTCCTACACCGTGGTTTCTGATAGCCTGAAGCTACTTTACTCATACTGCCTCATATTTGAAGTAGTGTATCCTGTAAAGCAGATTAATTGTAAAATATGTAAACACCATATAATAGGAATCTAAAATTTCTGAAAATACAATGTCACATCAGTGAGGACCTCATTACAATTTTTTTTTTAATGTTAAACAAACCAGCCTAATATTTTTGAAACTGGATTTTGTTGCAACACAAGGTGCAGAGAAGCAGCTCGCTCTCATCCTAAAGTAAGGGAATGTTATGAAATGTGATGATGAGGAAATGTTGCAGGTGATCTGTATCTTAATGAGAAAGTGTTGCTCTTTTTCGGGAACATATCTGGGCTTCACTTGTAATCCTAGGCCTGTTGAAACCTTTTCCTCGAATTGGCTAGTTAACCACCAGCTTGATGAGATGCGTAGAGTTTAGATATGCTGTAAGAATAAAGCATGTCATTAAACATATATTTTGCCTTGCTTTCAAACCTTTGCTTTCCTGGTGGAGGTTAAAGGGGAATGGGTAAGTGTTGCCTAACTGTCAGGAAGTCTGCATCTTATTCAATGTTTTGTCCTTTTAAGTCACTTGAATTCTGTGTAAGTACACGTATCTCTGGGTGTTGTTGCGGCAGTAAAAATGTGTTTGAGTCTGTGTAGTAGGTTGTGCTTTTTAAAAAAAAAGTAAGTCGTAAGTCTTCTCAGTTTGTGTACTGGGTTTCTTTTTGTTAGATTCCTTTTAAGGACTAACTTGAATGCTCTGTGTTTGGCAAGGGATTAGGTCAAGTCTCCATCTCAGGCCATAGACAAAAAGGAGTTCCAAGTAGATTAAACATAAAAGATAAAATTCTGGGAAAAAAATTTTTTTAAGCAGACTATTGGAATAATTTTCTGGCTAAGAAAGGCCTTTTGAAGCTATAAAAACCAGAAGTCGTTAAGAGGCAAAAATGGACAGTCAACAATATGCAAAAATTAAAATGTCTATGTTTCAAAATATATGAGACCAAGGGTTACATAAAGGGTTACCCCTGTTACATAAAGATTCCGAACAGTTCACTTTGAAAGACACCCACAAGCCTTAAACAATTGGCAGAGGGTGGGAAGGGACATTCACAGATGAAGTAAAAAGTCAGTTATTTAAAAAATACATGAAAAGATGCTTAGCTTCTTGGGTGATCAGAAAAATGCAAGTTATAAAACAAAATAGCATTGTTCCTCTGTCAAATGAGCAAGTTTAAAAGTCTGGTAATATCCAGCTTTGTCAAGAGTATAGGACAGTGGATATAATATACATTGTTAGCATGGTTGTATAAATTGGTTAAGCGATTTGGAAGGCAATTTGGCAGTGCCTGTTTAGATTTAAAATTCTCGTTCCCTCTGCCCCAGAAATTCTATTTTTCTCCTTCCTCTCATTCTTCTCCTTCCTCTTTTGGGCACATGCACAAATATGTGTGTACATGGATGTTCACTGCAGTGGTGTTGGTAAAAGCAAATAAACAGCCCAATGTCCATCAGTAAAGGGATGGCTTAAATAAATTATGATACAGCTAAAAAATACAATGAAGATTAAAACTTATGTAGATCACATATACACATAAGATTTCCATCAAAAAAGCAGAATATGTGCAGCATAATTGCATTTTGGTTCGAAATAAAACTATATATGTATTCATGTGTTTATGTATAGTTAACAGTTTTGAAATATATATATCAAACTGTTAACAATGGTTACCACTGGGCAGTAAAGAAGGGGCTTTCGTGTTGAATTTTATAGACTTCTATGTTATTTTCATTTTTATAAATGTATCTAATTTGTAATTTTTAATAAAACAAAATAAATTCAAGGACAAGTATATTAGAGAGTATCTACTCAGGACTGTAATAATGTTTATTATATCTCAGACCTCCCAAATATGTAATGAAATGTAGAATGTACTACTAGGCATAATTCGTTGGCTTGCAGAAGGGACAGCAGTGTTTCGATTTTGTACTACAAAATGCATTGTGATACTCCAGGTGCCATTCAGCTGTGTTATCTTTGTGAGGATAACAGTCAATGCAAAAAGATAGATATTGACATCTAATAGCAACAGGTTTGTATTTTTTTAATTTCATGAATTTTGCAGTTAACAAATGATGAGCATGAGACATGTAGTACAACATTACTGTCAGTCTCCCTAGGTTGAAAAATCCGGGGTTCACTTATACTTTTGTGGGCACAGTCATCAGATTCTCAGATTCCTCAAACGTCTTTGGGACATAGCTTACTATAATATGTTCGATTTTTAGAAGTCTAACATTGTGACAGTGTTTTTTAATGTAGGCAGTCTTAGCCTTAAAAATATTTTGTTTTTAGAAAAACTTAGCCTGGTTTTATCCAAAACTATAATTTTTCATGTTTAACAAAAATTTAATGTGGTACCTTGTATATAGCACTATTCTCAGCACTGTAGATAATAGAAAATTATCAAGTCTGCCATTCATATGTTTAAAATCTTTTTAGAAAAATCTAGAGAAACACATGAAAAGGCCAACATGTGATGAAGTTCTCAATAAACATTCACTAACTCTGCTAGGAATTTAAAAGAGGAGAGGAATCAGTGTAAAGTGATGTGCTCAGGGAAGACCAAATGCTTTCAATTGAGTCTGACCTTGATGGCTAAGGCTTAGATGCGTAGAAAATACATGGCCTCTCTTGATCTGGAACTCCCAATACTTGGAGGGTGAATTAAATCAAATTTGACATCCGTAACATGTTAGTAGAACATAAGAAATGAGAAGACCTATGCTCACTGCTGTTTTGTTGAAGTTTATCTTGAGAACACAGGCTGAGTGTCTAAATCAGTACAATCTTTTGGCTTTCATGGGCCACATTGCAAGAATTGTCTTAGGCTGCACATAAAATACACTAACACTAATAATAGCTGATGAACTTCAAAAAAAAGCTTGCAAAAAAAACTCATAATGTTTTAAGAAAGCTTACGAATTTGTGTTGGGCCTCATTAAAAGCTGTCCTGGGCCACATGCAGCCAGTGGGTTGCGGGTTGGACAAGCTTGGTTTAAATGCTTATCCTTGGACTGGTACAGGCCTGAATGCATCCAGATTGCTGAGGGAGCTTCCAAAAAATAACCATGCCAGGGCTCATCCCCAGAGATTCTGAGAACTCTACTGCATATACAGCCTTCAGAAGTCTGACCAGGTGGTTCTGTTAGGTAGTCAATTTCAGGAACCGCTGATCTAACCTAATCTCTTTTTCACGTCAGGACTAATCCTAAATCATTTCTAGAAAATATCCTCTTAAAAATATCCAAAGAAGAATGGACTTCTTTAGTAGTTATCAGTCATTAGCCAGTCAGTTCATTCTGGAAATTGTTTGTCTTAGTGTTACTCTTATAACAATTTTTAACTCATTCTTTTCCTTTTCTTCTCCTGACAGACATTTTTTTAAATGTAGCCAACAATACCTTTTTCCTCTACCTTCCATAGATTTCCATAGATTAAACATCAGAAAGTATCTCATTTAGTAACAACTGGCCATAATATCACTGCAGTTTTGAGGGACCAGTATACACGATTACAGGGTTGGCTCAAATCTGGCCCAATCACTGCCTGTTTTATAATAAAGTTTTATTGGAACACAGCCAGGCTCCTTCATTCACATATTGTGTGCTACAGTGGCGGATTTGAGTAGTTGCAACAGAGGTGAAATTTGCCAGCCTCCAGGTTGGAGCTTTAGAAAGAGTTTTTTTGTTTGTTTATTTTTTGTTTTTGAGACGGAGTCTCTCTCTGTCGCCCAGGCTGGAGTGCAGTGGCGCGATCTCGGTTCCCTGCAAGCTCCGCCTCCCGGGTTCACGCCATTCTCCTGCCTCAGCCTCCCGAGTAGCTAGGACTACAGGCACCCGCCACCACGCCCGGCTAATTTTTTTGTATTTTTAGTAGAGATGGGGTTTCACCGTGTTAGCCAGGATGGTCTCAATCTCCTGACCTCAGAAAGAGTTTTAAGGCCGGGCGCGGTGGCTCACGCCTGTAATCCCAGCACTTTGGGAGGCCGATGTGGGCGGATCACAAGGTCAGGAGATTGAGACCATCCTGGCTAACACGGTGAAACCCCGTCTCTACTAAAAATACAAAAAAAAAAAAAATTAGCCGGGCATAGTGGCGGGCGCCTGTAGTCCCAGCTACTCGGGAGGCTGAGGCAGGAGAATGGCATGAACCCGGGAGGCGGAGCTTGCAGTGAGCCGAGATCGCGCCACTGCACTCCAGCCTGGGCAACAGAGTGAGAATCCTTCCAAAAAACAAAGACTTTTAATATCCTCATCTAGGAATTTGGGGAGAAACCTTATATTTCAAAACCGGCAAATCCATGGAAAATGTTTTACTACCTGCACTCCTCAACACATCCCATGCAGCCACTGTCAGCTGGTCTGAATACACAGGCTAAACCTGTTTGCTACACTTGTTTATCATGTTCTATGAGGGGAAAAAGGAATTTCTGCTTCCCCCCTTTGTGACAAGGTCAGAGATTTTAGAAATATTAATCTTACCTAATGAAGATGGCAGCCATGGAGCATATAAAAATTGAGAAAAGAGGTGTAATATCATCGGCCTTTGCCAAACGGACTTGAAGCTGAAGTGGCTGCTGTGTATATTTGACTGTTGCATCAGCGAGCTACAATATGCAGTGTGTAATTACTAACATTTAGTAGAGCAGCTCTGTAACATAGTCCCAGAAATGTGAGCAATATCTGGTGTTTGTACTTCGCTTAAATGATGTTTCACTAGAATTACCCCCAAATACGTTGGGGTGTTACAGTGTGCCTGATAAATGAAATTGTATTGAGACCAAAATTGTTAATAATAACATCTCCCTTATAGCCCCCAGTAGGTAAATGTACATTGTGTAAAAGTCCACGTTGGAACCAGTCATATTACAAAGCAGTTTGTGTTCCTATTTCTTGGTCTGCCATAATCTTATGTTTTCCAAAATTGGATTGGCATTTTGGGTAGTTTTCCAAATCCAAGAAGAAATATTTTTCATTTTCATATGTTGACCTTTGTGCCCTTTCTAAGTGGTTAATTTAATTTAGGTGTTAAGAATGAAAGTCTCTTACAGCCCCTGAACCTTAAAATGTAATAATTTATTAAAATTGATGTATACTTGTAAGAGTAAATTAAGCTAATTGAGACTATTGTTTGGGGGGCTGTTGAGACCAACAGATTTCTTTGCTTAAAAGTGAAATGCTGATTTCACTGTTATCCTTAGGGATGGGAGAAGCTCTTGCTTAAGGGGATAAGAGGCTGATATGGCCCCCTCCTTCACTCCTAGGTGTACACTGCACCAGCAGGCTTTCTATCACATCTGAGGACAGGCTGGGTGTTATCAGTTTACTGGAGGGGGAGGACATTTCCCCAGGGCTTCAGGTCGCATTCCAGATGTCCACCAGTGTCTCGCTCTGTTACTCAGGCTGAGTGCAGTGGTGTGATTTTGGCTCACTGCAACCTCCGCCTCCCGGGTTCAAGCAGTTGTCCTGCCTCAGCCTCCCAAGTAGCTGGAATTACAGGCATGTGCCACCACGCCCGGCTAATTTTTGTATTTTTTGTAGAGATGGGGTTTCACCAGCCTGAAACTCCTGACCTCAAGTGTTCCATCCACCTTGGCTTCCAGAAGTGCTGGGATTACAGGAGTGAGCCACTGCACCTGGCCTAAAAGTCTTATTAACCAGTCAATACCCTGTGTTTCAAGGGAGTAACAATAGATCATGGGACATAATTAAGCAAAGCAGCTGACCTTTGAGGAGGTCCAAAATGAGCAGACGAGTAGGAGTTCCCGTCGATCAAGGGATCCACTTGAGCCCCTAAAGGATTGCTTATGGCAAGAAGGTAAACCTAGAGGGAGCAGAGGACCAGGCAGTTAGAGCAGGGAACTCCTGAACAGAGAAGCAGATTGTTACCTAGAGTGAAGGTAAAGTCAAGACCAGGCTTTTGGCCGGGCGCGGTGGCTCACGCCTGTAATCCCAGCACTTTGGGAGGCCGAGGCGGGTGGATCATGAGGTCAGGAGATCGAGACCATCCTGGCTAACAAGGTGAAACCCCGTCTCTACTAAAAATACAAAAAAAATTAGCCGGGCGCGGTGGCGGGCGCCTGTAGTCCCAGCTACTCGGGAGGCTGAGGCAGGAGAATGGCATGAACCCGGGAAGCGGAGCTTGCAGTGAGCCGAGATTGCGCCACTGCAGTCCGCAGTCCCACCTGGGCGACAGAGCGAGACTCCGTCTCAAAAAAAAAAAAAGACCAGGCTTTTAGAATAGGACAGAAGCCCAAGTAGGAGAACTACAGCGCAACATCAGAGCTGGACAGCAGAAGAGAGAATTTAAAAAAAATATCTGGCCTGGCACGGTGGCTCACGCCTGTAATCCCAGAACTTTGGGAGGCCTAGGCGGGCAGATCACCTGAGGTCAGGAGTTCGAGACCAGCCTGGCCAATATGGTGAAACCCCATGTCTACTAAAAATACAGAAATTAGCCAGGCGTGGTGGTGGGCACCTGTAATCCCAGCTACTCAGGAGGCTGAGGCAGGAGAATTGCTTGAACCCAGGAGGCAGAGGTTGCAGTGAGCTGAGATTGTGCCAGTGTACTCTAGCCTGGGTGACAAGAGTGAGACTCCATCTCAAAAAAAAAAAAAAGCTAACACTTTTAGTATGCCAGGCATTGGTGTAAATATTTGTCAGTCCTCACAGTGAGCATTATAATAAGACAGGTATTTTTATTATCCCCATTTTACAGATGAAGAAACAGGTGCCACGAGATTAAACTTGCCCAAAGTCAACCAGTTAATAGATTGTAGAACTAGCTCCTAAATTGAGACGGTCTAACTGCAGAGCCCTATTCTTGATCATTACACTTTGCAGTCTTGACACTAAGTTATTGTGTGTTTGGCTCAAGCTCCTAACCCACTCCTGCCTGACATCACCTTTGGTCCTAGAACCAAGGTGGCTGATCTTGACTATTGAACCTACTGAGAAGTCTGGCAGGACCTGGCTTGGATAGAGACAGCTATGTTTCCAGTGTGGAGCAAAGTTATAATGTGTCACCATATCACCAAAATGTAAACAAGGAAGGAAAGACATCTAGCCATTTGAGTTCAGCATAAAAGAAGATCCAAATGGGGGAAAATTTATCTTAAATCCTCATCTAGAGAAACAGTTGGGGCTGCCCAGAAAAAGAACAGTAAGAACAAAACAATGACTGCAAAGTGGCTAGTGTGTTCATGTGGGTGTAAGTGTGAGCAGAAATGATAGAACTGTGAAGCCAAAAATTCAACCTTTGGAAGTGTTATTGCATTTTATACAAGGGAACTCCTTTTTTGGTTGTTTGGAGAATTCTCAGCTTTAAAAATTGCTTTTATCTGTGACAATAAAGATTCCCTAAAGTGGAGCAGCAAGCAGGCATCCCCTACTTGCTGAATATATTGTAAATAACAGGTAGAAATCAGAAGTAAGCCTTGCCTTGCATTCTGTTTTCTCCACCTCTACCCCAAACATTTGTTAATTCAAATAAGCTAATAAGTATTGAACCCTATTACTCACTGTCCACTGAGTACATACAGATAGATGTTTGGTTTGTTTAATGTAATCATTTTTTGCTTTATTTTTAATTAATTTTTACTGAATACTTGAATGGATTAGATAACTGGTATTTTTGTCAGATTTTTCCAAAATCATTGTTAAGACCCTGCCTACTCATGTCTGATTTCTAAGAAGCAACTTTAATTTCCAGTGAAGTGTTTGATGTTTTACTCCTTAGGCAGCATAGGAAGGGGTAAAAATAAGATATAAGGTTTCATAAGATAAGACCCTTATAAGAATTATAGTAATGAAAATAAAATTTTTTTTTTGAGACGGAGTTTCACTCCTGTTGCCCAGGCTGGAGTGCAATGGCATCATCTCAGCTCACTGCAACCTCCGTCTCCTGGGTTCAAGCGATTCTTCTGCCTCAGCCTCCCGAGTAGCTGGGATTACAGGCATGCGCCACCATGCCTGGCTAGTTTTGTATTTGTAGTAGAGACGAGGTTTCACTGTGTTGGTCAGGCTGGTCTCAAACTTCCGACCTCTGGTAATCCCCCGCCTCAGCCTCCCAAAGTGCTGGGATTACAGGCATGAGCCACCGTGCCCAGCCCAAAAATAAATTTCCCAATAGCAAATGTGATTGTCCTCCAAAGTCATTCTCCTGTTGCTCATAAAATAGTAGGGACAACTCGTAAAGAAAAGTAGAATCGTTTTGGCCATTTTGGATGATCCATTTGAGTCAGAATTAAAATGCAAACCTTAAAAGCATTTGGCGTAATAAATGGCCTCTGTGAAATTTTTAAACAGTATAATCCTGGATTTTCCTGTGCACTGAATATGCAAGTTAAATTTATACAAAAGAAAACTACAGGACCTTAATACAATTGATTATTGCTGTAAATAATGACTTCCTTAATTTTCTCATCATGTGTCTGTGGAGCTTTTAAATGCCTAAACACAGCAGCAGTCAGCTTTGCTTCTCGTGGAAACCATTTAAGGCCATGGTTTTTTTTTTTAAATCTTCCTTGTCCTTATACTGAATAAATACTACTTAGTTATTGGAGGTTTTCAGAGTACTGAATTTATATTGATTGCACCCTTTGCTTTCAACTTTAAGTAATAAACTCAAGTCAAATTATTTTTAATAATGACATGACTTTCTGATGAAGCCTGTTAAGTCACTTCCCAAATCAAAATATTTAAATTACATGCCTCAGGACTCCAGGCACTTTGTCTCAACTGCCATTATTAGGACAGTTATGGGGTAAGGCTTTTTTAAAAAGTGCAGAGAATAAGAGCTTGAATTATAGTGCATTTTTTTTTTCAGCATTACTGCTTAGACTCTTTTCCCAGACACTTGGACTAAGATGAAGAGATTCCTATGCCATATGTCAATCTAAAGAGGGCAGAGGCTTGGGACTTCACTGTAGTTGGGTGCTGGGTCTATTCAGGGGTTAATTTAGTTCTACTTAAAGCTGTGACTTTTTCCACAGGTGGATGAAAGCCAAACTGGAGAACCCGGCTGGCTTGGAGGAGAATTAAAAGGAAAGACAGGGTGGTTCCCTGCAAACTATGCAGAGAAAATCCCAGAAAATGAGGTTCCCGCTCCAGTGAAACCAGTGACTGATTCAACATCTGCCCCTGCCCCCAAACTGGCCTTGCGTGAGACCCCCGCCCCTTTGGCAGTAACCTCTTCAGAGCCCTCCACGACCCCTAATAACTGGGCCGACTTCAGCTCCACGTACGTGTTGGTGGGCTCTTTCTGATGATTTTTGAAATCCCAATTTGATCATTTCCCCCCCACCCCCTTAAGTATTTTCATAGTCTTGGATTGTCCTTCTATGTGAGGGAGCTGGCTCATTTTCAGTACTCCTTTCTCTAGCTGGCGAATTGGAGATTACAGTCCCTGAACTGGATTTAATGATATCATTGTCTAACAGTGACTTACCATGGTACAAAATGAAGCCTGTTATCTTGTTTTGTTCAATAATGTATTTGTATCTATCATTCTTGTGGAAGAAGTGGAGAAATACAGTTTCCTAATAATCTATTTTGACATCCATGTCAGTCAGCAAATTTTCAGAGTTATTTCCTGCATGCAAATAGCACTTTTTTTTGCCAGGCAGAAGCAAAAATTGAATTCAGTCATGTGGTTCTGAATAAGATAGAAAGCTGTTTCCTTTAAAGCTTTCCACTTTCATTAATCTTATACAAATGTACAGTAGAATGAAGAGGTGTTTGCACTTGGCCAGTTAGTTCTGTGCCCTGGTTCATCAGGAAATGGCATTTTAAAAACTGTGTGTAAGCAGAGGTTTGAAATGATAGATGAAATGGTTGTTCAGACTTCCAGTTATAGGGCCATGACCTAGATGAGCAATTGTCTAAAAATATTTTATACTAGGATACAAGTATGAGTGATTTGAATAAGAAGTGTTTAAATTTTTTTTCAAGTCTAATCATCTTTCAGAAGAAACAAATTGAAGGCAAGGAATCCAGATGTATTGCTGGAGAAGGATCAGATGGAACAAATAGAGGGAAGAAAGAATAATTACTCAGGGCGGGAGGAAGTGGAGGGAAGGATGTAAGGAATAGCAAGTTTTTCATACTTTATTTTCACATAAAAGGCTGAAGGCGCTAAAGAAGGTCCCCTCATCTAATCTCTGCTTTAAGAAAAAAAAGCCTTCCATTAGCTTGACTTCCAAGTTGAAACTTTTCCTTACTCTTTTGGTCTTGACTGAAAAGTTCTGAGTTTTTAAACTAAAGCTTAGGCTAAAATAGAAGACTAATACCATATTTTCCAGGATTTGTTTTGCTGGGGATCAAATCAGTATGCCTCTTCTTCAATATATGTATGGTGTGCAGTTCTCTTGCTATAATTATGGGCACCTTATTTTCCAAATGAAAAATCAGGAATTATTTTGATTTTCAGATTTGTTTGTATATCTTATAAGGATGTAAAAAGTAAATTGCCTTTAGATCTGCAGTCACACAGACATGTTTATCTAAAATTATTTTTTATTATTTATTATTATTTTGAGACAGGGTCTCACTTCATCACCCAGGCTGGAGTGCAGTGGCATGACCATGGCTCACAGCACCCTTGACCTCCTGGGCTCAAGCAATACTCCTGCCTCAGCCTCCTAAGTAGCTGGGCCTACAGGTGCATGCCACCATGCCCAGCTAATTTTTAAGTTTTTTGTAGAGATGAGGTCTCACTATGTTGCCCAGGCTGATCTTGAACTCCCGAACTCAAGTGATCCTCCTGCCTTGGCCTCCCAAAGCGCTGGGATTAGAGGTATCAGCCACCATGCCCAGCCTGTTTATCTAAAATTATTAAAATCACAAAACTAGAACTGTCCCTGGGACCCAGGACAACTGGTTGCTGTCAGGATGCCACTTGTAATTGCTGTGGCATCTAGGCATACTACCAGGTACTTGCTGTAGAGTGCATGGGTCTGAGAAATGGTGTTGAGAAGCTCCAGCTCCATAGGTGGCATGTAGCTTTTTTTTTTCTCATTTAACTATTGTTATTACAAATGATAATGATCATGTGAGGATGTTTCTCCGGGGCTTTGCAGTTACAGAGTATTTCCCTAGCCTGTATTTCATGTACCCTCACAACTAACCTTAAGTGGCACAGTATTGTTCCCATTTTATCAATGAGGAAATCAAATGCCTTTTCCTCTCCTCCTTGTTCTTTTATTTATTTTTCTTTTTGAGACAGAGTCTTGCTCTGTCACCCAGGCTGGAGTGCAGTGGCGTGATCTCAGCAGCTCACTGCAACTTCCACCTCCCAGGTTCAAGCAATTCTTGTGTCTCAGCCTCCCAAGTAGCTGGGATTACAGACTCAATGCCACCACACCCAGCTAACTTTTTTTTTTTTCTTTTTGAGACAGAGTCTCACTCTGTCATCCAGTCCAGAGTACAGTGATGCGATCCTGGCTCACTGCAACCTCTGCCTCCGAGGTTGAAGCATTTCTCCTTCCTCAGCCTCCTTAGTAGCTTGGATTACAGGGGTGCGCCACCACACCCAGCTAATTTTTGTATTTTTAGTAGAGATGGGGTTTCACCATGTTGGTCAGACTGGTCTCGAACTCTTGACCTCAGGTTATCCAGCCACCTCGGCCTCCCACAGTGCTGGGATTACAGGCATGAGCCACTGTGCCCAGCCTCCTCCTTGTTCTTTCACTGTAGAAAGCCACATTAAGTATACTAGGTTTGTGTTGCACAGGCTCATTGGTTGCCATCTTTTTCTTTTTTCTTTTTTTCCTCTTTTATTTATTTATTTATTTTTTTGGTACTTTACTGTGGGTAAAAAGCTGGCATATTAGGGAGTGCTTGCTTTTTTTTTTTTTTGGTACTTTACTGTGGGTAAAAAGCTGGTATATTAGGGAGTGCTTGTTATTCATGGTGTTGTGCTTTTCCCTCCAGGTGGCCCACCAGCACGAATGAGAAACCAGAAACGGATAACTGGGATGCATGGGCAGCCCAGCCCTCTCTCACCGTTCCAAGTGCCGGCCAGTTAAGGCAGAGGTCCGCCTTTACTCCAGCCACGGCCACTGGCTCCTCCCCGTCTCCTGTGCTAGGCCAGGTAAAGGCAGCCAGTGAGAGTGTGAAGACTTAGCATGCTATCTAGTGCCAAAAACTTCAGCAAATGCTTTTTGGCAATGTCATTTTGAAGCAAGCCTTGTTATGTGTGTCTTGGTTGGCTGGCAGTATGGGAATCCAGTGCAGGAGCCAGAAATCTGCTGTGAATAGTTGGGAGTTGGGGGTGGGGGTGGGACACAGTCAACTTCTCCTGCCTGGGTTGATGAAGGAAGCTTCATTGCAGAAGTGGCACTTGAGCTGCATCTTGACCAGTGGGTAAGATCTTACTAGAAAATGGAGAGAGCCTGCCTGTCAGACAGAAACTGCTGGGAAGGCTCGAAGGCAGACAGTCAGAATGTATTTAAGGAAAATCACATACCCCTCCATTTGTCTAGACCATTGAGTTTTTTTTGGAAAAGGTAGACCAATTAAAGGTTAATGGGAGGCTCTGAAATGCCCTGCTCGGAAAGAATAATGTCTGAAAGGATAAAGGTGGTTATTCTGAATAGTTCTCTTTTGCTTAATACAATAATGATAAAATACTCAAATTTCTATCAATAATCATGCCAAACAGCAAGTGCCCATCTGGGAGGCACTGGAGGTTCCAGCATCATTTCTGATCTGAGAACACCCAGATGGAACACAGGGTCTAGGCAGATCCATCTGGAGGAGCGGTGTGCAGGAAGATTAGAGTGGAGGGCCGGCAGGGCGGTGCCACCAGTCAGGGGGCTGTTGGTGTCACCCAGCTGAGACCTAGGGCAGGCCTGGACCCAGCTGAGTTCATGTTCACCAAGTAGGGAGGTGCCGGTGGAAGCAGAAGAGGCGAGCACGTGGGAGAGACTGCAGAGGAGAGTGAAGAGGTTGGAGTCACAATGCCTATGGGAGCCGAAGGAAAGGAAAGAGGGCTGGGATTGAGAATAAGGGCCCACCTTAAAGCGGGAAGGGAGAAAGGCAGAAAATGAAATGAATGCGCAGTTAAAGGGAAGAGTTGTGTTTTAGTTGTGTTGAGTTGAAGGTGAACGTGGGACCCTGTCTGGCAGGCTGTCGGAATATAGATCTGGAGGATGGAAGAGAGCACGAGACTGGGATTATAGATTGGAGCCATTCCCATAGAGAACATTATCGGATATCAGGAAATGTGTGAGGTCATCCAAGGAGAGGGAATACAGGGAGAAAATAGCAAATCCACAGGCACGTGTGTGTTCTGTGGTCTGGAAGAAGAAGAGGAGCTACTCAGCAGGAAATGGTACTTTCCTTTGCATCTGTCCTAGCTCAGCATTTAGCACGTGTCACATGCTCAGTTAACAGTAACTCAGTGATGGGGTGGGGGTTTGTTCCAGAGAGTGGAGGTGGGGGATGGGAGGTTGCTTATGTTACTAAGTACCGTGGTCAGGGCAAAGAAGAGACCATTCATTGTGACAGGTAGAGCTTTGTAACCTGGGAAGGAGAAGGATGAAACCACACTGCAGGGGCGTAAAAGGAAATGAGCAGCAAGAAAGTGGAAAGATCTGCAAAAGGAAAGAGAAGGACCAGAGTGAGGGGCCTCGGGAAAGCAAGAACCAGCCATGTTGCCAGTGGAGATGGGAATGGAAAAGTGAAGTGTCAGAGGATATAGTTGGTATAAGGCAGAAAACATTAAAAGCACAGAAAAGACAGGAGTCTTTTTCTTCTGGATGAGGAAGAGTGAAGAGATTGGAGAAGATAAAGCCAAGAAAAATGTTCAAGTTGGGCTGCATGATATTGTTCTCAGTGAGGAGGGAGCCTGGAGGGGCTGCGGAGTGTAGAAGAGGTTTGGGAGCAGGCGAATGAGGGATCCGACAAAGAAGAATGAAGAATTGGGCCGGCGCGGTGGCTCATGCCTGTTATCGCAGCACTTTGGGAGGCAGGCAGGTCACCTGAAATCAGGAGTTCGTGTCCAGCCTGGCCAACGTGGTGAAACCTCATCTCTACTAAAAAAAATAAATAAATACAAAAATCAGCCAGGCATGACGGTGGGCGCCTGTAATCCCAGCTACTTGGGAGGCTGAGGCAGGAGTATCACTTGAACCTGGGAAGTGGAGGTTGTGGTGAGCTGAGATCACACCACTGCACTTCAGCCTGGGCGACAGAGCAAGACTGAGTTCTCAAAAAAAAAAAAAGAATTGCCTGGCTTAATTTAACCTGAGTCCGTAATAGATCATTGCACATTGCCTCAGCTTTCTCTAGCAATGCTTCACAGCTTGGGACTAGGAATAATAATAGTTATATAGCTCACCACTGTTATTTCTATCATAGCAATACTGTGCATGGATCTTACTAAACTTCCTTCCCCCTCCCCACCTACACACATCTTGCATTACCATGGGATTGCTAAACTTTAATAGCCTTTTGGAGAAAGTATCATCTCTACTTTACAGATGTGGAAATCGAGATTCAGAGAGATTAAACAGTTGCCAAAGCCAGAAAATTAGTAAGTGACAGACCTGGGATTCAAACCCAGAGTCCACATCCAGCCCAGGCTGGGGTCATTAGGGCCCATCAATGTGAAAAGGTTGACAAAGCAGACACGGGGAAGATTTCTCAGGGGGAGAGATTCTGAAATACCAGTGAGGGCACAGTTGAAAGGCCAACCCTGGGGTCCATACGTAGAGAAATCAGTGAAGTGGCGGAGAGGATTAGACAGTGCAGAAGGGCTGTGGGATGAGGAGCTACGCGGGCAGCAGGTCCACTGCAAGAGGGGGAAAATGGAAGGTCGAGAATATACAATCTTAGGGGTGTTCGAAATCCAGGGAAACCCCCTCAGCTCTGAGGGACTTGAAGGAGTGAATGTACAGCTAAGTGGAAGGAAATAGGATAGGGATGTTGTGGGTTTAAGAAGGCAAGAACCCATGAAGACCAGGAATTAGAGGTTATCAACATAGATGCTGAAACTATTTGACCTGTTGTAAATTCTCTGCTCATCAGACATAATCATAACTTAATGTCAGTATAATATAAATGACTTCTAAAGGCATGTACAAATTGGTTCTGAAGTAACTCTCTCTAGGCATTATCTTTTGTTCTTGTCCATTCATATATATGATTGAAAGTTGGTGTTTCATTTTTTACTAAATGCTTTAAGATACTGTAATGGTTTAATGCTATAGCTTAAAAGATAATAAATGCCTCACCCTGCCTTTCCAGCCTGACTTCCTCCTCCACCCCTCCATGAGACTAGGCCACATGCAGCCCCGGATTGTGCTTCTCTTCCCGGACCCCCTGCAGTGTTCCACCTCGAGGCTTTTGCCCATGCTGCGCCCTCGGCCTGGAGTGCCCTTCCTCCGAAGCCCTAGCTGTCAAAGTCCTTCTCATCCTTCAAGGCCCATCTCAGATGCTGCCCCCTCTGTGAAATTTACGCTGATGCCCCCAGGCAGAATTCATCCCTGTTTTCTCTTTATTCCTGCAGTGAATAGTAGGAACTCCTTTTTAGTATATTTCATTCTGCCAGGTGGTACACTTGGTTGTTTTTATCTCTGTCTTCCCCATTACTTGTGAATTACCTGCTAGTAATACTGCCCATCTTTATAGTGCTTTGTGGTTAATAAAGTGCTTTTCCCTAAATTATCTGGGGGAGGCAGAGACTGTTTTTTTCATCTGTAATCTCATGGGGCAGTGCATGTAGATGTACAATAAATGGTAATTACAATGAATTTATGCTAACCAAATCCCTGTTTTCTCTGAAAAGGAACTAAAACAAGCATAATCCAGATAGGGCCTATTTCCCTGGGTCTACCTAATCTAAAATGCCAGTTAATGATCTCATGATAGTTCATAAAATGTCTGCTCCACTGTTAATCCTCCACTAAAAATGCCAGTCAAATTGGAAATGGGGAGGTGTCCCGGGCAACTTGAGAGTGAAAATAGAACCAAAATATAAAGGGCACACAGCCAGATGCAACAGAATAATTGTGACCTCCTGGCTTTTTGAAATAGAGAGTTCTAGATGGTCAGACAATGACTTTGTGAAGAGGCTGGAAGGCTTTGGCCTCCACTTTTGGAAATAAACAATTGTTGGGAAACAGTGAAGCATCCAGCCCTCCTGCTGTGCTGCCTCAGGGCCCTTTGTGGCTGTGTGTGCTTGTCTGGCCTGTGCTTGTTGGAGAGGTGCCATGCTCACGTCTGCCCTAATTGATAACAAAGCGCAACATAACGAGAGGTCCTTTATGTTATTCCACACAAGGGTGAAAAGGTGGAGGGGCTACAAGCTCAAGCCCTATATCCTTGGAGAGCCAAAAAAGACAACCACTTAAATTTTAACAAAAATGATGTCATCACCGTCCTGGAACAGCAAGACATGTGGTGGTTTGGAGAAGTTCAAGGTCAGAAGGGTTGGTTCCCCAAGTCTTACGTGAAACTCATTTCAGGGCCCATAAGGAAGTCTACAAGGTATTTTTGTATTTATCTGCTTGTATTTGATGAAAACAATATTAGGCGTTATATTACTGTTTGCACTAGTTAAGATTCACAGACAGGAGTTGCGGGATTAGTTTGTCTTCTAGATCTTTTAACTGCAAAAGTTATAGTATATAGAGTACCAAAAGGGAGCCTCTTATAGATAAGTGCATTCTTTCTTCTCTCATGAAAACCTATGTGCCTTGTTTTTCATTGCCTTATGCAAGAAGGAATTCAGCTCTGAGACCTGGAACACTCTTGTGCATTAGTTGGAGATTATGACTCTCTTTATGCTTATTACCCAGTGCTGTACCAGATATATGTGAATACTTGGAAACCCAAAGGATCTGGGGAAATGATCAGAAGGACTTAATTGTCTTTTTCATTAGGGTCTTATAGCATGGAACCTAAGGTTGTTAATTCCTCCAACCATATTGATGTTCAAAACAAATTATGAGCTTTAAAAGGATGAAAATAGCAAAAATATTCAATGAGCATCTCTCAGTCAGTCATGCCTTGAAATAAACTAGTACATAAGCCATGTGTCCAGTATAGCAAAGTGCTGAAAAATAAGAATGCGAGCTTAGAGTCATGCCTCTGTAGTACCTTATTATGTGTTTTTAACCTAGCTAAGTACAACTATTTCAGCTGTGGGTCGTTTAAAGTTTTAAAAGTTAAGCAGTTTTAACAGAAAAATCAGTGTCATTGTACGATTTTCTTTGAAGATAAAAATTAAAATACTCTCTTCTTCCATTATTGCAGCATGGATTCTGGTTCTTCAGAGAGTCCTGCTAGTCTAAAGCGAGTAGCCTCTCCAGCAGCCAAGCCGGTCGTTTCGGGAGAAGGTGAGGGCCTGAGTTGTATTATGTTCTTCAGAAGGGTCAAGGACATTGTGTAAATGTTTGAAATGAGATTGAATTTCATCTTAAGATAGACTGCATTTATGATCAGTATATTAAACTACAGTAAAATGTAAGTTTAGCTCTTTACAGAATCGGAGTACTTCATGGAAAATACTGTCAGGTATATTAATCATCAAAAACTGAATTTTCTAATTATATTTTATTATAAGCCCTTTGACTTTTAAAAGAGACCCATTCAGTTCACTAAGAATCGAGTTTTCCGAGCATCTCTATAGCTAAACTATGGTCATTGCTTCACCTAACATAGTCTAGTCTCATCTGACTTCATAGATAAGTATTTCGTTTTAAAAGTAACTACAGGCCGGGCGCGGTGGCTCACGCCTGTAATCCCAGCACTTTGGGAGGCCGAGGCGGGTGGATCATGAGGTCAGGAGATCGAGACCATCCTGGCTAACAAGGTGAAACCCCGTCTCTACTAAAAATACAAAAAATTAGCCGGGCGCGGTGGCGGGCGCCTGTAGTCCCAGCTACTCGGGAGGCTGAGGCAGGAGAATGGCGTGAACCCGGGAAGCGGAGCTTGCAGTGAGCCGAGATTGCGCCACTGCAGTCCGCAGTCCGGCCTGGGCGACAGAGCGAGACTCCGTCTCAAAAAAATAAAATAAAATAAAATAAAAGTAACTACACAGACCACTAGAGTTCTCATAGTAACATGAATGCCATCTGTACCATCCCAAATGAAACTGAAACTCAATTTCTGTGCTCCATGAAAACAATCAAACCAGACAATTTAGGACTAAAAAAAAAAAAATCATTTTGAGTATTTATTATGCAAATAATTGCCTTCTTTCTCAATCTCCACTTGGTGACATAATCCTAAATATTGTATGGATGCCAACTGAATAAAACTTAGGTAATTCAGGCCCTCATGGTAAAAATCTCACATCTTTTTTACATTCAATACAGCCATCATCACATCCTAACTGGAGAGTGCTCCCTGAGTTAGATGGGTTTTCTGTGTAGACATCTGAGCAGTGTTGTAGTTAACAGATGCCATAACTAACCAATTCTATAGTAATTCTTTATGGGTTCCTTGAATACATTACAGGAGAATAGAATGTTTTATTTAGTTTGTCTGCCATAATGAGATTGTTAACATTCCTTAGAAACCTTGCCCAGTGAAAAACAGAATTATTAAAACAGCTGTTTTAGGTGGAGACAGCAAGGATTAAGGTATAATGGTATTTCAGACTCACAGTAACAATGTTCTTTTTTCAAGAGGTTTTTTAAAGTAAGAATTTTTTTTAGTTCATAGTATAGCTATAAAACCTTATCACTAAACAAATCCAGCATCTAATTTTTGCTATTACCATGAAAATGATTAACAGAGTTCCCTTTATACATTCTCATTATCTTAATGACTTTTTATCCACTGTTAGGGTAACAAGGCAAAAAGCTCCTTTAAATACCACATGCAGTCAGTTTAGTAAAAAGCAACTTATGCACCTCACCAAAAGATAAAGAAAAAAACTTTGGTGTGTTACATCCAATCAAGGCTCACTGGAGGGCTGGAGTTTGTATCTTGACTCACCCATCTAGTAACAGTATTATTTTGTTTATGCCTTAGCTTCTTTGTCTGTAAATTGGCCGTGATAACTACCCCTTGAGGTAGGAAATTATTACAAGGATAATGAGATAACATGCAGAAGGCTTTTAGAACAAAGCTCAGTAAATGTCTGCTACTTTTATGTCGTTTTTGCTTCATTCCCTGGATTAGTGATAAAGCCACATAAAGTATGAGCATCCTCATCCAATAGCAGTATGGAGGAGTGTTTGTTTGTTTTGAGACATGTACTGAGGACTCAATAAATAGGTCACAAGTGAACCATGCATGTACTTAAAATTGGGCAACATAATAGAGTTAAATTCTGATCTTAGTTTGTATTTATTACAGCCAATTTTGAAATGACTTAGTTATTAGAAATATTTGGAAAGGTTGCTGGCTTTGTGAAGGGGTGGGAGGACATTAGAAATTCTGAGAAAAGCTATTTACATATATTAATGAGCCTTTTGTAAATACCACATTGAACATAATCAAATTTAAAGTAAACTGTAAACCAGATAAAATAGATGATTGGCTTGGGTTGCTTTTAAAATATTTAAAATATTGGCTTGGGGATGGCCAGTGCCCTCTGTGGAATGTTTCCTGAGAAGGGGTAGCTAAAGAGGAACCTCTGCCTATCCATCATCATGTCTCTGGGTTTCATTGTCACCCTAAAGCCACTCTCAGATGTCTTTGTGCAAGGCAGGCAGGGCAAGGCCAGCCTCAGTCTTCCCAGTCTCCTTTATATTTTATACTGCAATACCAAGTTCAGCCAGAGTTCATGTTTCTGAAGTTTCTTAAGCATTTGGAAAGTTACTTCAAAATTTGGATCAATTTTAAAGAAAGTAACTTTGAAGTTGAGGAATCACTGGGGAAAGTATTGATGGCCAAGGATCCTGTCTTAAATGGCCAAATATGATCTAAAGAACAGTAACAGGGAGCAAAATGAAAAGGGAAGGGTGAGAGTATGGAGAAGTCAGAAAAATGAGTCTGTTAATGAAGAAAGAATGACCCTATTAAAGCCACCAAACTTTGATTTCCTTGTGTGGGAAATCATTTTTCCAATTTTCACTGTGGAGGTATGTGTTACCAGCGCCTCAGGGCTAAAGACAGAGAGTCTTCTGTTTTCCCTGGGACGTTTGAATGACCTGTGTCTGCCATGGGGCCCAGTGCTCTCCACCAGCAATTGCTGCTGGCCTCGGCGCTGACAGGTCAACACTGGCGCTGAAGGAGGCCCTTGTTGCTCCAGGGGCTGCCCACGTGAGCACAAGAGTTAGAGGTTTTTGTGTTTTTGTCTGTTTGTTTTAGTTTTCATTAGTACCTCCTGCAGAGGCTCTGATAATCAACCGAAGGAGTTCTCCATAAAAAATTCCTACCTCTTACTCAACACGAGGCTCGACATTAAAGGAACATCATCTGAGGTTTAGAGAGAAACATACATTGTCCATCATAAAAATGAACTTTTTGGGTAAATGGTGATTTTTCTGTTGCTTTAAAAAAATACATACAAAAGCCTAGGATAAAATGGAGAAAAAGGGGAAATAAGAAACCTGTGCATCTTTCTGTAAATCTTTTATCCTGTACCTAGAACCTCCATCCAGGATTTTGTGTCTGGTGATCTTTCTGAGAGTGTGATTTGGTTCTAAGCCTTAATAAAATCCACCAAGAGTGATGCAAAGTTCTACATCTAATTAAAAAGGAAAGTTTCTTCTGTAATGCACACCCTTCAAATTCAAGACACAAAGGAACATTAGTTCTTATCCTTTAAGACTAAATTACATGAATAATAAAATGTGATAAACTGTGATTTGTCTTTTTAACTTGTTGAAAGGCTTTCTGGGATTGGGTTAGACATTCCTTTTATCATCAGTCCTCTCTACCTGTTTGTGCTCTTGAATGACAACTAGATGCCCATTTTTAACTAAACAATATGTGTAACTCATTTTGTGTTCTAACAGCTTCCTATCATATTGTGTATATGGCACAATAGGACATAAGTTTTCAGGCACTTCAATAAGGAAAAGTATGTCTTATTTAATTTATGCGAAGGATATATGCTATCTAACAATTTTTTAAAAACCTGTGACGTAGTACCCTCAAAACTGAAATACACATATTTAATATGCTTACCAAGAGCCTGCATATGAATGCATCTGACCCAGTGCTCAGCACAGAGTAGGTATTGTGTAACTCTTAGTTAAAAATAAATGTAAAAACCATTTTCATTCAAAAAGAAATCATGATGCTAAATGGTAGATCACTCTTAAATACTCAAGTGTCGGTAAACATGCAGTTGGGTTTTTTATTCCTGTGTCTGGGTCTTCCCAGGAATTGTCTCCCTGTCTGCAGCTACTGAACTTTTATGTGCACTGGGGGAATGTGGAGCCCAGGGCATTCTGCAGCTCTGTATTTTATCTGTGACTAGCCTTTCTCTTGAATGGATCTTGTCCTAACTTCCTTATTCGTAAACTTGCTTTTGCAAAGCTGTCTGGGATTTCTTTAAACAATCAAGCTCTCTCCGTATCTCAATATTTCTCCCCACCAGAATTTATTGCCATGTACACTTACGAGAGTTCTGAGCAAGGAGATTTAACCTTTCAGCAAGGGGATGTGATTTTGGTTACCAAGAAAGATGGTGACTGGTGGACAGGAACAGTGGGCGACAAGGCCGGAGTCTTCCCTTCTAACTATGTGAGGCTTAAAGATTCAGAGGTAAACCCACATTAACTGTTTCCTCTCCCTTTCTGTGCGGTGATTCTCTTTGTGGGGAGTCACGATGTTTGACAGCGGAACTTTGTTGGGTTTTGCTAAGTTCTGGAATGTGACAGTAAATCCAGTGTGACCTGTCATTGTTTGATCTTGTCATTTGGCACTGCGCAGTAAGCACTGGCTTCCCCCAAGCAGAATGCCATCAGGGCTAAGTGGAGGCTGAGTGTGATGGGGCTGGTCCGCATCAGCTGGGAGGATAATGTTCAGTATTAAGCTCTCTTCCTGCCTGTAACTGACTTACGCTTTGGAGTAAACTTTCTTGATTAGATCATTATGGTCATTGATTTTTAAATGCCCAAGAATGGTAGCAATATTTTGCCTGTATAAACAGAAGTATTCTGGTGATAATCGCCCCAGAATATTGGATATTATTAGAAAGTTTTTAGAATTTCTGGTTTTGCCCACACAGTAGAAAGACACAAGATCTAAGGGATGGGTACACTTTTGGCTAGGCCTTAGAATCTCCGTTGATCAGGACTGAATTTAAGTGCTGTTATCCGTATGAATTGGAAGTGCTCTCACTGTTGTTAAATAGAGCCCTAAAAATTTGATCACATAAACTGTGGTCTTAAGATAGTGCAAGTTGAATGGAATGGTGGGGTGGACCTACCACAGAGCATGGGAGTCAGTCTTGTAGGAGCCACTTGCACGTTAGTGGAGAGTTTCAGGGTATAAATGGAGTCATTTAACAGATCCAATGCACATTTAAAAAAACCAACAAGAATTAACTCCTTTTTTTTTTAAGTGTTGACAGTCAATTCACAGTTATTTTCTTTTTCTCCTCATACCTCCTAGGTACTGAGAGAGAAAAGGCTGGCAGGGAGCCTGTAGGGGCCGCTTTCTCAGGAGTGAGCAAGTGGACAAAGTTCTCTCTCTCTTTCAAATGCCAGTAGTAGAGTGTATACTGGGCTCTTACATGTGCGGCTCCGTGTACTCGGAGCTGCTCTGGGAGCGAGGCTGGGCCTGGTGCCCTGCTCTAGGAGTCCTGCCCTTGGCCTGCTCACCTCTCCTGCAGCTCCCAGAAATGATTTTATTTGCTTGGGTTTTGTTTTTTTAAGGGGTGGCATTGTTTTGCTTTTTGGTTTTTCTTGCTGCGGTCTTGAGAGCAGCTAAGTGGAATTCCCATGGATGGATTTACATAAGTCTGCCCACCCTTGGAGAATCTGGCAGAAGCCCGGAAGAAAGTAATTTTGCCCTGCGAGACAGCTGGCATATTGGACTTTTCAGACCTGGAAACAGAGAATTCAATTCTTCTCCAGGCCAGCAAGTCGAGTCCAATGAGAGTCATACAGATGATATTTCAGGGGAATTGGGTAAAACACTAAAAGCCAAACTCAATTTCTACTACCGTGCATGAAAACTCTTAAAGTGACTTTACCTTTTGGATCAGTTAAAATACGAAAGCCATTACTTGTAATGTATTTTAATAAGTTACAGTTTTCTACTTTAATAAAACCATCCGAAATAAATTTTAGGAAAACACACAGTGACTTTTTTTTTTAAGGTAAGTGGAGTTGTAAGGTACTTTCTTAACCACAGTCTTAAATTATTAGCCACAGAAGAACTAGCAGTACTAGAAATTTTTAGATATACATCTAGCTATACTATTCAATAATAATGAAAAAAAAACCTGAAAACTCAGCTCTTTCGTCCTACTTGAATACAGAATTCAGTGTAAAAGCAAAATATCCGACCCAACCTAACACCAGACCCAGCTTCAGATACCAGAACTGACGTCTGGGCATGGGGAGAGTCGTCCCATCCTGCTTCCCTTCTCTGTATGGGCAGGTCTGGGGCACAGTCTGGGGGACTTTATAGGTGCAGGGAGGACAGAACATGGCCTTCTGAATCCATCTCAGCTTATGGGGCTGGCTGTGGTTTTTCAAAGGGAGCACATTGAAACTACTTGAACTCTAGGGTACTGCCAATTGCCTTGTTCTTTTTATGGAGTATAGGGAGTAGATTCTAAGCCTGTACTAGGAAAGTTAACTGGTCACTGGAGTCTTGTTTCATTGGTATTCCTTTTTTTGATATGCAGCCTATTGAAAAATAGTGAGAGATTGCTTTTGTATAACTTTGTTCGTTAATAAAGCAGAATCAGAGTAAAAATTTAACCCGAACTTTTCCTGGTAAATGTTTCTTAAATTTCAATAAGCAAAATAAAGAGACTGTAAGTTGTGTTCCTGGTAGATAAATGGCATATTTTTATTCTTTCAGTAACTCATGTTTTGTTTATTAAGCCTTTTGTTTTGTTTTAATTGGAATGCTTAATTTACTGCAAGATAGACTCAAGCATAAATTAATTTAGAATAAAGTACTTTGTAACAACAGATTCCGTTCTGGCTCCTGTCCTGCCTCTCGTGGTCTCTGTTGTTGGCTTACTTGGCTGGTTTAAAATTCCATGAGTATCCCAGAGAGGAATTCAACCCCAGAGCACTTTTTAAACACTTGATAGTTGGGAAGAAATATGCTCTGCCTCTATGCATTGATAGAGAAATTTCAATGTATAAACTCTGTGAAATTGGGTGGAAAGGCCACACAGGACAGCCACTGCCTCTTTGGATAGAGAGGGGTGAATAGGATGGGGGAAGAGAGGTTCCAGTTGTCCCTGTTAGTTTTTTAAAAAAGAAAGCTCCTGAAGCAAATGTGCAAAATATTAATATTTTAATGTGTTAAAACCGGGTAGTAGGCTCGTGAGTTATATTCCCTGTACTTTTTATGTGTGAAATATTTCATAATTAGCCATGTGAAAATAAGTCCGAGCTTAGTGTTTAGGATGTAAACTAACAGTCTTCCTAGCCTGGAACCTCCTCTTAGATTTGACCAGGTCCGAGAAGTGCCTGTGCTTGGAGCCCTCTGGGCTCTTACAGGCGCCATACTCTGCTGTTTTTTTCTCTTATAGAAATGAGTAAAAGCCACATGTTTTAATTATTTTTTTCCATGTTTTCCTGATCTATATCCTTGTGTCAGGTGATACAGTGCTATGTTTTCCCAGAATGAAAAGTGGGGCTTTGGGGCTCAAGCGGGTTTGTATCATCATTAATCGTTTTTAAAGTTGCATGATCAAAACTTCAGCATGCAAATGAGACCTTTTGCTCTGTTTTAAGGGCTCTGGAACTGCTGGGAAAACAGGGAGTTTAGGAAAAAAACCTGGTAAGTTACAAACCCTGATGCTTACTTTTCAATGTTTTGAATGTAATTGATAGTTGCTCCCCATCTTTGTGTATTAGGGCCAGAAGCCTAAAATAAAAAGAATCTTTCCTAAGAGTGGTGAGAGTAAGTCCTTTCCTTGGAATCCATTAATAATTTTACTTGGTTATGAGATTTGTCTGTTGCTTCACACATGAAGAGTGGAGACGTTACCTAACAGAATGTTCTCTTGGGTTGTCGAGAAATAATTCAGGTGAGGCCAGGCACGGTGGCTCATGCCTGTAATCCCAGCAGTTTTGGAGACCGAGGCAGGTGGATCATTTGAGGTCAGGAGTTTAAGACCAGCCTGGCCAACAGGGGAATCCCGGTCTGTACCAAAAAATAGAAAAATTAGCCAGGCATAGTGGCATACACCTGTAATCCCAGCTACTCGAGAGGCTGAGGCAGGGGAATCACTTGAACCCGGGAGGCCAAGGTGGCAGTGAGCCGAGGTTGCTCCACTTCACTCCAGCCTGGGCGATAGAACAAGACTCTATCTCAAAAAATAAAATAAAATAAAATAAAATAAATATATAGATAAATAATTCAGGCAAGATGCTGGGAAGTTATAATACATGGAGCTGTAGGATTATGGGCTCAGCTGCTTCTCCGTCTTCCTCTTAGGCTTGGTTAGCCCTTTTTCATTTCATAACAATGCATTCCCAGGACACAAACAATGGAGAAGATTAGAGTGTAGGTCCCATTAATGTAGAAGCCATAGGATGGTTTTCCTCGGTACACATTGAAGGTACAAAATTGTAGTCATGCCTCTGAATCCAAAGTGTTTTAGTTTATTTCAGTAAAATCACATGTGCTATAAATAGCACGAAAAAGAAAAGAAAGAAGCGGATGTGAAATAATACGGTTTCTGTGGCACGTCTTCCTGGTCTAGGTCATTTGAACTTTTTGGCTATCATATTCTTAGAAAATTATAGGTTGAAACAGTCACTGAATTGCCAAGAGACGGATTTGCTTGTCTGTCTGGTGCCCAGCTCCAACTGGGCTTACATGGCTAGGGAAAAGAAGGGAAATTTCACGTAGTCTAGGATTTTATTTTAGTCAGATAAATACTGGATGGAGTATTTAGTCAGATAAATACAGTGGATGGAGATACATTGGACCACCCCACCAAATCTCCGTTTTAAGTGTAAGTTTTCTAAGTTTTGTACACTTGTCATTCCAGAGGGTCCAGATATTTCATAGATGAAGCCCAGGTGGGCTTTGCTTTGCACTGAAACTAGCAAGAAAGGACACAAAAGACTGCAGAGAATGTTGGGGCAGATTGCTGGCTGCGTATGCCAGGTCCCTTGAGGAGCAAGAACATCCAGTGCCAAATAGGACACTAGTTTGGTCTTTCTCCAAACCATAAACTCTTGGAACCAAGAGCTGGTCTTTGGTGTGTTGCAGGAGAGTCCTCATCCCAGCGTAGACATCCCAGCTGGAGCTCCCAGTCAGAGCCTAGGCTGGGCCAGTAGACCATGCTGTGGCCTTTCTTGCTTGCCCCAAGCTCTGCAAAGCATCAGGCAGGGCCAGGCCTGCACCATGACCGCCAGGTGCTTCTATCCTGGTGGCCGACCCCTGATAGCATGCAGAACAGAATGAGAGCGGCTTGCTTAAGGGCCAGAGTCTTACTTGTTCCCTGGAGTGAGTAGAAAAGTAGGAAATCTCGTCAGAACATGAGACCTTTTTGCGTTCTTCCTTTCCATTCTTCTTTACTTCATTCCCTCTTTCTTCTTTTTTTTCTGTCCTTCTTTCCTTCTTTTCTCCTTTCGTTCACAAACCACACTTGGAGAGCAAGGGTAGAGGAGCAGAACAGTTTGTTCTCTATTGCTTCTAGAAGTTCAGAAAGCAGTAGTTGCAGATGAGCCAGAACTCAGGCAGAGAAGGGTTCTGTCTCTTCATACTCAGTCTCCTGGGCCCGTGGAAATGGTGTGTTTCAGAGCCTGGTCTGTGGTACCGCTGGAGTTTTTCCCATGGGACTTTTCACATTCAGGAAAAGTACAGAACTGTTCACATTTTTTTCCCTGTGCTGAATTGTTTTTGCATAAAGTTCCCTTCTTAACTCCAGGTCCCTCCTGTAACGTGAAATAAAAAGAAAGAAATTTGCCCTGCCATGATTTGCACCTGATATTCAGGGATCACTCTCAAAATGTGAGCCATAAAGAAGAAGGCTGTGTCGTTGGGAGTGAGAATCTGCAGCAACAACATAGAAATAAGCCCCTGCCGGGCTCCCAGTGGTTTCTGAGGAAAATGGGCTTCTCTTTCTACTGTACTTGGCAGCTAGAAAAGCTATTGAGTCCTTTAGTCACTTCAAAGTAGCACTTTAGCCATTGGGTGCTACTGTGCTGGGGTGGGTGGTGAATGAGGCCCCACCCTTGGCCTCAGGGCATTCTGGGTAATTATGGGAGGGGTGTGACAGAAGGTGCCAGGAGTGGGCAAGGAGCGGACTTCGTGGAGGGAAGTTGGTAAGTAAGTTTCACGGGATGACAAGGGAGTCTGCAGCCCACTGAGGGCTCAAGGATCAGCCAGGCCCTTGAATGCCGTGTCTGCCTGGTAGCTCTGGGAACGGGCGATTCAGGGAGCCTTACTCGTTGGGTAGAAATCCAGCTCAATACATTGGTTTTGATGTGTTCATCTGTGAACCTGGGAGGCGCCTGCATCTTCTTGGCCTTTTCTCCTGCTGACTCTTAACAGTGCACTGCCGTGTTTGATCTTGTTTTTCAGAAATTGCCCAGGTTATTGCCTCATACACCGCCACCGGCCCCGAGCAGCTCACTCTCGCCCCTGGTCAGCTGATTTTGATCCGAAAAAAGAACCCAGGTGGATGGTGGGAAGGAGAGCTGCAAGTCAGTGTCTTTTTTGTTTATTTACAATTCTCCATCCAAGTTTCAATACACAAAATCTCAAAGGGACGCTATTTTATTGTAAAGTACAAACCACCCCTCACCACCTAAATTCTGTATTTGGATAGTGAGAGATGCCAAATTTTCTGTGTTTGTTTGGTTCCTAAGTTTCAGACAGCCGGTAACAGATTTCTGAGAGCTAGGAGCGCATACGAAAACATATCTTTCCCATTCCTGAATTCAGATAGAGTCGGCATAGTGAGAACTCATATGACGAGGGATGCCTGCATATCCTTATGTGCCTTGGCATTAGAGAGTGGAGCTTTTCATCAGTGGTATTAGAAGGTGTGGCACAAGAGCAGATTTCTTTGCATTCAAAGCCACATCCATACATCACAGTATTTTTAGTTCCCGTGTGTGTGCGCGCACGTGTGTGTGTGTGTATTGTTAATCATATCATCTTGTTTACACATTTTACCATTCCAGATACTTCCTATAAGTCTCATTTCCAGAGACAAAGATGCTTTAAAAAGATTACTGTTACGCAGTTCTCATGGTAAAACTTCTTAGAATCATTGGTGGATGCCCAATCTGCAAGAAAATTTTCAGTAGGAGCAGAAAATGTGCATGGTCTTGAAGTGACCCCCACAGATCACTCATGATCTGCAGGGGAAAACACAATAATTATAGAGTGGGGAACTAGGACAAGACCTGAATGAGGTGATCAGAATGATGAGCAGTGGGGAGACCAGAGGACATGGTGTGTGTACAGCTGTGCCGGGAGGGAGGAGGGAGGGAGTGACTGGTCTTCAAAACCGTCAGGATCATAAAAGACAAAACCTGTCGAAAGGGGGCTAAAGAGGCGTGAGGACTGGCTGCAGTATCTAGACTCAGTGCAGTATCTAGACCCTGTGTGAAAGAAAACCACGCTGTCAAGGACATTTTTGGGATAATGGACAAAATTGGGTTATGGACACTACATTAGACAAAATTACTGTACCAGTGTAAAATTTACAGAAAGCAATAACTGTACTGTGGTTATATAAGAGAATATTCTTATTTTTAGGAGATACGTGTTGAAGTATTTAGGGGTAGAGTTAAGATGTAAGCAACTTGCAATCAGATGAATCAAAAAAAGAACTTGCAGAGAAGAGGGTGGGGGGGGAGGGAGGGAGAACGCGCACAAATGAGGGAGCAGCTGCTGCCAAGTGTTGACAGTAGGTGAATTCGGGTAAAGGGCCTATGGGTGTTCTGTGTGCTTTTCTTATTCTTGCCAATTTTCCTGAGTTTGAAATCATTTCTAAATAAAAAGTTGCCTTTAAAAAGTTACTACTATAGCAGTTACTTGAGAGGTAAGCCAGCTGACTTTTCATACAGAAAGTGTGTCTCCCTCCCCGCATCCTCCCCCATCCAAAGTGAAGATCAGCCTCAGACTGCCAGGCGGGCACCTGGCCACCTGCTTCATAGCTTAGTGAAGGACAGGGCTTGCTCCCTGGCTTGCCCACATGGGGCCTATGGAAGGACTGAATTTTCCAGCAGCCGTCCGTCTCTCTGGCGTTTGTTGAACGTGGGCCTCTGCGTAACACAGGGGGGCCTCAGTAAGGCTTGAACGGATATAGGAAGGAATGGTTTCTGGAATGCTTTGTGAGGAAGGGGCCCATGGGAACCCTTTGGTGGCTATTAGTGGGCCTGTAGACTGACTTACCCAATCTGCTGGTATTTGTCTGCCCATGAGCAGGACGGTATGGAACTACGTAAGTTTGAGGGGGAAGAGGGAGGCAGGAAACCTTTGCCATGCAGTGGACTAGCCACGGAAGACAGACCCTCAGGTGCTCCTGAGGAATGGAGGTTGGAACAGCAGGAGCAGGAAGGAAGAAGGCCTTGCTGGGGAAGGCCTCGGGTCTCACACAGTCCCGTCTACCACTCTGTGGAAGTGAGCCTGAGGCCAGGACAGGAAGAGCCACACTGGAGAGCTGAATATATAAGAAACGCATCTTGGCCAGAATAGAAGGCACAACCTGGAGTGTAACTAAAGATGAAACTTTCCCTGGAGAGTTTGCTGATGGACACCCATAAATGTCCAGATACTACTCACTGGTTAAGGAATCTGACCTCTGGAGGCCTGGAAATCCACTCCTTTTTGTCAGCATGCCTTCTCCTGTGCTGGGGAGGGAGAGGCCTCCTTAGACCCTCGGGTCCCACTCCCTGCTTAGAGTTGTGCTGTATCACCCATTGGTCCTTCCAGCATCATGCCCCTGTCCTGTTCTGGAGACGTGGGAGACTCCCATCGCCTGTCCTCCTTGCCTGCCAGGGGAAGGCTTCCTGCGGGGCCCCTCTCCCCGGTGCAGCCTCACGTCTTACCGCTGAGCAATGGCGTCTCCACTCCAGCCTCTTTGAAACACCAGCACCCCCTGCTCTCCTGCCTTGCTGCCTTTGTTCATGACATTTCTCACCAGCGGCCAACCAGCTCCAACCTCTCCACTTTCGCAAGAGCTGGGAGATCCCACTTCTGGAAGCTCTCTGTGACCATCCCAACCAGAAGCACCGTGTCCCTCCCCTGAGCTCCAGCACTGGCCCCGTGCCGGCACCACTCTTTAGTATTTTATATTACTTTGCTTTCTGTGCACATTTCTTACTTCCACATGTAGCTGACTAGCACCTTGGAGGCAGCAGCCGTATTTTTCAGTCCCCACACCTCTAGCACTGTGCTTAAGTGAGTGTTTGAGTGGTTCTTAGGATTCTCAATAAAGTGGCTGAGTTGCCATGACCCAGGAGAGCTCCTGGCGCTGTCACCAGAGTGACTCTCAGCGTGGATCCACAAATGAGGAAACACCAGTGAGTTCTGTGCTGTGCTGCAGAGGTGTGGGAAAGAGTGGTGTCATTGCGAGCAGAATGGTGGTATACTCGGTAGATAAACGTGGAAATTTGTAACCAGATGGCTTCAGTCATCGGCAGGTTCACTGTAAACATAAAAGCTTTAGTCCTTGAGCCAAGGGGATGGAATCTATCAGACCTCAAGGAAAGGGAAACCTGCTCTGTGTTCTGAAAATGACCTAGAGGTATCCCTCTTGATAAACTGGCAGGTGGGAGGGCAGAGGTAATGTGGTGGAAGTTTTCTTTTCTTTTAGTTTTATTTCCTTATTTTGGGAATAGGTAATTATAGTCACATGGTTTAAAATTCAAAAGTTACAAGGGGATATAAATGTCTCCCTCCCACCTTGTCCCCAGAGGTGGCTGTTTCGATCAGAGCCTTGTTTCTAGACGTGTGTGTGTGTATGTGTACGCATGTGTGTGTATGCACAAGTAGTTTTGGGTTCTCTTTTCTTGGTGGTGTACAGAAGGGTAGTCAAAGCCCGACTCATGATCCCTAACTCGAGTCTTTTAATGGGATTGTGTCCTAACTGCAAAACCCGCCTCACCAACTTTGTTATAAACTCCCCGGGTTTATAGGGACAGTCATCTACTGTCCCTTCCTAACAGCATGGTGCAGAAACACTCCATAAATGAGTCTTGTGTTGAATCAGATTGAATTAAGTGAGAAAGGAATGGCGGTGAAAAATGTGGCTTTAGTCATCACATGGGCCTACGGGTTTGTGAAAGTAACATTGAGTCTCCTTGTGTTCTGTGTGTACTGCATGTATGTCATCTTGCATCTAAGGATGTATATTACCCATAAAGGAGCATGCAGACACATGAGTGCATCTTGGCTTGCCACTAACTGCCTGTGGCCTTGGGGCTGTCACTCAACTTTTCATCTGGAAATTGAGAATAATAATACTATTATCCTTCTGGAATTGTGTGCATAAATGCACAGGGCCTGGCTCATAAAAAGTACTCAGTGAGGGCCGGGCGCGGTGGCGCACGCCTGTAATCCCAGCACTTTGGGAGGCCGAGGGGTGCAGATTACGAGGTCAAGAGATCGAGACCATCCTGGCTAACACGGTGAAACCCTGTCTCTACTAAAAATACAAAAACAAAATTAGCCGGGCATGGTTGCGGTGTGCCTGTAGTCCCAGCTACTCAGGAGGCTGAGGCAGGAGAATGGCCTGAACCTGGGAGGTGGAGCTTGCAGTGAGCCGAGATCGTGCCACTGCACTCCAGCCGGGGTGACAGAGCGAGACTCCGTCTCAAAAAAAAAAAAAAAAAAGAAGTACTCAGTGTGTATTGGTGGCCATTATTATTATTATTATTATTATTCCTAAAACCCATATACAGTGTTGGCATTAACCATAATGTCTACATTACCTGAAATTAACAGCTGAGTGCTAGCATTACATGAGTAGAATTTCCTGTCCCAGGCAATCCATGGTATATCTTAATTTTGTGATCCACACAGTCTAGCCGAAGCAAAAACATTCTGGGCTTTGCTGACCAGTGATTGCCACAATTTGAATTTTTAGCTATGGTGTTTTACTTTTGTGACATAGTAATCCATAGATTTTACCGTTAATGTCATTTGTTTTTCAGTTATATGTAAGCTTTACATAAGTGCTCTGTTATAAAGTGAGCTGTATTATAAAAGATGCGCCTTTAAAAATGTTTGATGTAATTATTTTCTTACTAGGCACGTGGGAAAAAGCGCCAGATAGGCTGGTTCCCAGCTAATTATGTAAAGCTTCTAAGCCCTGGGACGAGCAAAATCACTCCAACAGAGCCACCTAAGTCAACAGCATTAGCGGCAGGTAAGGAGTTTCGCATCTCTAACTGGAAGATGGTCTGCATGCCACTTGAGTTTTTCCACTTGATTTTCTCATTAAATATCTTAGGTTGTTTTTCACATGTGCTTTAAAGCACTTCCTGTACTTGCTGGGACTGACACCCAACTAATGTGATATGGAATATGTCTTTCAAAAGGACCAGATATCTAAGTGGCTTTTCTGTGCTGGATACAACAGAACCCTTGTTGGAATGCTCTTCTTGCAGGAGTCATGAATGCTGTGGCATTAAGGCCACATTTTCCTCTTGATTTCCTTCCAGCCATTTAAATTGGGGTTTAGGCTAGGGGGTGAGGTGACAGAAAGGGACACCCAAAAATAAACGGCTGGGGTCTCAGTAGGTCATGAGATGGAGCTGGGGGCCACGGGGGTTGGGGGGCTATAATGTGGTGTTCACTGAAGACCAAAATAGCTCCCCTGTGACATTCACTGTGGGCAGAGGGGGCTTCGCTGGGCAGGCAGGATGTTGTACTCACTTTCCTGGAGGACTGGAAAAGAACAGAGCACAGCAGTTGGCCCAGTTGGCTATTTTCTGATTGAAGGGACCAAATGAGATGCTTCAGCAAGATCTGAGAGAGGTGAGGTCAGGGGGAGCAGATTTCTGCTTTAGGTCTTTAAGCCATCATTCTTGGTTGGCTTTTGTGGAAAGTGTAGAATTTTTGTTCCAATACCTTGTGGTTAAATATCTGTGCTGTATGTACCCAGTGAGATAAGATTAAAAACTGGCAGCCTTCTCAAGAAATTAAAGGATGGGCAAACTTTGTGATGAGCCGCAGTCCCCACTGGGCCTCTTTGCTTGAGCTGTGGCCTTGTGTAGGCTGAGGAATGTGGTTCCCGCAGGGTTTGCTGTCCCCTGGAGAGATGTGTCAGTATCCCTCCACTTCCATGTACAGCCCCTTCCTCAGGCCCGCTGAAATTAGTTGCTGAAGTGATTGAATTAGCTGGAGAATTTAAAAAGCCTAAACCTATTTATTAATAGGTTGGTTAAGAAAGATTCATAGGGACTGTGACCTGTTGGTGCAGACTCATCTGAAGTAGAAGTGCCAAAGAATGAGAACAATTTTACCTCCTGTAAGCTTGAGAGAAAATGAGAAAAGAAAAATTGTTCTTGAGGGTGGAGATTTCTTTCAGGACAACATTTTGAGATGCAAAGATACAGCAGCAGAAAAATCTTTTGAAACACTGATTTTAGGCCTGGCATGGTGGCTCGCGCCTGTAATCCCAGCACTTTGGGAGGCCGAGGCGGGCGGATCTCTTGAGGCCAGGAGTTCGAGACCAGCCTGGCCAACATGGTGAAACCCCGTCTCTACTAAAAATAGAAAAATTAGCCAGGCGTAGTGGTGCATGCCTGTAATCCCAGCTACTCAAGAGGCTGAGGTAGGAGAATCGGTTGAACCCTGGAGGTGGAGGTTGCAGTGAGCTGAGATCGTGCCACTGCACTCCAGCGTGGGCAACAGAGCGAGGCTCTGTCTCAAATAAATAAATAATAAATAAATAAATCACTGGTTTTAGTTTTCCCTAAGATTTGGAATTCTTGGAGGTCAAATGATGATTACCTTCCACTTTAAACCAAAAAGGAAAAATGATAGTAAAGTCCCCATGATACATAGCTGTCCTGTGCAGCAGAAGATAGGATGGGGTTGGGCTGGTCTTTCCAGAGTCAGCAGTAGGAAGGAGTTCCGCTGCACTCAAAACGAAAGCCCTCGATTAGCACTGTACATTTTCTGCTGACAAGTAAACATGAAAAAGAGGACGATATCATAAAAACTAAAGACTTAGTGTGAAAATTTTGTTGTTGTCTTAGTTTTTAATTCTTCACCTTTATTGCCCACACTGTAAAAAGCCCAACAGAACAGTTCCACCTACTGTCACCCTCTTCTGAAAGGACAGAAATAGTAGCTGGGAATGTTGAATGGCTGCGCGGTACCCGTTGTGCATTCTCCGGCGGGTGTGCAGCCGCTCACCCAGCCCTGTCTCCTGCAGTGTGCCAGGTGATTGGGATGTACGACTACACCGCGCAGAATGACGATGAGCTGGCCTTCAACAAGGGCCAGATCATCAACGTCCTCAACAAGGAGGACCCTGACTGGTGGAAAGGAGAAGTCAATGGACAAGTGGGGCTCTTCCCATCCAATTATGTGAAGCTGACCACAGACATGGACCCAAGCCAGCAATGTAAGTGCCCTGGTGGCTCTGTCGCCTCGCCTCTCTGGTATCTTCCCGTAAAACATGCAGCATTGCTCTGATTCTGCTGAGCTTTGTTTGCAGAACTTAAAGCTAGACCATTGCTGCATTCGCAGTCGTCTCTTTGAAGACCTTCTGTAATGCAAGAGTTTATCTCATGGGGTTTTATTTCTCTTTAATTTTCATTCCTTCTGTAGCATGTCCCCTCCCTCCCCTCCCTCCTTTTTCCTTTTTTTTTTTAAATCATTTTGGCACCATGCTGTTTACATGCCTGACTCATTTTCCTAGCTTGAATTTTGCTCATTGTTTTGTTTTGCTTATGTGTTGTTTTCCTCCTTTTTCTAGGAATCATATGTTGTCCATCCCCCCCTCAGGCTTGAAAGTCCTCAAAGAGACCCACTATCCCATATCACTGCCCAGAGGGATGATGGGAGATGCAGCCTTGATCATGTGACTTCCAGCATGATCACCTACTGCCTTCTGAGTAGAAGAACTCACTGCAGAGCAGTTTACCTCATTTTACCTTAGTTGCATGTGATCGCAATGTTTGAGTTATTACTTGCAGAGATAGGAGCAAAAATTACAAAAACACACAGGGTAGTGGGTCCTTTTGTGGCTTTCCTAGTTACTCAAATTGACTTTCCCCCACCTTTGCACAGGTGCTTTCAATAGTTTTAAAATTATTTTTAAATATATATTTTAGCTTTTTAATAAACAAAATAAATAAATGACTTCTTTGCTATTTTGGTTTTGCAAAAAGACCCACTATCAAGGAATGCTGCATGTGCTATTAAAAATTGTTCCAAATGTCCATAAATCTGAGACTTGATGTATTTTTTCATTTTGTCCAGTGTTACCAACTAAATTGTGCAGTTTGGGGCTTTTCCCCCTTACCATAGAAGTGCAGAGGAGTTCAGTATCTCTGTTTTAAAGACGTATAGAATGAGCCCAATTAAAGCGAAGGTGTTTGTGCTTGTTTGTGTGTATCAGCTGTACCTTGTTGAGCATGTAATACATCCTGTACATAAGAAATTAGTTCTTTCCATGGCAAAGCTATTACCTTGTACGATGCTCTAATCATATTGCATTTAATTTTATTTTGCACAGTGACCTTGTAGCCACATGAGAAAGCACTCTGTGTTTTTGTTCGGTCTCAGATTTATCTGGTTGAGTTGGTGTTTTGTTTGGGGTTTTTAATTTTGCGTGTTTGCATAGCATAAAATCAGTAGACAACACCACTGAGGTCGTTACGATCAACGATATCCACAGTCTCTTTTTAGTCTCTGTTACATGAAGTTTTATTCCAGTTACTTTTCATGGAATGACCTATTTTGAACAAGTAATTTTCTTGACAAGAAAGAATGTATAGAAGTCTCCCTGCAATTAATTTCCAATGTTTACATTTTTTAACTAGACTGTGGAATTTCTACAGATTAATATGAAATGGAGCTCATGGTCCGTTTGTGTGTTAGATATGCTGTAGCTGAAGCCCTGTTTGTCTTTTAAACACTAGTTGGAAGCTCTCAATAAAAATGCCTGCTGCTCACAGCACAGAAAATGGGGCAGGGGGAGCCTCAAGCACAATCTAGCTGTCCTCCTAAAGACTCTGTAATGCTCACTCCCCTCGCGTTCTCCCGGCGCTGTCGGGAGGCTGTGCTGGTGGTCGTGTAGAGGTCCTTCTCCTTTCACATGGTGCAGAGAGCGAGGACCTCTCCTCCTCGTTCAGTTGCACTTCAGTATTTTCACGGATATGAATGTAAAATATATAAATATATAAACCTGCGGCTTTAACAACTGTAATACAACCTTTTGAATTAGTTCCGTGTATAGATAATTAAATTCTTCATACAAAAGTTAGATGGAAATGTCTCTGTGTTCTTGATGTTGGAACCTGGCAGTGGTGGTGAGGAACCAAGCAGACTAGATGTCAGCAATGGGCCTGCTGCCCACGTGTCAACCATGACCTGTGCTCTTTGAAATACAGACATTATCAGAGGCTCGCCGAGTCTTTGTTGAACAGCCCTCCCTCTCCCCGTGCTCTCCACCTTCCCTGATCAATATGCAAATGATCATTCCTTATAATACCAGTTTCGAAACATAGAACTCTACCACCCAGTTTAGCAGTTCAGTCTCACCGGGCTTTTGATATAAGTTGTCGACACATTGAGGGTGTGTGATTTGGCTCAGGGTACAAACCATTTGTCCAAAAGATGTATCGTAATGTACTGGTGAACACCCCCAAAATTATGTGGGTAAAGACAGAAACTTGCACATGCCCCACGTTGTCTGGGATCGGCTTCTGCCTGGCACACTTTGCAGAAATAAACCAGCGTCCACATTGATGCCACTGTTTGCTACAATGACCACATGCTTGATTCCATCCTCATGAGCTTCACTTATTGGACCTCTCCTGCCATTCAGTGGAAAAGTGGTTTCCTTCCTCAATTCAGCAGATATTTGGTGGGGGGGATGTCTACCATGAGTTGGGTGCCCCATTGGCTTCTGGGAGGAGTGTGGTACTCCGTGGAAACAGAGTCCCTGTCTTCATGGAGTTCATATTGTAATGGAAGGAACAAACAGAAAACCAAACTCCTGCAATCCATATAAATATGCACGGTATGTGTGTGACAAGGTGACAAGTTCTGCACTAGAAGTTTGGATATGAGGCACCACTGAGCAGACTGGCAGGGCCAGGGGAGGGTGGCTGCAGGGCAAGGATCAGAGAACCTTCAGGGGGTGGGGCGGGGAGTGCCATTTGAGCTGAGACCTGAAGAGTAAGGAGGGAGGAGCCAGATGGAGTGGGGGAAGAGGTGTGGCTATTGTAGATGGAGCTGTCAGGACAAGCAAAGGCCCAGGGGTGGGCGGGGAGATCCTTCTCACTGTCCCCCAGGCCACCCCCGTGTGGAGCAGTGGTTGAGTCTGCAAGTCCCATCTCTTCCCCAGGATCCCTTCAGCTGTGTAAGCCAGTGTTGCTTCTCCAGTCTTGAGTTTGGCTGGAAGGGATGCAGTTGTCAAGGTGGGTACTACTCCATAACACTCTACCTAATTCACTCCAGATGCCCCACGCCCTCACTGTAGGCCATTTCCCCAGGCTTGCCTCCAGCTTTGTGAAGTTGACATGGGTTGTTCCCCAGGAAGCTGTGCTTTCCCCTACAAATCATTGAGTTTGCATTTGGTTGTATCCATTGGACCCCATGATTCTCAGCCAGTGGGAGTGCTGCTGGTGTCTCATGGTTAGAGTCAGGGATGCTGCTCCTCATCCTGCAGTGCACAGGACAGTCCCCCGCAACAAAGAATGATCTGGCCCCAGATGTCACCAGAGCTGAGGTTGAGAAGCGCAGGTCTCACCCCACTGGCCACTGTGGTTAATGTTCACCTGGTTATTCACCACCAGAAAGGCTGCCCCGGTAACTCCTGTTGAATAAATTTAATCACCTAAGCTCATGTCGTGTATCTGCAGCATCAAACGTATCTCAGAACCTTGGTTTTATATTTCAAAATCTTATTCTTGTTTATTATCCCCCATACTCTGCACTTTGGTACTAGATTAAACTACTTCAGTCATATTCACAAGAGAATCTGGTTAACAGAAAATTGAGTACAAGGGAAAGAAAGCATCTTTCTTCTAATAAATTAGTGAAGGGATACTAGGTATCTCCTATGGCCTCAGAGTTTAAAGGTGTCAGGTTTTGGTTTGTTTGTTCTTTAGCTATTTGTTTTTTGTTTTTTAATTTTTTTTTTTGAGACAGTCTTACTCTGTCACCCAGGCTGGAGTGCAGTGTCGTGATCTCGGCTCACTGCAACCTCCACCTCCCGGATACAGGCGATTCTCCTGCCTCAGCCTCCTGAGTAGCTGGGATTACAGGCATGCACGTGGGTCTGGCTGCATTTTGTATTTTTGGTAGAGACAGGGTTTCACCATGTTGGCCAGGCTGGTCTCCAACTCCTGACCTCAAGTGATCCACCCGCCTCAGCCTCCCAAAGCACTGGGATTACAGGTGTGAGCCACCGTGCCTGGCTTACTTTTTGTATTTTTAGTAGAGATGGGGTTTCACCATGTTGGCCAGGCTGGTCTTGAACTCCTGACTTCAGGTGATCCACCCACCTCGGCCTCCCAAAGTGCTGAGATTACAGGCGTGAGCCACTGTGCCCAGTCTGTTTTGTTTTGTTTTTTAAACTGATTATTAAATCATTTAATTTCATATTGGTCTGTGTAAATATATTTGCAAGTGAACTTTGGGTACAGTTTTGCTCCAGTAGCATTAGACAAGATGAGTCCAAATGAGATTGTCTTCATTGTGCACTTACGAATCACTCTCCTCTGGCCGGCTGCCTCTCCACACTGCAGAGCAGGCCTGCAGAGTTGGGGAGCCATGGTGGTTGAGTTCCCCAAGTGGCCCAGGCCTCAGACTGCCTCTGCATAAAAGGGTGTCTGGGAGAAGCCGATCTAAAGCAGTAACTCGGCCCTATGTTAAGTCACAAAATATCTAACCATTACATGCATGGTAGAAACTGGTATCTTCCCTGTTTCTGGAAAGGAATCTGGGCAGACCCAGGCCGCAAATAGTAACGATTGGGTTATCTATGCTTTCAGCGATGCCATCAGAAGAAATAGTAACACTAGCTTAGGAAAACCCTCTAAATATTAGGTTTAACCATATGAAATTGTCAATTCTTACCTATAAAAACAGCAATCTATAATTCAACCTAGTACAATATATCATCACCTGGCACATGGTAGGTTAGGTTAAAAAAAAATGCCTATTGAATGAGTGAATGAAATCAACCGGTGACTATAGAAAACACCAGTCTCAGCTTTTGACACAGACCACATCACCCTCAGAGAGGAGACCATGCTGTCTCTCCAGTTTCCTTTTCCTTTAGATGTGAGCTTCCCAAAAACAACAGTGGCCTTGGAAGGGGCTGCTCCTGGAGTCTCTTGCTCATTTGGTCTAAGAAGGAGGCTGAGGACCAGGGACCGTTGTCTGAGCCAAGTCTCCACTCCAGCACAGGGCGGGGGCAACACCCCACCCAGGTAACAGTTGGGCAACGGGCACAGCAAATCGCAGTCCTGCTTCATTAATCCTATTCATTCTCTTTAGTTCCAAAAATACCCAAGAGAATTTTTATGGAAATGACATTGGATGCCAATGGTCCCAAAAATGCAAGGAAAAATAGCTCCTTCTTTGAAATGTCTGGTATTCGGGGTCTGGTAGGATAGGGAGACGTAGTGAAGTCCAAGATCACAGTAGCCTTAATGTGAATGTTCCGCTTCAGCCAGAGTTCTCTTGGGCACTTTTTTTTTTTTTTTTTTGAGACGGTTCACCCAGGTTGGAGTACAGTGGTGCAATCTCGGCTCACTGCAAGCTCTGCCTCAGCCTCCCCAGTAGCTGGGACTACAGGTGCCCGCCACCATGCCTCGCTAATTTTTTTGTACTAGAGATGGGGTTTCACTGTGTTAGCCAGGATGGTCTCGATCTCCTGACCTTGTGATCCGCCTGCCTCGGCCTCCCAAAGTGCTGGGATTACAGGCGTGAGCCACCGCGCCCGGCCACTCTTGGGCACTTCTTTACGAAAACCCCACATAGGAAAAACCAGGCTTCCAGAGTGTCTCCTGACGTCTAGTTAGCTATTCCATTTCAGAGGGCTCCATAGCCTCTCAGGAAGAATCTATTCTTTAAATTAAAAGCTCCCCAGGCATTTTTAAGTTGTATGACCTGATTCTCAAAAATGTTTCATTTATAAAAAATGAGCATCAGCTATAAGATATATATAGTGTCCGTGCAACTTAATGTTGGGCATACCACCTCTTAGAAGCTACCAGCTACCATGCTGTTGTTTTATGATGTCAACGGTGTGTGTGTGTGTGTGTGTGTGTGTGTGTGTGTGACAGGCAGTGAGCAGCAACTTTCAGGTGACTTAACTGCCTACATCTGTAGCTTGGTGACAGTAGGTCAAACGGTGAGTTCAGGGTACAGCCAGAAGGCAGATAAATACCGCTGTATAGAAGATTCTGGCAGAGGCTGACAGCTGCTATTTCCACATCTGCTTGGCACGTCGCTTCTGAGTGATGTTGCAAGCCTCAAAAGAGATGTTCCTTATTTTGACTCAGACTATCATGTCTTTAAAAGCTGAACAGTTCCTTCTCTTGATGCCGTTTCTCTGAACTCTGACCCAGGAGAGGGGAGAACACTTTTGATCTGCCAGTTTTCATCAAGGACGCTGTTTCCCTCAGTGAGAGGATGAAACCCCTGACGCCCCTGCTTTCCCCTCCCATTTCCTATGCTGTCCTGTCCCCTTCTGATACCTGTCCCCACACACTCATGCACGCTGATCCACTGCGTTGCTTCCCAGGCCCCACCCAGAAAGTGAGGAAAGGCCTGGGCTGCGGTGGAGCGCAGGATGTTCTCTGCGGATTATTCAGTGAAGTCGAGATCTTAGAGAACATTGAGCATAAGGCCTGCACCTATACAGCTGAGGGCACTGAGGGTCTCGGGAAACACAGTGATGTTCTCAAGTCAGCTTTTCAAATTCCGACAAGTCCTCGTTCTAGGCGTACCATTTGATGCACAGATCTATGGACATGTGTGTCCATAATAGCCCCAGAGCTCCTGCCTCCACAGAACTGGTGGCTGCATCTTTGGAAAGATCGGGAAGGGGCCCCTCTTGCCTCATGTGATTTCCTCACTGGTGGGGTTACCATGGGAGTTTGGAGCCATTGGTAAGGATTCCAACACATTTTCAACGCACAAGCTTCATGCTGACCCGCCCCAGCCCTTTGTCCTTCTCTCCTCCACTGGGCGAGTTTGCCAGGCGCTCAGGCTTACTTAAGACACCCTCAGTCTGAGCCAAATGTAAGAACATGTGCTGCTGTAGCTTCCCAATTTTCATTCCTGGCCTCCAGAAAAACATGGTGCTGTATATAACAACACGGCTTCTCTGCAAGTTCAGCCTAATATTTTACTCCATTTCTCTCATCATTTTGGAACATTCTATTTCCCTGTAGACCACCTGCCTATAGGAAGATAGTGATTCAGACGGAGCATCCACATAACTGCATCTGGGGACCTTATAGAGGCTAAGGAGCAATCCAGGATGGTGGCTCAGAGCACGGGTTCAAATCCCAGCTCTGCTACTTACTAGTGGTGTGATCTTGGGCAAGTTATGTAACCTCTTTGTGCTTCAGTTTCCTCATTTACATATGGAGAGATAATGATGACATCTAGCAGAAAATAAGCAGAGAATAATAGCTTTGTTGCTGTTGTTTTTATTGGAGAGAAAAGGCATTTGTGCCTGGTCAGTGAGCATCATGGAATCCAATCAAGTGCCTTCTTTCATTAAACCAAAACAGCAGGTAGGTTGTGTGCATTTTTAAGACCTTTTAGAAAGTATGCTTTTATAGATTAGGAATTTCAGAGAGAAAAGATTGGACAGCTTCCCTAAAAACTTTGAGCTATCTCATTGCAAGATTTGCCCTACCAATCCGTGCACGAACCCTGGCCCCCTTCCTGATAGCAGGAGGCCCACCGGTGGAAGCAAGCAGCTTTTTAAACGCCTTCGCTGCACTCCTGCAATGTGCAGAGACCTCTGGACCAAAGACCAGAGCCTACTCAGCAGACTCTTGGTTGATGTGGACAAGCTGCCTGTGTTTCACACGGTCGACGGTGGGGAGGCCACCAGGGAAAATGGAATGTGCAGGGCTTTTAAATGTCACGTCTGGACTGTGTTGGCAGGCCCATGCAGCGCTCCACAATAAACCTGTCACAAATGCATTGAGTCACTGGGTCCTTTATTTCTCATCACGGCATTCTGTGGCCTTGTGTTCTCTTGCCAGCAAAGAATGGAACGTTCAGCCCCCTAGACATGCCGGCTGCTGGATTTTTTAAGCAATCATCCAGCTTAGATAAGGGGCGTGGGCTGCTGGGGAATGCTGCCCCAAAGCGCTGTCTCCAGAGCAGCTGCCCCAGGCATGCTTAATTCCCTCCCTGCCCACTGTGTGCACCCCCAAGATGCCTCTCAATATCCAGACCTGCAGTTCCACTCTGTTTGTTAGGCCCCCCAGGAGAGCGAGCCTGCAGTCCGCCCCAGCAGAGGGGACCAGGCCAGGGATGCCTCTTTCCTCTCTGGAGTGTTACCTTGGAGTCCTGAGGCCCCGTGACAAGACCCCACACGGCCGAATCCTCAGTAACAGCCCTCCACTGACTTGGTATCCAGTGGGATTCCTCCCTCCATCCCATTCTCTAGGGGGCAGAAGCACATCTGCCCGTCCTGTCCGCCTCCCCTTCCATCCTGCATCCTGTCTTCTCCTCTCCCCGCCTCCTGCTGTGTGGCCCATGAGCCCAGGAGGGACCCAGTCTACTCTGTTTACCTCTCCCGCTGCCCACTGAGAGTCATGGCTGAGGTACATGGAACCGGCCTGGTCATAGGGCCGTGCTCAGCAGAACACAAGCAGAGGAGATGCCTAGAACTTTCAGGAGCAGGTGACAAGCAGCAGAGAAATGAGTGGGGGTTCCAGCTAGTGAAGGATGGGGTGGCACAGAGCATGACTGGGGGCCAGGGATCCAGCCGAGAGGATGGCCCGAGAAAGCTCTCTGAAGAGGGGGGATGGAGACCTGGCTGCGGGGGAGGCACGTCCAAAGATCAAGGGGGAGGAGCTTTCTCGGCCCAAGGGACAGCAAGTGCAAAGGCCAGGGCTGAAGGAGCTGCTCCTGCCCCTCACAGAAGGATGACTGAGTCTTCGACCTGGTCTCTCTGCACCCACTCTCTCCTTCCAGCTTCCCCCACGCTGCAGGCAGAGAGCTATTCTAAAAACATCACTTCTTATGCTTAAAATCATCCAGGGGATTCCCGGTCCTCCGAGATAAAAGACCCGAATCTACTTGGTCTGCAAACCCTGCCTGATCTGCCCCCTTCTCCAGCCCTCTAACCTTCCCTCTCCTCATTTATTCCTATTTGTGCTGAATTTTAGCACGGCTCAGTCGTCACCTCCTCGAGGAAGCCTTCCCTAACCCATGCATTCTTCTGTGCTTGCAGAGGGGAAACTGGGCTGACTGGTTACGGAGCTGCTCTACAGGAGCCTGCTCAGTGTTCTTTCTTCTGCCACCTTTGAGTCCCCGTCATGACCCGTCACGAAAGTCCAGGCTTTTGTTGCCCCCATGGCTTTCCAAATGGCCCTGTTGAAAACATCCCCTTTGACCCTCCAAACCACTTTATGGAAAGGTCCATTTTCATCATGGGAGTCCCTCCTCAGAGAGAGTCAGAACCCACATCTGGTGCCCACTGTGGCATCGTGGGCCCACGTCAGCAGGAAGGGATGGGGGTGCAGGCAGGCAGTGTGGGCAAGGAGCCTCCCCCAGCCTTAGAGACTGAATGACTCAACCCCCCTTGTCTACCTCCCAGGGATCTTGTGTGCCCACATGTCCAATAGGGAGGTGGTGCTTGGGTCCAGGGACTTCCTTCATCATCTAGCCTCACTCTGCTGTCCAGTCTCACCCAACCCAGAACCTTCCCTCCATCATGTCAGCCTCCACCACCACCCCAGAATTCTTGAGTCTCATTTAAGCCACTGGTAGGCCCCAGCTGCAAATGCCTTTGCCCCACCTCCCCTGCCTTTCCTGCCCACCTGCCTTCACCTCTCCCGATTTCGCTGCCACCTCTCCTGCTCCATTAACTTGTAACAACTCAGCTCTTTTCTGAATTCCTTATCACACAGAAAGATGACTAGATAGAAAGGCTGATACAGAAATACATAGATACTCTTACCTCCCCAGTTAGACTGTGAGCTCCTTGGAGGCAGGGCCCAAATCTTGTGGTTTGTTACATCCCCATTAAGACCTCCATGGTAACAACACTAATGAACAGCGATGGTACCTTGCCTTGTGTAGTTGTCTTATTGCAGGGCACCCTGCCTCCCTGCTGATTACAAACCAGAGGGCAGGGCCTACCTCCCACACGTGCATATCCCCATGGCGCCTCACTCTTGCCAGTTGCTCAGGAAGTGCTGTGGCAGACAGTCCTGGGCTGCCCTTCTACCTGCCTGTTGTTCCACAGGCTTGGTCCTTCCTCCCCAGCTAGGCTGTGAGGGGCAGGACACGTCACAGTGTTCATTCTCCCTGCTGCGTGTAGCCTGGAACCCAGCACAAAACCTGTGCTTGAGTTTCCCTCCCCAGGAGGAAAGGAAATTGTAAACGAGGCACCATCGTTTACAAAATAAGTTCTCATGAAAAGACCCCAAAACAGGAAGTGAGCTTATGAAGCATAAGGATTGTTCTTCATCGTTCTTATAACCACCTTCAGTACTGTCTATTTATGTATGTATTTGGTTTTCTGTCTCCCCTACCAAAATGGAAGCCCCACAAAAGTAGGGGCCCCTGCGGATCTATGCAGCCGCTGTGAATGAGCAGGAAATGTCATGGCTCAGGTTGCCTCTTGGGTTCCTATGGGATCAGTTTGTTAAGTTAGGAGAGACCGACCCCAGGGAGCAGGCTATGGGTGCTTAGACCCTTCTGAAGAAAGTTCCATTGAGATGAGAAGTCCACCTGCCCCTCTGGACAGCTCAGAGCTGGTCTGGCCTCCAGAGCTTCCTGTGGGCTGGGGCTGTCCAGGAACCGGTCAGCCAAGGGTCATTTTCAGAGAAGGCCTGGCTGCCTTGGCCTAGACTGGCCACTGCCATCCCCCACCAGTCCCCACCAGCCCTGCGCTCCAAGGACAAGCACAACCTCTCAGCCTGATCTTGCAGGCATCTGCTGAGAGAGAAAAGCTTAAGGACCACCCTCAGGCCTGCCCTTTGAAAAGCCGGTGGTTTCCTCCTGATTCCATTTCCTGACATATCACCAGCATAGGTTTTATTCTTGATAGGGAAGGTCACCGTACATCGCTGGGATCTGCTGTTCCATTCATAAGATGAGGGCGTTGAGCAGAGAGAGTAGCCTTTGAAGCCATAGCCCATGGCTGGGGGTCAGTGGTGGCAGCGTGGCCTGAGGTGCAGCTTCAGAGGGCCCGAAGAGTGGAGTGTCAGATGGTCTCTGGGCTCAGAGAGATGGCGTTCTGTGGTTACAGCCATTGAGCCTCTTGGACAATGGCTTGAGTGACCTGCCATGGGCTGGATTCAGCTCAGCAGTTGTGGCAGCTCTCATGATCCCTGGGCCTGGACGGATCAGTTTCCAAATCCCACCCGCTTTTCGCGCCAGGTGTCTTGATTTCCAGGCCATCTTTCCTCTGATCTCCTGGCTGTACATGGGAACCACACGGGAGCTTTGCCGATAACAGATGCCTGGACCCCACTCCAGCCAGTCCGGTTTAGTTGGTCTGGGGTACAGCAGGGGCACTGGGATTTTTAAAAACTCCTTGCGTGACCCCAGTGTGTGGCCAAACTCCAGGGCCACAGCCCCGTCCATGCCACACACAGCTGCCGCACTGATCCCCTGAAACACAGCCAAGACCTTCCCAGCTCCGCAGCCAGCGCCTCCTCGACTGGACTTCCCCACCTGTTAGGGCTGAACTGTGTCCCTCAGATTCACACGTTGAAGCCCAGGACATCAGAATATGACTTCGTTTGGAGATAAATTCTTTAAAGAGGTGATGAAGTGAACACGAGGCTGTTAGGGTGAGCCCTAATTCCATCTGATGGGTGCTCTTAATAAGAGGGGGAAATGTGGACACACAGACGCTGGAGATGTGCATGCACAGAGGAAAGACCCTGCCGAGGAGAGAGGCCTCAGGAGGAACCAGCCCTGTTGTCACCTTGATCTTGGACTTTGTATCTTTAGAACCATGAGGAAGTATATGTTGTTTAAGCGGCTGGGTCTGTGGCCTTTGTTATGGTCGCCTGAGCAGATTAGCGCACCAGCGAGGAGGAAGAGGCCTCCGGGGAAGAGCATGAGCTCTAGGGTCAGACTCCCTCTGCCATTTATCAACTGACTTACCCGCCCTGTGCCTCAGTTTCCCTGTCTGTTCAGTGGGGGATAACAACAGTATAGCTACCGCATAGGATTCCTGGTGAGGATTCAATGAGTTTGCACATGTGCAGCACCCGGCATTGTGAGCTCTGAGTGGCGTTCCACCTGAACGCCCATGACTCACCATCACGCAGAGACTGCTTCCCTCCTCTGCACCTGCCCCCAGGGCTCCACGCCCCCGACTCCAATTTCTATTTACTCCCATTCTTCCTCCCTCCATTTGAATCCCTCACCGCTGCCTGCCCCCTCACCACCGATATTAGCCTGCTGAAGTCCAACTCAAATTCCTCCTCCCCTGCTAAATATTTTCAAATCCTTCTCATCAAAACAACAGGCCCCCTTGAATTAGACCTAGTATTTGGCCGAGTGTGGTGGCTCACGCCTGTAATCCCAGCACTTTGGGAGGCCGAGGCGGGCGGATCACCTGAAGTCAGGAGTTTGAGACCAGCCCGGCCAACATGGTGAAACCCCGTCTCTACTAAAAATACAAAAATTAGCTGGGCGTGGTGGCATGTGCTTGTCCCAGCTACTTGGGAGGCTGAGGCAGGAGAATCACTTGAACTCAGGAGGCGGAGGTTGCAGTGAGCTGAGATTGCGCCACTGCACTCCAGCCTGGGTAACAGAGCAAGACTCTGTCTAAATAACAAAAACAAGAACAACAACAACAAGAAAAACCCTAGTATTTGGCTGGGCACAGTGGCTCATGCCTGTAATCCCAACACTTTGGGAGGCCAAGGCAGACGGATCACTTGAGGCCAGGAGTTGAAGACCAGCCTGGCCAACATGGTGAAACCCTGTCTCTATTAAAAATAGAAATATTAGCTGGGCGTGGTGGCGCATGCCTGTAATCCCAGCTACTCGGGAGGCTGAGGCACGAGAATTGCTTGATCCTGGGAGGTGGAAACTGCAGTGAGCCAAGATTGCACCATTGCACTCTAGCCTGGGCAACAGAGCAAGACTCTGTCTCAAAAAAAAAAAAAAAAAAAGACCTAGTATTTGATACCACAACAGAGCAACTACAATAGTAATTTAATTGTACATTTAAAAATAACTAAAACAGTGTAATTGGATTGTTTGTAACACAAAGGATAAATGCTTGAGGGGACGGATACCCCATTCTTATGATGTGATTATTACACATTGCATCCCTGTACCAAAATAGCTCAGGTGCGCCATAAATATATACACCTACAATGTACCCACAAAACTTAAAAATAAAACAAAAACCAACAGGCTCCTCCTTCATATTCCAATAAAAATGCATTTGTACTTTCATTATAACATGCCAGTCTGCCTTTGTACCCAAAAAACTTATTAACAGGAGCTACTCATACTACAGGAGAGGGCACAGTGAGAGCAGGAAGTCAGGGGTGGGACATAGAAGGGGCCTGGAATGAGCTGAAGCATACCTACCACAGAGGATGTAAAGCTGTGCCAGGAATTCCAGTGCCCATTATGAAGCTATGAATGATACACCCTTTCACTCTCTGAAATGTGCATATTTATGGAAAATTAAGAGATGATTTATCCCTGAGAAGAATTTGATCTTCACCACTTCTCAGCAGTAATTAAACTGCCTGGCAACCCCTGTGGACTGGATTCCCCTCCTTGGGAGAAAACAAAGCTTATTTGGAGTTACATTGGCACTTTTAAGCATCTGGGTTACATCTGAATGGAAGCCTCCCGAGGACCCAGCTACATGGGGCAAGATGTGTCACCAGGACAGGCTGGGTGGGATACCTGAGCTCTGCTGGACCCACGAGGGTCTCTGGTGCCTTTGGGGGCATTCCTTCCCCTCTCACCTCTGTGCCCACCGGCTTCTCCAGACCCCATTAAAAATCGCATCTTGAGGATTTGCAACTCCGAGGTCTCAAGGACTGATAACCGCTTGGAGTGATGCCCTGTGCAAAGTGCCTGCAACTCAGCAAGGATCCAAGTTGGCCTGGGACTCCCAGGTCTAGCAACCAGCAGGCTCCCAAAGGACAAGGACCCGGACTGCCTCCTTCTCACTGAACCCCGGGGCCGAGCGTGGATGCTGCTTCACAGCAGGAGTACACAACTTCATGGCTTGGAGAACGCTGGGGTTTCAGACATCAGCTGCAGGGTAAAGGGACATAGTGTTTGGCCAGAGAACTTTCTTCACGTCATATCCATGTGGCTTCATCTGCTTTTCCTACACGACAGGCCACCCCACACCTACCAGGAGAGGCCCAGGGTGTTGAAGGGAGTGCAGTTAGATTAATTTGCCCAGGAGAAGCCAGTGCAGCTCTGGGGTGCATGGGCTCACCTGGCAGGAGAGACTTGGTCCATGGGGAGAAGCCTGCAGTATAGATGGGACCTCCAGGAGCCCAAGTAGCATAGACCCTGCTGATCCGGGGCCATTGAGCCAGAGGATTTGGGCTGAATGTCCCCAGAGACAAAAGGGAAAGGTAGATCCTTTCCCTTAAAGATGAAAGCCATCGCCCGGGCTTGCTTATTGCTCTCTCTCCTGGTCCTTCCACATGTTGTTTCTGAACATTTGTTCTGGCATCACAATCCCCGTCACCCTGTCATCTGGCCCTTCCCACCTTTCCACCTTATCTCTTGCAGTGTCTCCGCGTCGACCTGGCACCTGGGTGAAGGCTTGCTCTTGCTGGTGCCCATAGCCCCCAGTGTATGGTCTTGACCTCCCCAGCCATATGGAGACCCAGCCTCAGGAGGGCCCCTCGAGGAAGCCTCCCCTTAGCACGAGGAGTTGCTCCCTTCTGAGGTCCTACTGTCTCCACCATCAGCACAGCACACGGGCTCTTTTTTCTTTTCTTTTTTTTCTTTTTTTTTTGAGACAGAGTCTCGCTCTGTCACCCAGGCTGGAGTGCAGTGGTGCGACCTCAGCTCACTGCAACCTCCACCTCCTGGGTTCAAGCGATTCTCCTGCCTCAGCCTCCCGAGTAGCTGGGATTACAGGTGCCTGTCACCATGCCCAGCTAATTTTTGTATTTTTAGTAGAGATGAGGTTTCACCATGTTGGCCAGGCTGGTCTTGAACTCCTGACCTCAAGTGATCCACCTGCCTCAGCCTCCCAAAGTGCTGGGATTACAGGTGTGAGCCACTGCACCCGGCCTGGGCTCTTTTTTTAATGCTTGCTATTTTAATTTCTTTTTTTTTTTTCTCGTTTTTTTTCTTTTCTTTTCTTTTCTTTCCTTTTTTTTTTTTTTTTTTTTCCTGAGACAGGTGCTCGCTCTGTTGCCCAGGCTGGAGTGCAGTGGTGCGATCATAGCTCACTGCAGCCTCTATTTCCTGGGCTCAGGTAATCCTCCTGCCTCAGCCTCCCAAGTAGCTGGGATTACAGGCATGTACCACCATGCATGGATAATTTTTTAAATTTTTTGTAGATATGGGTGTCTCTCACTATGTTGCCCAGGCTGGTCATGAACTCCTGGGCTCAGGCAATCCACCCACCTCTGCCTTCCAAAGTACTGGGATTACAGACATAAGCCACCAAGCCCAGCTGCTTGCTATTAATATTTTTAATTTAATTTTCCTGTTGTGTCTCTCCCAAGATTGTGAGTTTCCCTGAGGACAAGGACAGTATCTTGCTTATTTCTGCGTCTCTTGGACTTCAGAGGAACTTAATAAATATTTATGGACCACCTTATTGCATATTTTGGCCCCTTTCATACAGGAACAAGGTCTGTTTATTTGCTTTGCTCAATGGGCAACTTGCTGTGGGGGCTGGCTTCGTTTTCAAAATTCTGCTTCTCATTGGGAAAGGTAGAATAATTGGAGGTGTGGAGATGGGTGAGGTGCACTTTTTACCCTGAATGCTCTGTAGCCCTTGAAATTTTAATAATCAGCATGTGTTTATGTATTACTTTTGTAATAAAACAAGTTCTTGAAATGATGCTGTTCATACAAATATCAGTTGAGGGAAGCAAGATGACCTTTTATTGGTAAGGTTTTTTTTTCCCCGTGATTTTCTCCAGGGCCTAGACTCAAAAAATCCTTCCAGAAGGCCATCACATCTCTCTCCATTTCGTAAATGTGTCTAACTAGGCAACATCTAAGGGACGGCACACAGATTAGGAATTTTATGTGGGCTATAATAGGGGATCATTTGTAACCGCCTGGAGTCATTTGCAATATTATTTCAGCTGTGTGTGGATTTCAGTTAGTTTTGAGAATCCTTCTGTCACACCAAGATGTTCATGGAAAACCATTTGATGTGTTTTCTCCTCTCGTTTTTCCCTGGGAAAGGGGGCCAGAAACCATGTTTATCCTAGGACCCAAAAGAGGAAAAGGCCACGTCCCTCCACCCCTAAAGAAAACGCTTTTATTTGAAATGTCTTTTCCATTTACCCTACTTTGAATAATGGAGTTTTTAAACTCACTTGTTTTTCTAAATATTAAATTTTCAAAGGAAGAATATTTTTGAGTTCAAAATGCCTATTTCAAATCTTTAATGGTTCTCTTGGTCTGGCATTCACCAGCAAGTTTTAAAGCAGCCTCCCATGGGTCAATTTGATGGCTAAAAAGATGATTCCAAGCCAACATCATTGGCACATAATGTAAAGAAGACTCTCCCCACAAAACTTTTGCTTTTCATTGTGTTCTGCAGTGGCCATCAGGGCCATCCCCCTGTCTCCAGGCAGGGTGGTAGGTGGACCTGCGAGAGGTGGAATTTGGTGGGGGCAAGCAGCCCAGACTTGCCCAGCGCTTCCCCTGACCTCCAAGCTCCATCAGCTCTGACTTGGGCCTTGCAAAGTGTTTGGACCAGAGGCCAACGCTACCTGGAGCAGGAGGCCACGCAGCAGCCCTCCAGCTTGTCCCCAACTGGCCCCAGGCTCCTGGGATTCTTGGACAAATGGCCCAAATTTACCCTGAACCTTCTGCTGTTGCTCTGGCTCTGAGCTTCTTCACAACCTGCACCGTGTAAAACTTGAAGACTCAGAAGAGCTTCTGAAATCCAAAGCAAGCCAGGACTTTTCCCCATAGGTCCTTCTTTCCGATTCCTCATCATTCTACGCGTGTCTGCTGGTCCCTCGCACCTCCATGCTGCAGACTGGAACTCTGGTCGGGTTGTCAGTTTCAAGTAACACTAGTGTTTCTCAACAGGGTGCTCGTCTATTGGCATTTGGGGTGGGCAGTTCTGTGTCCTGCATGTTGTGGGTCATTTAGCAGCCCTGGCCAGCCTGCCAGATTCCACTATGACAACCAAGAACACACTCTCAGCCCTGGGACTGGAGTGGGATGCAGGGCAAACCTCAGCCTTTGGGGAGTGGGGACAGTACTGACCTCAACATGGTGGGGAAGAGCACCACCTTCAGCGGAGGGTGGGGCAGTAGCACCGCCTGCTGAGGACCACCAGTCCCCCAGGTTCTTAGCTATGCCCTGGAGGGCAGGAGTCTCTCCTCTTCTGTCCTGAATCCCCAGCACCCAGAGTGGTTAGTCCTAGCCTCATAGTAGGACATCAGTAAATATTTGCCCAGTGAATGAATAAGATCTATGAACAGTCTTCAAAAGGGCCTGTGAACCCAATGAAAGTGTGCCCTAAAGGTGTGCATTGTACACATGTATTCGCTGCAGCAAGAACCCATAACTTCCCTCAGATTCTTCAAGGCAACTGTGGGGCATCCTTAAAGGGACATTCAGAAAACTGGTCCAGCCAGTGGCCACTACGGGCCTGATGTTTCTGTAGCTGCAAACATCACCGCACCGTGTTTGTGCAGTGACTTTTAGAGCTACCACTCTGTGTCAATATTCTAATCTCCCTGCAGAAGGGACCATCCTGAACGCTCCAGGGACTCTGCTTCCGTGAGAGGGCATCCAAGTTGCCTAATGCAGGGGCTGCATTCAGCCCTTCAACAAGAAATGGCCTGAGGCCCGGGCCCTTTCACTCACTCACAGGAGAGTGGGGTAAAAAGAGGGCAGGAACAAGATATGTTTCCCCCCAAACTCGAGTGTTTCTTGGGTGACCTTCCCAATAAAAGTCAAAGAACTCGGAGACATCACTCAGCTTGCCACAAACCCAAGCTCACACAGCAGCTTGGCTGAACTGAATGAGTGAGCCCCGTGGCCTGCCTCCTTCCTGAGAGTTCATTGTTGGTGCAGCTGTTTTAATAAAAGACAATCTATGCCCTGAGGCAGGAAGAACAGTTGGGCCAAACCCGTGGCTGAGCAGAGGGCTCAAGCTCAGACACATCTGCAGACCTGTGCAAAAGTGCGAGCTCACCTTGCAGCCCTGGAGAATTCTGCTTGACCTCAGGGCAGGGGACTCTGAGTGAGGTCGAGGGTGTTGATATAATGATGACTCATTTCTGCTGCTTTCCCAGCATTCTCCTGCTGGTCTTGGGTTGTTCCTGTCCCAGCAAGAGAAGCTACAGCATCCAGAAAGGACAATTGGCCCAGAGAACGGACAAAACCAAGGGCTGGAAGCACCACAACCCGAGAGTTAACCTCTAAAGCAGCAAAGCATTTGCCAAGAAATCTCTGATATCATTTGGCCCAGAGGGATCATACAATTTGCAGAAGCTTTCAGCATATAGGCTAGATCAGTCATGACCCCAGATAACTCCCTTGAGAGAAGATGGAAACTCGAGGAACCCCTGCTAGGCCAGAGCAGGCTTCTTGAACATTAGTGCGCCAAAAAACAATCCTCTGGAGAGCTTGTTACATCACAGATACCCAGCCCCCAACTCCAGAGTCACTTCAGCCGGGGCATCTCTAGCAAGCTCCTAGGTGACGCTGATGCTGCCAGCCTGGGGACCACGCTTTGACAACCACTGGTCCCCAGCAGGGGGTTTTGCACTGTGCTCCATTGTGCCCCCTTGAGGGGAACAGAAGGGATGGGAAGAACAAGTAAAGGGGATTCAGCCCGGACTCTCCCACCTACATTCGGGACACCTCTGGGTCTGTCTTCCAAGTCTGGCTTCTGTGATTAAATAAAGAACCTCTGATAAAAAAGAGAGGTGGGTCCAGGCCTGCACATGGGATGCTCCCAAGAACCAAGCCTCCCTCCTGCTCATTCCAGTGTGTCTGGGGCAGGAGGCTCAAATGTTCAAACAAAACCCCAAATAACAAGCTAAGTGGGCAGAGTCATGAGTGAGCCCCACTTCCAGTGCAGGCACCATCTCAGGGCAGTGGAGTGGCCCTTCCCGTCGGGCAGCCTTGGCCTCCATGATGGTCTTGTGCCAGGCTCTCTGCAGTGGGAAGGACTACCCTCTCTGTGGCAAGCATGCTGCTCAGCTGCCCCAGGGGCCAGGCAGCAGCTTTGTCCAGGAGAGTGTGCCCAGTGCTGTCTGGAGGCACCCTGCATCTGCCTGGTCCCCAGGACCATCAGAGCCTCAGCACAGCCACCTCATCCTCCACAAACCAACCTCGACATGGATAACCCATGGCCTCCTGGAGCTCGGGGATAGAGCACAGCCTCTGCAGCCCAAGTCTCAGGGTTTGGCTCTTGCCTTCACCACTTCCAAGCTGAGAGACCTGGGGCCAGTCAACCTGTGTAAACCTCGGTGTCCTCGTCTGTGAAATGGGGATAATTCTAGTATAATACTTGAGCATTAAATGCAGTTCACCACCTGACATGGTGTGAGCCCTCCAGAGTTTTGGCCAATCGTCATTGAGTGTTTTGTTTTCACATTATTTTCGTGTTTCTGATGAAGCAGGAGTGTGCCGCCTGTATCAGTTTCTAGGGTGCCCTAACAAACGACCACAAACGGGGGGACTTAAAACAATAAGAATTTATTGCCATACATTCCTGGAGGCCGGAAGTCTAAAATGGAAGATGCTGGCAGGTGCCAGCCTCACTCTGAGGGCTCGGGGTGTGTCTTGGTTTGGAAACACATCACTCCAGGTTCTGCCTGTCTGTCTCTGTCTTCTTCTCATAAGGACACTGATCATATAGGGTCAGGACCCAACCCTGAGTATGACTTTATCTTAATTTGATTATATATGAAAAGACTATTTCCAAATAAGGTAACGTTCACAGGTACCAGGGGGTAGGGCTTCCACATATTACTGGGGAGGACACATTTCAGCCCATGACCCCACTGGACTGGAGCAAGCCCTCAGGACCCAGCAGCCACGAGGATCTTCCGTGTGAAGTTGTGTGGGCTTCCCCAGACTGTGCTAAGTTCTCCCAAATGGTTGTGTTTTCCAGGGTGTTCAGACTTACATCTCTTGGATATGTTGACCCCAACTGAAAGAAAGCGACAAGGATACATCCACGAGCTCATTGTCACCGAGGAGAACTATGTGAATGACCTGCAGCTGGTCACAGAGGTAAGGGAGCTGGTGGGGCAGGGGGCACGGCAGGGGGCGATGACGGAGGGAGAGGGGAGGGTTCCGTCAAGGAGGTCTATGTCCTGATTCTGAGCCCAAGAAACTTTCTGATGTTTGAGGAGCATCTGGATGGCAAATGCTATAGGAGATTGCGACCGCAGAGACGGTTCGTTGCTTATCCATGGCCAACATTGAGTCATTCCCACAGAGGGACAGAGATCACTTAGCCAAGGGCAAGTGAGTCCCTGAGCAGTTGATGGATGGAGTCATGTGAACTGAGAGTCTGGAGTCCACGCTCTACTCAGAGCAGCTGCAGCTCAGCCACCAACCAGGAGGTGCCATGGAGCCAGCCACGCCGCCCTCCTGGCCCGCAGTGTTGGCATCTGGAAATGGGGGGCCATCTGGCTGCTGTCTCGAGTCATTCCTGCCATATGTTACCCTGAGACAAACCTGTCACTGAGAATGGCAACGTTTCCTCCCAGGCCCCCACAAAAGCCCCTGACCTGAGTGATGCCTCCTCATCTTGTCAGTCCTCCCAGAAGGGCCCTGGCCACCTCATCCAGAACTATGGGGAGATGCGGAGCCCGGCGCTCCTGCTGCTCAGCAGGCCTTTTGTCCACGTCCATGGGAAGATGCCATATTGGGAGACAGGGATTTGCAGAGATGGACCTGCAGTTTGGAGAGTGCTGTGGTAGTCTGGCAACCACCACACCAAACGGGTGTGAAACCATCTTGTCTGATAGTCTTAACATCCAGGAAAGACGCAGCAGGGCTCGCCGCTGTTGGAGGAGTACAGGGTGGGTTGTTAGCTGCAGGACCACCATTAATACTTAGGAAGCATTGATGCAAACTCAAAAAGGTGCCCCTTTCTCAAGGTGTTTGACTGTTATTAAATATGCAGTTCAGGATGTCCAGGGTGCAAGTGTCACTCCTTAGATATGGCTCCTTTTTGCACTCTGCAAAACGCACCACCATATGTGGTTGCCCTGGTACATGCCGGGTTCAACGTCGGCTTAAGGACTCCTGTGGAATAGGACTCCCAGGGAGCAGCCGCAGCCCAGCCAAGTTTATGTCGAAGATGGGCTGTCCCCTTCCCTAAAGAGCCTTCAGAAGCGCCTCCTGTGGGAGAAAATGACCTCCTTGCAGGCGGGGGCTTGCAAGTGGAACACGGGGTTCCACTGAGATCTGTGATTTACTGAGAGTTGCTCAACCACACAGAGCTTGGAGGGGCTCATTCATTTTCCAGAGCCCAGGAGGAGGGCAGCACTCACCCCCTTGTAGCGGGCCTGCAAGTGCTGGGTCTGTCCAGGGTCAGCCCAGGAGGCTGAGGACACAGCGATGGAGTCAGTCACCGAGGTGGCCACTGGCTTATTAGAGGAGCTGCCGCCTGGGCTGCTCCTCTCAGAAGGCCCTCGGTTTACCTATGCAGATGAAGGGACTGTCCACAGCCACCGGCACCTTTAAGCCCCGCTTTTCACACCGGTCCAGCCCCTCCCAGTGCGCAGGTGAGACCGCTTAGCCTGCGTGCATGACTTGGTACCGGCCTCCCTGCTTGTCTGGTGGAGTTAAGACCTGTCTCCTGGAGACTTCAGCTGCCCTCCTTCCCCTGTAAAACAATGCAGGCCCTGCTGGGGACCCCCCTCCGGTTTCCAGGGCAGAGGAGGGGCTCTCTGCTTCAGAAACTGCAGGAAAGCAGGCGTTCACCTCTGGGCCTCTCAGCCAAGGTACAGACACCTGAGCCCTTTCCCTGCTCTCAGCGGATCGGCGTGTGAGTGTGTGAGTTTTAAGCTAACTGCTTTCTGAACTGCTTCGTTTTCTGCATCTGTAGATTTTTCAAAAACCCCTGATGGAGTCTGAGCTGCTGACAGAAAAAGAGGTTGCTATGATTTTTGTGAACTGGAAGGAGCTGATTATGTGTAATATCAAACTACTAAAGTAAGCCTCTCCTCTAATCCCCAGCCTGGCTTGGCCTCCTCGGCTCTCATGCACTCGCACCTCTGTGGGTCTGTGTGTCCTTCTTGCATGCTGCCCTGTGCTTCTTTCTGGCTTTTTTTTTTTCTTCTCATTGCCACTCACAAACACCATCACCCTTTTGTGCCTTCGTGCTTTCTGGAAACGCACTCCGAATCTCTCATTGCAAGAGTAGGTTTCCTGGGCACCCCAGAGCCTGCTGTTGGGTGAATTACTGTGGTTGTGAATTTCCAGGGCTAGGGCGACGCTGGCTCCTGATGGTGCTGGCTCCATGCTGGGGCGTGGGGCTGCCCCCTCTACGCTTTCCCTCGGACGCGGGATCCCATGGGGGATTATTGGTCTTTTGAGGCATTCTTGGCCCTGCAGATGGAAAAATGTGGAACTGTTCACTGCCTAACATCAGCAGTTCCTCAGGATCACTCCGGGAAGCTGGCCCTAGGCTGGTCGTATTTTCTTCCAACTTTAGTTTGCAGAGGCAGCTCCAGGGCCAGGAGTCAAGAGACCTGGGTTTGGATTCTGACTTACTCACTGCCTTTCCTTTTTGAGCCTTAGTTTCCCCATCTGTAAAATGAAAGGGTTGGATTCGATCATCACAAAGTCTCTTCCAATTCTTAGAAAAAAAAAAAAGTCAAAAACCAAAATCTGTATCCACCACGCTCTCATTGTAACATCACTTGCTAGAACACAGATTAAGTCACAGCCTGCAGGGCGCGTGATATTCCCTGCTGGGAGGAAGGGCCACCCACTTCCTGGGCCCGAGGATGGAGGGCAGGCTCCAGAGCCTTGCGTCCATTCCTGATCTTCATCCGTGTCATTGGGAAGTCCCCATTTCCTAAATGTGGTCTCTGCATTGTTCTTATAAGGTAATTTCAGGTCCCCACTTTCCTGAGCGTGTGTTTGGGAGTGGATGGAGGGATGGAGAGGAGGTGTGGAGAGGTGGACATGAAGAAAGATACATAATGTCTGCTGGCTTGGTGCTCTAGAAGACGAATGATCCAAGGTGACATCAGGCAGGCTTTTAGAGAAGGTCTGGACTCCGTTGCCCGCGCCCCCTGCCACCCGATGCCGTGGAAGCCTTTCGAACTTAGGTCTGGTGTCACACCCTTGGGCTCACATCCGCTATTGCCTCTGGCTGTGTGTCTTCTGGCAGGTCACTTTGGTCCCTGGGCCTCAGTGTTCTCGTCTACATAGACGATAGCTGGGCACAGTGGCTCATGCCTGTAATCCCAGTGCTTTGGGAGGCCAAGGTGGGTGGATCACTTGAGGTCAGGAGTTTGAGACCAGCCTGGGCAACATGGTGAAACCCCATCTGTACCAAAAATACAAAAAGTAGCCGGGTGTGGTTGTGGGTGCCTGTAATCCCAGCTACTAGGGAGGCTGAGGCAGAAGAATCGCTTGAACCCGGGAGGCAGAGGTTGTAGTAAGCCAAGATCGCACCACTGCACTCCAGCCTGGGCCACGGGAGTGAAACCCTGTCTCAAAAAAAGAAAAAAAAAAAAAAAAAGAAAAGAAAATATACCTGTAAGTTAAAACCTTTTTCCTTGGGCAGCTATCAGTGGGGGCTGGGGGAGGCGGGAGATGTTTCTGAGCTTCCCAAGTAGCCCTTAGAGAGGGCTTCCCCCACTTCAGGGTTGGCCTGAGGGAAACTGGTGCTGGCCTCAGCTCCCCATACCTCTCTGTTGTCTTTTAACCCCCATCTGGGAAGAAGCAGCCTCTTTCTTGAGCTGTGTGGGGGGCCAGGCCTGCGTGCTTCTTCCTCCTGTCGGCTCTGACTTGCTCCACAGTTGTGGAGGTGGGAACTGACAGCCCTGTTACGGCTGAAGCAGCAAAGCTCAGAGAGGCTGAGTGACTTCCCTAAAGTCACACAGTAGGGTGGCTGCTCTGTGGATGATGCCTAGGTCCCGGAATAGAGACTCCGCCCAGTCCTGCCCCCGTGGAAAAAAACATGGGCCCAGAAGTCAGACATCCCAAGTTTTTGTCTGGGCTCCGGCCCCTTCTAACTAGTTTTGGGCATTAAGGTGGCAGTCATGGTGCTTGTCCTGCCTACCATGCACGGTCATTCTGAGAGCAAGGGAATCAGGTGTCCCAGGGGCACGCCGTCCATCAGGGGGCTGATGTGTACAGGGGCTGCTGGCTTCCCTCCATCCCAAGGTTCTCTATCCCCGTTCCTCTGATTCCCGGATTAGCTTGTTTGGACTAACTGGCTCATGTCTTCATCCTCCAGATAAAATCTTATGTTGAACCGTAGCCTTCTGGGGACCTGATTTCTTTTTCTTCTTTTCTGCATTTTACTAGAAAAAATCTCAAACATACAGAAAATTTGAAAGAATTGTAGAGTGAACACCCACATCATAAACTGGACAAAAAACATTGTGCTGTATTTGGGTGGCTGCATAGACATAATTTCTTCATGCCAAGGAATAACTGTGATGAGGGGAGATCGAGGGCTCCTAGCAGCCGAGAGAGGGAGGCATTTGAGGATAAGAAGTTAAGGCAGCAATCCCTGGAGTGCCACCAGTGAGCGGCCATATGTCTGCTACTCCTGATCCTACAGTCCTTGTATTTGGGGGGTGGGGCAGGGGGTAGGGCAGTTATCAAACAAGTCAACAATAAATAAATAACATGAAAATAAAAAGGGCTAACTGGAACACATGGACTTCCTACTAATGATGCCTCATTGAGGGTTAGAGCAAATGGCTGGCTCTCTTGCGAGGAAGCTGAGACCTGAGAAATGTGCCTTTCATAGACAAGGTAGGGCCAGACAGGTCTAGAACCTTTTTATATCCAGAGCCTGGAGCAGGACCCTCAGGACAGCTGTCAGAAATGATGGCAGAAGGGCCGGGTGCGGTGGCTCATGCCTGTTATCCCAGCACTTTGGGAGGCCGAGGCGGGTGGATCATGAGGTCAGGAGATTGAGACCATCCTGGATAACACGGTGAAACCCCACATCTACTAAAAATACAAAAAAATAGCCAGGCGTGGTGGCGGGCGCCTGTAGTCCCAGCTACTCGGGAGGCTGAGGCAGGAGAATGGTGTGAACCTGGGAGGTGGAGTTTGCAGTGAGCTGAGATCGCACCACTGCACTCCAGCCTGGGCGACAGAGTGAGACTCCGTCTCAAAAAATAAATAAATAAATAAATAAAAAAGAAACGTCATCTCTACTAAAAAAAAAAAAAAAAAAAAAAAGAGCTGTGCGTGGTGGCGCATGCCTGTAATACAAACTACTCAGGAGTCTGAGGCAGAAGAATTGCTTGAACCCGGTGGGGGCAGAGGCTGCAGTAAACCAAGATCGTGCCACTGCACTTCAGCCTGGGCAACAGAGTGAGACTGTGTCACAAAAAAAAAAAAAAAAAAAAAAAATGATAGCAGAAGGGAAGCAGAAGTGAGGTGGGGTGACCAACCCAGGTTTGGGGAACTGTTTTTTATCAAGAGGCTTTCCTGTCCCCTCGATGGAAAAAGAAAAGAAAAAAAAAATAAGAGCTTGTCCCAAAACAGTGTTTTTCTTAAATATCTGACTCATCTTCTTTTTAACTTAAGAAGAATGGATTCCATTTTATCTTGTTTAAGCAGAAAATGAAGGAAAAATAAAAAATAAAAATCAGTTTGGGGTAATGACAGATGGTGAGAAAGAAGAAGAAAAGGATGTGGGGTTGGGAGAAGGAGAAGAGGGAAGGAGAGAGGGCATGGAGCAGATGGTGGGAAGTCCAGCAGGGCGGGAAGTGCAGAGGCTGAGGCTGGGACCAGCAGGGAAAGGCTTGAGGGCGAGATGGCGGGAGCAGGGCAGCCGCGTCTGGGAAGATGGGCAGGTGCCCAGAGCAGCTTGGAGGCAGTCGTGGCGGGAGGTGGGTTGGGGCCTCTGAGGCTGTGGTCCCAACCATGGGCTCTGGAGTCAGACCTGGGTTCCAGGGTTACCTCTGTCACCTATTAGCTCTGAGACTTGGGTCAAGTCACTGAATTTCTGCATGCCTGAGTTTCCCCAATAGGAAATGGGGATAATAATATATGTAAAACTCTGTTTGACACATAGGAAGCATTAATAAATGCTAGTTCCATGACTGTCCACTTGGTCTGCAGACTTCAGAGGGTTACAGACACTCATGTGTTCAGCAATCATTGAGCGCTCTTTGAAACATTTGTTAGCCAGTTAATTGCCTTTTGCAGTTCAAGTCCTCTCATCTGTAAACCTTTCTAGGAGACTGCCGATCAGCTCACCGCAAGCAGAGTACTCTTAGGGCTGTGGCTGCAGCAGCCGAGTCACATGATCCCTGGGCCTGGTAACACCTTGCGGTCTTCATAAGTCTTTGCCTATACAGTAGACCATCCTGGACGAAGACCCATGACTGAATCTAATAGGTGCCTAGTCCATAGTAAATCAGGCTTTAATTTTAGGCCTGTCTGCTGGTTGGGTAACTCTGTTCTACAAGTGTGGGTCTGCAGAACCCAGGAACTAATTCCTCAAGACAATCACTGTCTGCAGATGCTCTTTCTTCTTTTCTTTTCTTCTTGTCTCCTTCATCCTTTAATAAAAAACAGGCCAGCGGCCGGGGCCGGGCACGGTGGCTCATGCCTATAATCCCAGCACTTTGGGAGGCCAAGGTGGGTGGATCACTTGAGGTCAGCAGTTCGAGACCAGCCTGGCCAACATGGCGAAACCCCATCTCTACTAAAAAAATAAAAATTAGCTGGGCATGGTGGCGGGTGCCTGTAGTCCCAGCCACTCGGGAGACTGAGGTGGAGGTTGTAGAGCTGGGATTGCACCACTGCACTCCAGCCTGGGCTACAGAGTGAGACTCTGTCTCAAACAAAACAAAACAAAATAGGAGAAGGAAAGGGTGAAAGTACTTTTTATTCACTTGTTAAAAAAACTACTCCTCATAGGAAAATGATGGAATGATGGAATTTCTTCCTGTTTCCATTCATTGCAAGTTTATAACGTGGCTATCCAGGGCTCTCATCCCCCCAAATTATTGGTGTCATCACCCTTGAGCACATTTTTGCTCGTTGTGGTATTTCACACCAACCCCTCAATGGGGCAGTGGCCTTTGGGCCATCCTGAGGACACCAAGCTGCCACTGCTCCCCACACCCCAGAGGCAGCCAGTGCTGATCTCCCCATGAGGGCATCCACTTCAGGTGGAATCGCTGACTGCTCACACCACATCATTTATGGTCCCTAAGTTTTTCTCCTTGGCTTGCCCGGTCCAAGGGACTTTATTTTAGCCAAAAATGTGGGAGAAAGAAAAGAAAGTGATCTGAAGTTTTTAAAGCCTAATATAAATATTGCAGAGCTTCCTTGGAATTCAATAGCCCGCCCCGTACCTCAAAGGCTTCTCCAACATGACCATGAAAGCAGCCAAAGGCATTCAATAGGGACATCCTCCCAGCCTTGTGTTAAAGTCATAGGTTATACCATTTTGTTCCATCTACCCATCCATCCACCCATGATCACTAACTAGGATAGCTGAACACACCCATGGCTTCATGTTGTGGTCCTGCCATGTAGTACCTTGCTGTCCTTACCGTGTATAAGCTCAGTGCCATGCCCTTCTTCCAGATGCTGGTGTTAAGGGTTCACATGTTGAAGTTGGGAGAGGGGAAGCACAGTCCTAGTTACCATAGCTCTGAGCACTCACACTGCAGGCAGACCCCAGAACACACACTTCCCAGTCCCATCAACACCTCTCCTGAATTCCAGGATATACATTTTTTGGGTTCATTGGCCCATTATCATAGTAATAGACCTCTTTTCCGAACTCCTCTTAATTTAGTTAACTCAGCTCTAGCAATGAAGCAGCGAATCACAGAGATACTTCAAACAGTCATTTATACCTGGCTTTTGCTGAATCTCATGGGATTATTTTGCCAAGGCATTTGTTTTGCCATCTTAATTATGTTCTTTTTAGCCAAAAATCATCCTTCCCCATCCTCTGGCAATAGCAACTTCCCTTGGGCAGAAGTGTCTCCTGGAAATAGGATCAGTGCTCAGGCCACATCAACCTGGGGCTTTCACCACCGATAATCTGTGTAGTGAGGCATCGACACAGGGGACCCATTTGAGTTGTTCAAGAAAAAAACTCCATATTTCTGCACAAGAAAAACAAATTGTAACAAACAGCCACTCTGCCAAAGAAAAATGCTCTGGTGCTACCTCTCTGTAGCCCTAGACTCATTTCTTTCTCCATTCCTTGTCTCCCAAATAGATCCTTTAGTGGCCCTTAAGGCTGTGCCCCTCACACACATTCTGTTTCTGTGCAACCTAAGTGTGCTGTGGTGCTGTCAGATAGCGTGAAAGCAGGGGGCTCACCTCCCGTGTTTCCGTGCAGAGCGCTGAGAGTCCGCAAGAAGATGTCCGGGGAGAAGATGCCTGTGAAGATGATTGGAGACATCCTGAGCGCACAGCTGCCGCACATGCAGCCCTACATCCGCTTCTGCAGCCGCCAGCTCAACGGGGCTGCCCTGATCCAGCAGAAGACGGATGAGGCCCCAGACTTCAAGGAGTTCGTCAAAGTAAGGAGCCAGGCTGTGCAGAGACTGGGCCCCAGAGTGGCGATCTTTGGGCAGCTGGATGTGTGAGGGGCTAATTCAAAAGTCTGCAAGAGTGTTCCCACTAGAGGCCAACAGGGCCTAGGGTCTTGGCTAAGCCTTAGGGGACTGGCACTCACTGGCAAGTGTGGCTGTCACCAAAGGGGTGGGCTTGGAGAGGAGGGGTGAACCCTGGGCTTGGAAGCTTTGAAAGTGTCTTTAGGGATCTGTTTTCCAGATGCTATTGGTGTTATTTGGATGCATGTTTAAATCTTTCATTTCATTTGCAAGGCCCAGGCAGGTCTTAGATTTCCTCTTGTGTTTAATCGCCACATCCTCAGTTCTTTGCTGGTCTCTGCCCTTCACTTGCAGAGGGAATGGCCAGGACTCCCAGTGGCCCCTTCATTCCTTTCGCAGTTGGTTCTGCTTGATGTGCTCCCGCCTTAGACAGCCTGTGGGAGTCAGTGTGGGATGCCAGGACCTCTTCCTTGGAGGTAGCAGGGATCTGGAGAGTTGGGAGTCCACCAGGGGATGTTTGGGGAGGTAATGCGGATACTGCTGGAAGACCTGCAGCTCTGGGACTTGGCCTTGGCCAGTGTGGGTCTCTGCTGGCCGTGCTGGGCCATTCAAACAGCCCCCACATCTCCTGGAGAAAAAAAGGAGGAAGAGAATAAAATAGCTTCTGTGAAACAGGTATCTTTTGATGAATAAACAACAAAATAATAATAACAGGCATATCTTTGGATCTCATGCATTTTGGAGACAGGCCATCCTCACCTGTCCTAGAGTGGTGCTTGTGGAATCACTGTGGTGAGGCACAAGCGCAGCCTCTTCTTGGTCAGAGCCTCATGTGAGCTTGTTGTTTCTGCCTCTCATGGTGTTTCTCAGCCTAGACTTGCCAGCCAAGGCATGGGGCACTCTGAGGTCATTCCAAGGGGAGAAAGATTGCTAAGAAGGAGGCCTTGGGTGGATGGAGACGAGAGAGCAGATGCTGAGCTGCTGGGCGCCATGGACCACCTAGGGTTTCAGCCAAGGGCTGGGCTCTTCCTAGGCCCGAGCAAGATGAGTTCATTGTTGGATGCACTTGAACTTCAGGAAAGTGCTGACACCAGCCCAGAGCAGGGGCCTCATTGTCCCTCCCCGCCCCTCTCCTCTTCACCTCTCCCCACCTCCTCTCAGTGGGAATGTGGCACGTCGTTGCCAGCTGCGAGGTGTTCCTGGAATGATGGTGTCCACAGCTGGAGCAGGTCCCGGTCCCTGGAGACAGTTATCAGGTCTCAGGGCTCCAGTCAATGCAGCTGCCCGTTTCTAAGGCATTAAACCAGACCACAGCCTTTGACAGCTAAGTGGCCAGACCCTGAAACTGGAGTCTTGACCCCCGTTGTCTGAGCTCCTCTTTCTCAGCCCTGCCTGGAGTTCCCAGAGGCACGTGCAGGCTCCACTCAAAACTAGACAATGAGATTTAGCCCTTCCAGCAGTTCTGGGGTGTAAGGGGAATTTTTCCTCTAACCGTATAGTCTTGTGACTCTTGTTCCTGGGAATGTTATAAAGTTTCTGCAGACATCCAGACGAAATATTCTGTGTAAAGCCAGAATCTCATCTCTGTGCATAAGGAACCATGCATGCCATGGAGGGTATGCTGAATCCAGAGTGCAGGGCTTAACCCTGCTGGCTGAGTCACATCTGTGGGTCTCCATTCTCCATCTGGAAAGTGTGTCATCCTGGACAGGGTAACTAGTCAGGCCCTTCCAACCCCAGGTCTCTCAGTTGTCATCCAGATAAATGAGATAATGGGTGGAGAGTCCTCACTGACATTAGTATTGATGTCACTAACTTTGGATTTTGCAAGTTTCTTAAGTACATTTAAAAACATCTCATTTCAGAGATTGGCAATGGATCCTCGGTGTAAAGGGATGCCACTCTCTAGTTTTATACTGAAGCCTATGCAACGGGTAACAAGATACCCACTGATCATTAAAAATGTAAGTACCTGTCTTGCCTTTTCAAGCAGGGGACGGCTTTCTCTGCATTGGAGAGGGCTGGGGTCATGGACAAGATTCCCAGTGAACATATCTGGTAACTGTTGTGTAGAAAGCACGAGACAACAAGGTGTCACAGAGGTCTGCTTGGTAACTCAGAAAGAAAAGCTGGTTTATCACGCAAAGAGCTGGCTGGGCACGGTGGCCCGCGCCTGTAATCCCAGCACTTTGGGAGGCCGAGGTGGGCAGATCGCTTGAGCCCAGAAGTTCAAGCCCAGCCTGGGCAGCATAATGAGACCCTATCTCTATTAAAAAAAAAAAAAAAAAAGAGAGCTAATACTGTGTCCGGAATTGGTGGGTTCTTGGTCTCACTGACTTCAAGAATGAAGCCGCAGACCCTCGCGGTGAGTGTTACAGCTCTTAAGGTGGCGCGTCTGGAGTTTGTTCCTTCTGATGTTCAGATGTGTTCGGAGTTTCTTCCTTCTGGTGGGTTCGTGGTCTCGCTGGCTCAAGAGTGAAGCTGCAGACCTTCGCGGTGAGTGTTACAGCTCTTAAGGCAGCGCGTCTGGAGTTGTTCGTTCCTCCCGGTGGGCTCGTGGTCTCGCTAGCTCAGGAGTGAAGCTGCAGACTTTCGCGGTGTTACAGCTCATAAAAGCAGTGTGGACCCAAAGAGTGAGCAGCAGCAAGATTTATTGCAAAGAGTGAAAGAACAAAGCTTCCACGGTGTGGAAAGGGACCGAGCCGGTTGCCACTGCTGGCTCGGGCAGCCTGCTTTTATTCTCTTATCTGGCCCCACCCACATCCTGCTGATTGGTAGAGCCCAGTGGCCTGTTTTGACAGGGGGCTGATTGGTGCCTTTACAATCCCTGAGCTAGACATAAAGATTCTCCACGTCCCCACCAGACTCAGGAGCCTAGCTGGCTTCACCCAGTGGATCCCACACCGGGGCTGCAGCTGGAGCTGCCTGCCAGTCTCGCGCCATGCACTCGCACTCCTCAGGCCTTGGGTGGTCGATGGGACTGGGCGCCGTGGAGCAGGGGGCGGCGCTCGTCGGGGAGGCTCGGGCTGCACAGGAACCCACGGAGGCAGGGGAAGGCTCAGGCATGGCGGGCTGCAGTCCCGAGCCCTGCCCCGCGGGAAGGCAGCTAAGGCCCGCTGAGAAATCGAGCGCAGCGCCGGTGGGCTGGCACTGCTGGGGGACCCAGTACACCCTCCGCAGCCGCTGGCCCGGGTGCTAAGTCCCTCATTGCCCGGAGCCAGCAGGGCCGGCCGGCTGCTCCGAGTGCGGGGCACGCCAAGCCCACGCCCACCCGGAACTCCAGCTGGCCCGCAAGCGCCGCACGCAGCCCCGGTTCCTGCTCGCGCCTCTCCCTCCACACCTCCCTGCAAGCTGAGGGAGGGGGCTTCGGCCTTGGCCAGCCCAGAAGGGGGCTCCCAGAGTGCAGTGGTGGGCTGAAGGGCTCCTCAAGTGCTGCCAAAGTGGGAGCCCAGGCAGAGGAGGCACCGAGAGCGAGCGAGGGCTGTGAGGACTGCCAGCACGCTGTCACCTCTCAATACTGCACAGCCTTCAGATGTGTGACCAAGTGGCTTCTACCTTGTAAGTCAGAAAATGAGAGCTTAGTCGTTGATTCTTTTTTTAATTTTTTTTTTTCTAGAAGAAAATAACATGGAATCACAGAAACAGTCTGTGGTCTGTGCCTTTCTCCCTTGACTCTTTCTTAAAGACAGGCCCAGTGCCTCTAGGCCTTGATTTTCTTAGCAGAAAAGAGAAAGAAACGTAATGCTACGACCTGTCTTCAGAAGGCCATTGTGAAACACTGTATTAGTCCATTCTCACACTGTTGTAAAGGACTGCCCAAGACTGGGTAATTAATAAGGAAAGAGGTTTAATTGACTCAGTTCCACATGGCTGGGGAGGACTCAGGAAACTTACAATCATGGTGGAAGGGGAAGCAAACACATCCTTCTTCACATAATGGCAAGAAGGAGAAGAATGGGAGCCCAGCGAAGGGGGAAACCCCTTACAAAACCATCAGATATTGTGAGAACTCACTCACTCTCACTAGAACAGGATGGGGGAAGCCACCCCAACGATTCAATTATCTCCACCTGGTCTCTCCCACAACATGTGGGAATTATGGGAACTACAATTCAAGATGAGATTTGGGTGGAGGCGCAGCCAAACCATGTCAGACACTGTGTGTTGATATTAGATGATTGTTCTTCTCCTGTCACTTTGAGAAAGCCGATACCAAAAGAAAAAAGAAAGAACAAAATTAGGGTTTCAGTGTCCCCACCTGTAAAATGAGTGAACAGATTTAGATGTCCTCTGAGCCTATGTTTGTAAAACCACAGGGAGTATAGCTCCTGGAAAGAGGTTTTAGATCTGGTTCCTTTTAATGGAAAATGGTGTTTAGAAACTCAGATGTGGGCACTGGCGTGCTCATTGCTACTGGGGTGATTTTGTTTTGTGTTCCTCTCGGTGGCAGAGCTGGGAAATATATGAATGTCTTTTCATGCACACATATTTACATATGCCAATGTATATACACATATATTTATATTTATTTCTAGATCCATCTATCCATGTATATTAGAACTCATGAATTCACACCAGTACCTCCTATTCTAATCCAATACTGCAGAATTTTTTCCAGCCTTTCCCCTTCTGCCTTTGTAACTCCCTACTCTGTGAAGAGCCTGGCTCTCATTATCCTCAATGTGTTTCCTTATTTGCTCAGTCTTCTTACATGTGACAAATCTCCCTCCCACATAAGCCATCTCCTCAGTCCAGCCCCAGCTCAACTCCACAAAATACACTGTGGATCTTTGGCTGAGTTAAATACTTAGTTTTGAAGTAAGTTTTCAACTTACTGTTTTCTCTCTTCCAACACCACAGTTACTATTTAATTAGCTCAGTACTTCTCTTTTTTCTCCCAATGTTTAATTGCAAATTGAAGTTGAAAACAAGCTTTTAAAATAGGTGTTCTATATCTAGCCAATGGGAGAAAAACTAAAACAAGAAAAGGACTGCATGGCCCAAATATTTAAAAGGGGGAAAAAAACTCATTATTTGCAGAAACACGATTGATTTCTTCCAGAGCACCCACAAAAATGAACTGAAAACCAGCTGAACTAAGAAGAGAATTGAAAACAGTGGTCAGCTATGAGATACATATGAAATCTGCTAAAGTACTAATACTAAATATTTTTATGATACTGATGTGGAGAAATTCTTAGCATGGTCTCAAAGACATGCTAATCCTAAACTTAAAGGATTTAGATCATAGCAACCTAAAAAATACCCAAACTTTCATCTGGGCATAGTGGCTCACACCCATAATACCAGCACTTTGGAAGACCAAGACGGGTAGATCACTTGAGGTCAGGAGTTCAAGACTAGCCTGGCCAACAGGGTGAGACCCTGTCTCTACTAAAAACACAGAAAAAATTAGCCGGGAGTGATGGTGTGTCAGGTTTGAGGCCCAGCTGAGGTCTGAGGGGAGTGGGTGAACGTGGGGCAGGGAGCTGGAAGAACACTTGAGAGACAGCAGGTAGATGGGACATGGCACAGAATTGTGCACCTGCACTCTAATCCCCCTGAGTCATGCAGGCTGTTTACATCTGCGTATGCCTGCCTGGTTGCAGCACAGCCATGTTCCCTACATGATGTGTATCTGTAATCCCAGCTGCTCGAGAGGCTGAGGCAGGAGAATATCTTGAACCTGGCAGGCAGAGGTTGCAGTGAGCCAAGATCACACCACAGCACTCCAGCCTGGGTGACAGAGTGGGACTCTGTCTCAAAAAAAAAACAAAAAACAAAAACCCAAATTTTATTCTGGGGAACAACGTATATGTTCATTAATGGGAATGGTTAAATAATTATGGTAGATCTGTACTATGAAAATATTTAAAAAGATACAGAGCAACTTCTACTCATGTATTAGTGTGGAAAGACACTGAGAAAATGCTGTTATGTGAAAAAGCAACACTAAACTCACTGAGCAATCCTATGGTATGATGCATTTTGCAAGAAGAGGGGAAAGAGCTATGATTGAGTCACTGCACTCCAGCCTGGGTGACAGAGTGAAACTCTGTCTCAAAAAAACAAAAAAAAAAACAAAAAACAAAAAGGCCGGATGTGGTGGCTCACACTTGTAATCCCAGCACTTTGGGAGGCCGAGGCAGGCAGATCCCGAGGTCAAGAGATCAAGATCATCCTGGCCAACATGGTGAAGCCCGTCTCTACTAAAAATACAAAAATTAGCTGGGCATGGTGGTGCATGCCTGTAGTCCCAGCTACTCAGGAGGCTGAGGCAGGAGAATTGCTTAAACCCACGAGGTGAAAGTTGCAGTGAGCCGAGATCGCGCCACTGCACTCCAGCCTGGCGACAGAGCGAGACTCAGTCTCAAAAAAAAAAAAAGAAAAGATAGAATATAGAACTTGAAGTTGCTGAGAGGCAGTAGGCAGTATGGAATAGCAGTGAAGAGCACATAGCCTGGAGCCAGGCTGGCTGGGGTTTGAATCTTGCTACTTAACCACTGTGTGCTCTTGGGCAAGTTGGGCCTCAGTTTCTTGTCTGTAAAATAGGGACACTGATAGTACCTACTGCATAGTGATGTGGGAATTAACTGAGTTAATGTATGCAAAGTGGCTCATACTAGGCAGTATATAAATGTTAGTTTTATCATTGAGAACACTTATGCGCTAAATGTACAAAAAGTTCACACTCACAGGTAATAAAAGAAAATACATAACAAAACAAGAAAATACTTTGATTTTGGCTTGCCAGATGAGCGTATATTGAAAAGATTATAGGTCCCAGTGTTGGCAAAGATCTGGGTGGAAGTTAAATTGATACAGCCTTTTTTGGAAGGCGATTATAGATCAAACTATAATTCCTCTTTGGCTCAGCAATTCCACCTCTAGGAATTTATTCTAAGGAAATAATTTAAGAAATATTGAAAAGTTGGAAGCAACATAAAGTTTTATGGGAAGGTAACTATTTAGACGCATTGTGCTCAATAACGTGCTCAATGAATATTGGGGTCTACCCCAATAATGATATATTATAAAACCCTCAAAATGATAATATGTATGAAATGGACATGGAACATTGTACTATAAAGCAATGTATGAAATAGTACAGTATAAAATGGTAGTTTTTGTAAAATGGTAGTATGATCCAATTTTTATTTTTATTTTTATTTACTTTTTTTTGAGACAGAGTCTCGCTCTGTCACCCAGTCTGGAGTGCAGTGGCACGATCTCAGCTCACTGCAATGTCCGCCTCCTGGGTTCAAGTGATTCTCCTGCCTCACCCTTCTGAGTAGCTGAAACCACAGGCAGGTACAATCACGCCCGGCTAATTTTTGTGTTTTTAGTGGAGACGGGGTTTGACCATGTTGGCCAGGCTTGTCTCAAACTCCTGACTTCAAGTGATCATCCTGCTTCGGCCTCCCAAAGCAATTTTTATTCTTGAAATAATGGGGAGATTATTAGTGATTTTTAGGTTCTTTATAACTTTTTGAATTTTCTAAATTTTGTACATTGTACAATATTACTTTTGTCATTAGAAAAATTGATAAACCTGTTTGAATTTTGAAACTAAACAAAACAAATGAATTTACTCAAGCCAGCTGGGTGGGTTCCTAGCCTGTAGTAGTGGTTCTCAGATTTGACTGCATGTTAGAACATCTGGAAACCTCTAGAAAACCCCTAAGCCTGAGTTTCACCCTCCAGGGATTTTGATTTAGTCATGGATGAGGCCTCAGATTTTCCAAAAGGATTCTAACGTACAGTCAGGATTGGCCCAGAGGTTGGGGTTGTTGCTTGGAATTGATTTGTGGACTCACAAGACATAGAAAACAGTGTGTGTTTTTCTCCATTTGAGCATCTACTTAGGACTTTAAACCACGGTATGCCTTTGGGATAAGATATTCAGAGTCAGGGCCATTTACATTGTTTGTATGTGGACAAGGCCTGGGCAAATATGCCCTCGGCATTCTCCTGGTACACTTCAAAGGTGGCTTAGGGTCTTTCTTCATTCTCCAGCACAGGGTGATAATTGTTTTTAGGGGCCTGGAAGTCCTTTGAGGATCTGATGGTAATCACTGTTGCTTATTGAGCACTTTCTAAGGGCCAGGTGCTTTGCCAAGAGGTCCACGTGTCTCATTTAGTTCTCCACACACCATATAAAGGAGGCTATTAACCTCTCCATTTCTCATGCGAGGAACCTGAGACTCAGAACATTTATGTGGGCCAGGCGTGGTGGCTCACGCCTGTAATCCCCGCACTTTGGGAGGCTGAGGCAGGCAGATCACTTGAGGCCAGGAGTTTGAGATCAGTCTGGCCAACATGGCGAGACCCCCGTCTCCACTAAAAATACAAAAATTAGCTGGGCATGGTGGCGCACACCTGTTGTCCCAGCTACTCAGGAAGCTGTGGCAGGAGGATTGCTTCAACCTGGGAGGCAGAGGTTGCAGTGAGATGAGATCGTGCCACTGTTCTCCAGCCTGGGTGACAGAACGAGACAAAAAGAACATTTATGGCTGGGTGCGGTGGCTCGCGCCTGTAATCCCAGCACTTTGGGAGGCCGAGGCAGGCAGAACATCTGAGGTCAGGAGTTCAAGACCAGCCTGGCCAGCATGGTGAAACCCCCATCTCTACTAAAAATACAAAAATTAGCCAGGCGTGGTGGCTGTAGTCCCAGCTACTCGGGAGGCTGAGGCAGAAGAATTGCTTGAAACCCGGGAGGCAGAGGTTGCAGTGAGCCGAGATAGCGCCACTGCATTCCAGCCTGGGCAACAAGAGCAAAACTCCGTCTCAAAAAAAAAAAAAAAAAAAAAAGAACATTTATATAACCAACCCAAATCATGGGTGGTCTGTGGTGGGGCAGGGATTTAAATTCAGGAGGTCCAGCTCCGGAGCTGGCATTCTTAGCCACCACCCCAAATGGTCTGCTTAGAAAAGCGCACACTTGCTCTGATGCACCCGTCTGCATGTGGTTCCAGAGGCGCGTGGACCCAGGAAGGAGCCACCCTTGCTGCAGCCACCGCTCCTCTTATGCCCCAGGCTGCATGCTAAGCATAGACTGCGCTGTCCCTGCCCTGCCCTCCAAGGGCACCTGTTGGCTCTTAGACCCTCATCAGTGGGTTGATGGAACACTGCACATCAAATGCCAGAATTGCATTGTATGTTCCCCAAGTGAGTGAACAGGTGGGAAAATAGCACGGAACTGGGCCTGGGATGCCTGGGCTCTGCTCCTGGTCTCAGGGACTAGTTTATTCCTCTGTGAAACAGGGTGAATATTTTCTTTTTCTTTCTTTTTTTTTTTTTGAGACGGAGCCTCTCTCCGTTGCTGGGCTGGAGTGCAGTGGCGCAATCTTGGCTCACTACAACCTCTGCCTCCTGGGTTCAAGCGATTCTTCTGCCTCAGCCCCCCGAGTAGCTGGGACGACAGGCATGCGCCACCACGCCCAGCTAATTTTTGTATTTTTAATAGAGATGGGGTTTCACCATGTTGGCCAGGATGGTCTCGATCTCTTGACCTTGTGATCTGCCCACCTTGGCCTCCCGAAGTGCTGGGATTACAGGCGTGAGCCACTGTGCCCGGCCAAGGGTAAATATTTTCAAAGAGAAACTCTAAGGGCCCCATGGTTATATGTACACACTGTGATCCTGTGAGTCTGCATGTGTGGCTTGGGGTCCACCCTGCGATGTTAACATTTTGCCGGACAGATCACATAGCTTGCCCTGGACATTCAGGGTGTGGGGCTGGACTGAGACCTCAAGGATGGGACCATTCACTGCTTCCCGCAATGCCACCCACTGGAGCCATCAAGGAGTGGCCGTCATCTGCTACGTGATTGCCATGTGGGTGCTCAGAGCTGCGATTGCTCAAGTGGGCGCCGTCCATGAAAGGATGGTGCCCTGCCCCGCTGGGCCTGGTCCTGCAGGACCCTGGATCACAGGCCCGCCCACATTGCCTAAAAGGAGGTGGTTGTTTTTATTCTCCTGTGTAGATCCTGGAAAACACCCCTGAAAACCACCCGGACCACAGCCACTTGAAGCACGCCCTGGAGAAGGCGGAAGAGCTCTGTTCCCAGGTGAACGAAGGGGTGCGGGAGAAGGAGAACTCTGACCGGCTGGAGTGGATCCAGGCCCACGTGCAGTGTGAAGGCCTGTCTGAGGTAGCCAACCTTGGGGCTGGGCCCTGGTCTCCCCCGGCAGAGCCTCGCCTGCCAGCCTGGAGGAGGACAAAGAAAAGCATGAACCATTCTCCTCCCCAGCCGATAGCATCCTCATTTCCATCCAGCTGCTTCTCATCTGCTGTTTCATCCACCCACTGAGTATTTATTTATTTATTTGAGATAGAGTCTCACTCTGTTGCCCAGGTTGGAGTGCAGTGGCACCATCTCAGCTCACTGCAACCTCCGCCTCCCCGGTTCCAGTGATTCTCCTGCCTCAGCCTCCTGAATAGCTGGGACTACAGGCACACGCCACTACACCCGGCTAATTTTTGTATTTTTAGTAGAGATGGGGTTTCCCGTGTTGGCCAGGCTGGTCTTGAACTCCTGGCCTCAGGTGATCTGCCCACCTCGGCCTCCCAAAGTGCTGGGATTACAGGCATGAGCCACCGCGCCTGGCCATCCACTGAGTTTCTAATTTAAATTATATCATTTCCCATTGCCAGAAGTTCTATTTATTTTCTCCTGTCTGCTGATTTCTTTCTTTCTCTTTCTCCCTTTTTCTTTCCTCTTTCTTTCTTTCCTTCTTTCTTTCTTTCTTTCTTTCTTTCTTTCTTTCTTTCTTTCTTTCTTTCTCTCTCTCCCTCTTTCTTTCTTTCCTTCCTTCCTTCTCTCTTTCTCCTTCCTTCCTCTCTTCTTTTTCTCTTTCTTTCCTTCTCTCTCTCTTTCTTCTCCTTCCTTCCTCTCTTCTTTTTCTCTCTTTCTTTCCTTCTCTCTCTCTTTCTTTCTCCTTCCTTCCTTCCTTCCTTCTTTCCTTCCTTCCTTTCTCCTTCTCTTCTCTTCTTTTTTCTTTTCTTTCTTTCAACAGGATCTTGCTCTGTCACCCAGGCTGCTGGAATGCAGTGGCACAATCCCAGTTCAATGCAGCCTGGACCACCTGAGCTCAAGTGATCTTCCCACTTCAGCATCCCAAGTAGCTGGGACCACAGGTGCATGCCACCATGCCCAGCTATGCTGGTTTCTTTCTTGTATCTTGTTTTTTGCTCAAATGTTAATCCTTCTTATTTATTTCTTAACACATTTTAAACATAGATATTCCTGGCCAGGTGCCGTGACTCACGCCTGTAATCCCAGTGCTTTGGGAAGTGGAGGCAGGAGGCTAGTTTGTGTTCAAGATCAGCCTGGAAACAGAGTGAGACCCTGTCTATACAAAAAAATAAAAAGTAAATTAGCTGGGTGCAGTGGTTCACACTTGAGGTGGGAGGATTGCTTGAGCCCAGGAGTTCAAGGGTAAGGTGAGCTATGATCACGCTACTATACTCCAGCCTGGGCAACAGAGCAGAATGTGTCTCAAAACAACAAACAGATATAGATATAGATGTAGATATAGATATAGATATAGAACCCATAACCTGAAGTTATGGGTGTTATTGTTTTGTCTGTTGTTTCTGCCAGCTCTTGCTAAACTTACTACCTTGTTTCTTGTATTACGATTTTTGACTGTGAACTAAATGTTCCTTAGAACTTTACCTGTGGGCACCTTTTTTTTTTTTGAAATGGAGTCTCGCTCTGTCACCCAGGGTGGAGTGCAGTGGTGTGATCTCGGCTCCCCGCAACCTCTGCCTCCCAGGTTCAAGCAGTTCTCCTGCCTCAGCCTCAAAAGTAGCTGGGATTACAGGTGCGCACCACCATGCCTGGCTAATTTTTATATTTTTAGGAGAGACAGGGTTTCACCATGTTGACCAGTCTGGTCTCGAACTCCTGGCCTCAGAAGATCCACCTGCCTCAGCCTCCCAAAGTGCTGGGATTACAGGCGTGATTACCGCACCTGGCCCACCTGCAGGCATCTTTATTGTCTGAAGTTGTATTCCTTCTGGAAGGACTGTTATTGTGATTATCCAAAACTATGTTTAGAGGGGTTTGGGCATCACAGCCCTTGTGTGAATCGTGGTTGTAAACTTGCGTGAGAGCTACCTGATAAAGCACACATTCTCAGGGCACGTTTTCCTTCACTACACCAAGGTCAAAAACAGAAATGTTTTATTGCTCATCCCCTCTGAGCTTGAGTTTACCTGTCACTCCTCCTCTGGGTTCATCTTTTTGTGAAGATCTCCTAGTAGACCCCTCACGTTGGCTCTGGATGCACCTGTTTCTGCACCCTATGTAGTGAGTAAAATGCAAGGTCAGCGTCAGCAGATTCAAGAGAGACCCTCAAAGCTATAGTGGCACTGGCTTTCGGTGATCTTCCAAGGTTCCTATTTTCATTCTGTTTTCAGCCTCTGCAAATTTCTTACTTTGTTTCTATTTTGTGTGTGTGTGTGTGTGTGTGTGTGTGTGTGTGTGCCAGTTTTCTTGGAGTTAAAAAGTGGATTTTTGCATTTTTCTGTTTTTTTAAAGTTTTTGTTGGGTGAGTCATTCTGAGTATCTAGTCCACTCTACTTCCAGCAACAGAAGTCTCTCTCTGTCTCTCTTTCTCTTTCTCTCTCTCTTTGTGTGTGTGTGTGTGTGTGTGTGTGTGTGTGTGTGTGTTTGTTTTAGTCAGGGTCTCACTCTGTTGCCCAGGCTGGAGTGCAGTGGCACAAACTCAGCTCACTGCAGCCTCAACCTCCTCGAGTGATTCTCCCATCTCAGCTTTCCAAGTAGCTGGGACTACAGGCATTGGCCACCATGCCCAGCTAATGATTCTATTTTTTTTGTAGAGACAAGGACTCACCATGTTGCCCAGGCTGGTCTCAAACTCCTGAGCTCAAGCGATCTGCCCGCCTTAACCTCCCAAAGTGCTGGGATTACAGGTGTGAGCCACCACGCCTGGCCAGAAGCCTCTCATTTGGTTTCTAATTTTCTTCTTTTCACTTAACCTTTCCTTTGGTCTCATTCATTCTTTTTGCCCATTTTTTCTCTCTGTTTCTGTATACACATGTGCTTGTGCCTGTACACACATACATACATGCATGTATGCACACACATACACCATTCACTAGGGTTTCCCAAAATGACCAGCGAGAATGTGTCTCCCTCATCCACTCCTCCTGTGGTTTCTTCCCTCTCATAAGCTGCAAAGGCCATCACCACCTGAGGGAGTCACCATGACTGGTTCCTCCACGGCCCCATCTCCTGTCCACCTTCAGTGTTGGTGTGGGATGAGCAAAGGTGTGGAAGCAGCCCCGTGGAAGCCGAGAGGACAGCTGTGGGCTCCCATTTTGGGATTTTGTGTTGCTCTGCTGTCAGTGGGTGGCTCATTTATTCGCTCATCATCATTCATTCAATAAGCACTTAGTGAGTAACCACCCATGTGCCACGGCTCAGTACTAAACCCTGGGACATAAAAACAAATAAGATGTGACTCCCACTCTCGAGGAGCTTATGGTCCAGGAGGAAGCTGGGGGTTAAACCAACATTTACAACAAGATGTGAGGGGTAAGGAGGCAGAGCTAGGTGCCAAGTGCTGTGGCGACATGTGACAGGAGCAAGGGACAGTTGTACGGGGGACTCTCGGGCCCTGGAGGTGATGCTTGACTGCGTGTTGCAGGATGAAGCATTGGAGGCAGGCCAAGCACCGTGTCTCAGGCCTGTAATCCCAGCACTTTGAGAGGCCAAGGCAGGAGGATCCCTTGAGGCCAGAAGTTCAAGACCAGCCTGGGCAACATAGTGAGACCCTGTCTCTACAAAAAATGTTTAGAAAACTAACCAGGTGTGGTGGCATGCACCTGTAGTCTCAGCTACTTGGGAGGCTGAGGCAGGAGGATCGCTTGAGCCCAGGAGTTTGAGGCTGCAGTGAGCCATGATCGCACCACTATACTCCAACGTGGGCAACAGAGCAAGACCCTGTCTCAGAAAAAAAAGAAAGATTGAGGCAGGGCATTAGGAGTGGAGGACCATTCTGAGATTCTGAGCAGGGCATTGGTGAGGATTGCAGAGGAATGATGGGCCACAGGGCTGCAGGGCAGGCTGAGGCCCAGCCGAGGAAGGCCTGTGTATAATGCAAAGGAACATTAACTTGATCCTGAAGACAAGGGACTCAAGCAGCCCCTGCACTGCCACGCAGAAATGCCGACACACAGTCATGTGCACTTTAGAAAGGGCCCTTCCCCGACTCTGACAGCTGCCATCAGAGGGACACAGTGAGGCCGGGATCTGAAGATGTTAAAGTAAAATCAGTTGTCATCCTTCTTTTTTTTTGAGACAGAGTCTCACTCTCTTACCCAAGCTGGAGTGCAGAGGTGCGATCTCGGCTCACTGCAACCTCCACCTCATGGGTTCAAGAGATTCTCCTGCCTCAGCTTCCCGAGTAGCTGGAACTATAGGGGCCCAGAACCACACCCAGCTAATTTTTGTATTTTTAGTAGAGACGGGGTTTCGCCATGTTGGCCAGGCTGGTCTCCAACTCCTGAACTCAGGTGATCTGCCCACCTCGGCCTCCCAAAGTGTTGGGATTACAGGTGTGATCCACTGCATCCAGCCTAGTTCTTGTGCTTTGATTTTTTCAGCTTACATCCCCCCTTTGCCATCAGATGGCTGTCCTTCTTGGTCAGTCTTCCTGGCTATCATGCACAGCGTCGTTGTTGTCTTGATGATGTTCATGGTGATGGGAAGGGGATGTGTTGACTTCTGTCTCCTGACCTAGGATCACGGTGTGGACCATGCGTGGCCCAGGTCTGGACACACACCAGTGATTAAGTTTCAAACAGATGCTGTTTTTGGCATTCCTGTCTGAAGATAGAGAAGTTTAAATACTGTTCCCAGTTCATGCATATTCAGTGTTATCTTGGCCAATTAGAGGCTTTGAGTATGAATGAACGAGAGCACCTTTATGTCATTGGATCCAATGACACTTGCCTTCTCTGGATTATTTGCGCCCACGTGGCTTGAACCCTGTCTTGGCAAGCAGGAAGGGCTGGTTGGTCTCCAGGCTCCTGCCTGGAGTGCAGAGGTGAAGAATGTTCTTTGAAGGTTCCTGTTGTGGCACCACCTTCGGTCTTTCTTGGGCTCTCAGACCCTCCACAGGAGGTCAGAGGTCATCTTTCCTCCTCGTGGCTGACAGCAGAGTGCAGTGGCCCCTTTCCAGCTGCCTTTAGCTCTCCACTCACAGAAGTGCCACTGTTTCTCCTGTATTGGAGATGGACAGGTGGCCATCAGCTTCTTTTGGGGGACACATGTTACGAACCTATCACTCCTTCACAAATACTCTCTTCAGAGAGGGGTCCATAGGGCTCGTAGCTCAGGACAGAGCTCCGGAGCGCCCCCCAGGCCAATTGTGTGGGCAGATGGGGAGCGTGAGGGGCTGGCCTCGGACTGGGTCATCTTACTCCTGGCGCGCAGCCATGGCCTTGCTATCCTTGGCCTCTCCCCTTGCTGTCAAAAAGGGGGCCTCTGTGGGATCATCTCCACCTCAGTGCCCTCTGCCCCTTCAGAACCTAGTGGAGGTGATGGACCCCCGAGAGGTGTTAGAGCCGCGTTTCAGCGCCCACCGTGTCTCTAAGGGTCAGTGGAGGGAGGGAGCTGTTCCCTTCCTGTTTGCTGAGCGGGTGAGTCGGGTGAGGTTTCATGTGCGCAGTACAGTGTCTGTTCTGTTTGGCACTGGAGGGTCGCTCAACACCACTGATTTACAGCTGGGTATGGTGGCTCACGCCGGTAATCCCAGCACTTTGGGAGGCCAAGGCAGGTGGATCACGAGGTCAGGAGATTGAGACCATCCTGGCTAACATGGTGAAACCCCGTCTCTACTAAAAATACAAAAAATTAGCCGGGCGTGGTCGCGAGCACCTGTAGTCCCAGCTACCCGGGAGGCTGAGGCAGGAGAATGGCGTCAACCCGGGAGGCGGAGCTTGCAGTGAGCAGAGATTGTGCCACTGCACTCCAGCCTGGGCGACAGAGTGAGACTCTGTCTCAAAAAAAAAAAAAAAAAAAAAATTAACACCACTGATTTGTGCAGTCACACACATGCCAGGGGCCCGGACTGCAGTTGTGCCTTGGAAGGCAGCATTTGTCCATGGAATTGGAGAGAGACGGGGGCTGCTGCTTTCCAGAAGCTCAAAGGACTGTCTGAATCTGTGTGGGGTTTTCTCCCTGGAGCTGTTTCATGCACAGACCCTGCATAGAGCAGGGAGTCCCCAAGGTGGGAGCCAGGTGGGCACTTTTCTTTCTGCTGCCCCATTTCCCCAGTAAATAAAAAAGAGAAATGGCCAAGCCCAGTGGCTCACACCTGTAATCCCAGTATTTTGGGAGCTTGAGGTGGAACGATCGCTTGAAGTCAGAAGTTCAAGACCAGCCTGGGCAAAGTAGGGAGACCCCATCTCTACAAAAGTTTTTTTCACATGTGTTGGGGGGCTGAGATGGGAGAATTGCTTGAACCTGGGAGGTCAAGGCTACCTGAACTATGATCACACCACTGCACTCCAGCCTGGGCAACATAGTGAGACCCTGTCTCAAAAAAAAAAAAAAAAAAGAAAAGAAAAAACACACCAGTTGCACCATAAGACACTGGCATGCTCCTAGAGGAAAAGCCTTAGAAATTACCATTGAGACTCTTCTTGATACTTGGAATCCCCTGAACTGTGCCTTTGTCTGACTTTGATCTCTTGGCTCCAAAGTCTTCAAAGCTATCCTTGACTTTTGCCTGAGATCCGAGTCTGCTGGGGCCTGGCCTCTGATTCTGATGGAGCCCATGCTTTCAGATGCGGAGAAACAAAAATGCTACACTTTGGGTTTTGTTTTCCTTTCTCAGCAACTTGTGTTCAATTCAGTGACCAATTGCTTGGGGCCGCGCAAATTTCTGCACAGTGGGAAGCTCTACAAGGCCAAGAGCAACAAGGAGCTGTATGGCTTCCTTTTCAACGACTTCCTCCTGCTGACTCAGATCACGAAGCCTTTGGGGTCTTCTGGCACCGACAAAGTCTTCAGCCCCAAATCAAACCTGCAGTATAAAATGTATAAAACAGTAAGTTGGATTCTAGATTTTGCATTATCAGGGTTGACGTGTTTGGGGAGGAAGAAGTTTCCAAAAAGGAGGTAGAGTTTTAGCAGGGTCAGGGGCTGTGGCATGCAGGAGAAGGCCAGGAGTTGAAATGCGATTTAGGGTGTCCGGAGTGGAGGACGATCCATATCCCGCCGCAGTGTCAGTGACACTCAGTGCTATCGGTGGAACATATTGGCTGCCAAATGGCTGCTGTGGTCCCCTGGGATGTGACAGAGGCATGCTTTAGCCTGTAGGAGCGAAGTCTAGGGTACAGATGAGGCAGGTGTGAAAAAGCTCGGGAGAAGAGGTGCAAAACAGCACCCAGGGCCCACCGTCGCCTCCAAACAGTCCTAAGTCCCCTGCCAGACTTCTCCAGGTAGCTTGAAACATCCGAGCCCCCTCCTTTCTAGCAAAGTCTCTCTAAACAGTTGATACGTGGAGAATTTCCCTCAGCTGTTTATATGGTCTGCTCATACGTGCATGGCTGTGTTTGTGTGTCTTTGTGTCACGGGACGTTGTTTTTCTAAATTTGTCTGCATGGGGGTGTTTTTACAGAAGAATTTTCTCTGAGGCAGCAGTTAGCTTTATTATGGGAAAAAAAAGAGCTATGTAGTTATATAGTTACTAGAAACTTCATGTGAAAATCTTTGGAGGGAATTGCTTGATGTAAAGTGGATGAAAACTGCTGTTTAGAATACACCAGGAAAAGCGACACCAGCCAGATCTTATTCTGAAAGACTTAAAACATACCCGCAAAATCGTGGGCGGGGGAACCCATATTTATCATATTTATAATTTGTAATATGTAAAAGTTGATGCTAACCCAAAATTATTATTCTGGGATTCTTTACTGGAAAACACACACGCCCTTAGTCTGGTTTACTGGAACACACCCAGAAACACACACACATGCTCAGTCTAGGTTACTGAAACACACGCACGAGTGTGCACACACGCGCTGACTTGCAGTCTCGTTTACTAGAACACATTGGCATAAGTGTGCTCACACACTCACGGTTTACCGGAGCACACAGACCCCCAGCCTCGCTTTGTAATGCCTGTGTGTTACTTTCCAGCCTATTTTCCTAAATGAGGTTCTAGTAAAATTACCCACCGACCCTTCTGGAGACGAGCCCATCTTCCACATCTCCCACATTGACCGCGTCTATACTCTCCGAGCAGAAAGCATAAATGAAAGGTGAGACCTGCCGCCTCCCCAGCATGGGCCCCAGGGCTCCACGGCTCTAGGACACACAAGGGGCGGGTGATTAATCAGGTGCCAATGTTTCCCAAGTGGCAATGCCATCACCCCTAGCTGGGAGTGGGGATGGGGCTATTACTTTTTTCTACAGCCTCTCAAAAATCTGTCACATGGCATGCCCTTTCCAAAATAACATGGATTCAAACTAATTTTGCTTGAGTTTTTTTTTTTTTTTTTTTTTTTAAGGCAGAGTCTCACTCTGTCACCCAGGCTGGAGTGCAGTAGTGCAGTCACAGCTCACTGCAGCCTTAACCTCCTGGGCTCAGGTAATCCTCCCACCCTAGCCTCCCAGGTATGTGGGACTACAGGCATGTGCTACCAAGCCTGGCTAATTCTTTATATTTTTTTGTAGAGATGGGTTCTTGCCATGTTGCCCAGGCTGGTCTTAAACTCCTGGGCTCAAGGGATCCACCCGCCTTGGCCTCCCAGAATGCCAGAATTCTGGGATTACAGGGGTGAGCCACTGCACCTGGCATTGTTGTTGTTGTTGTTGTTGTTTTATTAAGAAATGTTTCGCATTCTTTGAGGTAAACAGAGCATCTCAGGTTTCCCCTGGCTTCCCAGGTGGCAGAAACCAATAGGAAAGTAATTTCGGGGTTAATAGGACCACGCAAACCCAAACCTCTCCTCACCTTGGCTGACTTAAATGGGCATTCTGGAACCTAGGGCTGTGGGTATTTTGCTTCAATCTGTCTTCAAGACACTGCCCTGGAGCCAAATGAAATAGATCATTTTCTGAAGGGTGAACTTGACACAAGGCCAGCATCATTCCAAAGAGCATTTGCACCAAGCAAGAAAATTGGCTAAAGCTTTTGTGCATATGGTTCTCAGAAAAAATGAAGGAGAAAACCGCGGCCACAAATGCCTTCCCCCAAGGCGTTTTGGTCTTTCGTGTGAAGTGGTTCCCAATCTGGGAAGTGGTTTTTGTTCTTTCTTTGCGTGATTTCATAAGCGAGATCCTTCTGGCTTTGTTGGATTAGGCAAATATGTGCTGCTCTTCGGTAAGGAAGGAAGAGGAGTCGTGTCCCGATGTTGCCTCCAAGACAGCATCTATCACAGATTTTCTTCCCCGGGGACATCATCGCAGGTCTTGAGGACATCCATGGAAATGGCCCTCATGCCTTTCTTATCGATGGCAGGAATAAGTATTAGCGTCACGTGACATAAAATCAGATTTTCTTTCCCGAGCCTTTGTTGTTAAAATCAAATGAACAAAGAAACAGAGTCCTGGCAACAGTGTTTGAACAGACCTGAAGCCTTTTTCCTGAGTTTCTGTTTGGCAACTTTCTGTCTTTTTCTGTCCAAGGACTGCCTGGGTGCAGAAAATCAAAGCTGCTTCTGAACTCTACATAGAGACTGAGAAAAAGAAGCGCGAGAAAGCGTACCTGGGTAATGCATGGCCCCGCGGGGTGTCCTGCACAGCTGGGCAGGAGGGAGGGCCATTTGGCTGGGCTGAAAATCCTCAGAATAGAAGAATCCCCTGGACCTAGAGGAGGGGCATGGAATGAGATGGAAGTGAGCTTGGGGTGGGATGCAGATGGGGATGGAGGGCAAATTCCAGGAGCAAGGAAGCAAGTGTTTAAGGAGAGGGAAGAATTACTTTTGAGTCGGGAGAGGTACATGAAATGCATTGTGAGGCTCACAGAGATGGGAAAGGTGTGGCACGTTCAAATGAAGCATTTTGTGTTTTTCCTGCCGTCATAGTCCGTTCCCAAAGGGCAACAGGCATTGGAAGGTTGATGGTGAACGTGGTTGAAGGCATCGAGTTGAAACCCTGTCGGTCACATGGTAAGGCTGTGAGGCGCCCCCGGCTCCTGCTTTGGGGTTGGGAGTAGGGTCCGGGTTCCCCACACCCCCACCTGGCTCTAGATCAAATGTGCTATTTCCATACTCCCTGATCTCCTTCCAGAATTGGTTTAACTAGCACTTGTTAAAAACCTGGAGGTTTTGTGTTTTTTTTTCCATCCTTTCTACCATTCTGCTTCTCCGAGGGATCTGAGTGGCTGCATTCACAGTGGATGTGACACAAGATCAGGCCAAAGTAACGAGACAGGAAGGGCCTAGTTTCAAAGCCCACTCAATTAAGTATTTGTTTTTAGTTTAAGGATGAAGCTGACTTCTGGGAGTTTCCACCCGGATTCTCCACCGAATGACACTTATTAAGCATAGCAGTTATTAAGAGTGGGGAGCGGCCGGGCATGGTGGCTCACACCTGTAATCCCAGTGCTTTGGGAGGCCAAAGCAGGTGGATCACCTGAGGTCAGGAGTTTGAGACCAGCCTGGCCAACATGGTGAAAGCCCGTCTTTACTAAAAATATAAAAAATTAGCCAGGCATGGGGGCAGCCACCTGTAATACCAGCTATTCATTCAGGAGACTGAGGCAGGAGAATCACTTGAGCTCAGGAGGTGGAGGTTGCAATGAGCTGAGATCATACCACTGCACTGCAGCCTGGGCGACAGAGCAAGAATCCATCTAAAAAAAAAAAAAAAAAAGAGTGGAGATCAAAATGAGGTGTGAGTTCCACCTGGCGAAGGCTTTTGTTCCCTCCAGGAAAGAGCAACCCGTACTGTGAGGTGACCATGGGTTCCCAGTGCCACATCACCAAGACGATCCAGGACACTCTGAACCCCAAGTGGAATTCCAACTGCCAGTTCTTCATCCGAGACCTGGAGCAGGAAGTCCTCTGCATCACTGTGTTCGAGAGGGACCAGTTCTCACCAGATGGTGAGTGGAACGCGGCCCTGTGGTTATTCCTCCTTCCCTGGCACTCGTTTGCGTGGGTTAATGTTTTCTTACCTGGGGACTTGGTGCCAGGATTCCTTCGGTTTCCCTCCTGAGAGATGAGGCTGGCTGGCACAAGACGAGGCTCTGTCTCCCCTGGAGGAGTCTTCTGGAGGCGTCTCATTGCATGTGGACAGAGCATGCTTGGTCTAGAATTGTGCCAGCTGCCCTGGGCAAACACGTCCATCTTCTGCTTTCCAAAGCAGGTGACTGTGGAGAGGGGTGTGTTTAAGAGCCTCAGCATAGTTCTTCAGTCCTTGGCAAAAAGCTGTGCTGGCAATGGATGAAACTGGCCAATGGAACAAGGATGTTAGCCCACAACAGGAGCCGCAGAATGGGCCAGGTCCCTTTGGGTGGCATTTTTGTACCACTTATTAAGTAGGCAAAGGGATGCAGTCATGTTGAATGAATCATTTCTTCAGCCAGCCTTCTGTTTCTGCTTGGGCCTGGAAAAGAATAGTCTCAGCCCAATGATTCCAAGAAACTACCTGTCTCTCCCTCAACCCAATAAAAATCACCGGTGGGCATGGTGCTGCAGGCCTGGAATCCCAACACTTTGGGAGGCTGAGGCAGGAGGATCGCTTAAGCCCAGGAGTCTAAGACCAGCCTGGGCAACATAGTGGGACCTTGTCTCTACAAAAAAATACAAAACTTAGCCAGGCATGGTGGCATGCACCTGTAGTTCCAGCTACTCGGGAGGCTGAGGCAGGAGGATTGCTTGAGCCTGGGAGGTCGAGGCTGCAGTGAGCCATGATGGTACCACTATATTCCAGCCTGGGCAACAGAGCAAGATCCTGTCTCCAAAAAAAAAAAAATCACAGAGTAAGTTAAAAGATTATGGTCTCAACTTAATTATAACCGAAGAAGTGAGGGTCAAATGCTAGCATTATCTGTACAAGGTTTAAATGGCTCCATATGGCCTTCATCTTTTAGTACTTTTTATATGAATTATCTCATTGTGAGTTAGGTACTCGTTGTGGTAGCTGGTTAAATGTTTGAGTGTGACTGGAACAGTTTGGCTCCCAAGTCTGGGCTCTTAACTACTATGTGTACTGTCAACTTCTAATTCTTTTTTCTTTTTATTTTTTTTATTTATTTATCTTTTTTCTTGTTGTTCTCGCTCTGTCACTCAGGCTGGAGCACAGTGGTGCAATCACAGCTCACTGCAGCCTCCACCTCCCAGGCTCAAGCAATCCTCCTGCCTCAGCCTCCTAAGTAGCAGGGATGACAGGCATGAACCACCATGCTAGGCTAATTTTTAAAAATTTTTTGTAGAGACAGGGTCTCACTCTATTGCCCAGGCTGGTGTCAAACTCCTGGACTCAAGTGATCCTCCTGCCTCGGCCTCCCAAAGTGCTGGGATTACAGACGCGAGCCACTGTGCCCGGCCACCTTCTAATTCTGAGAGATAAAGGTTGGGGTTGGGTTTTTTTTTTTATTTAAGTAATGAAATACCATGACACATTGGCAACTCCGCTGGGGAGCGAGTTGGAAATCCTAGTGTTGGTTTACATCAGAGCCCAGAGAAGAAGGGAGAGCATAACAGTTCATCAGGGGGTCCCCAATATGCCAGACATGTGCCTCGAAGAGAGGGAATGGTCCCTCTTAGGAGGGTCTGTTTGTTCTCTTTTCAGATTTTTTGGGTCGGACGGAGATCCGTGTGGCGGACATCAAGAAAGACCAGGGCTCCAAAGGTCCAGTTACGAAGTGTCTTCTGCTGCACGAAGTCCCCACGGGAGAGATTGTGGTCCGCTTGGACCTGCAGTTGTTTGATGAGCCGTAGGCAGCGGGCTCAGGGTGTGCTCAGCAGGGTCCCAGCCCACGGCCACACATGCTGTCTGGAAATTGTATTCCTTTTCTAAGAAACCACCATTTGGTATTCAGTCACAGGGATATGGGATGGCAAAGACAGGCCCCTCAAAGCTCCTAGGAATCATTCTCGACAATCCTCCCTGCCCCGAAACAATTTCCTGTTTCATGAAACAAAGCTGTGTTTTCCTTTGTCCTCACTACAGGTCTCATTATGGCTTCTAGGGTCGCTGAAATCCCATAGCCCTCAACAGGGTGCAGCTGGGAGTCTAGCCCCTTCCCGGGCTTGAGGGATGGGTCTGGTTACTATAAAATAGATTTATAAATGCAATGTCTATATTTTTGGAGAACTCATGTAACCCTCCTGTTTCTTACATCCACCAGTCCCCAAGTAGACTTCTTGGCCTACAATGCCCAGTCCTTGGTGTGAGTTTAGAAACAATTATGACGGTCCTGTCATTGCTTCAGAATCCCATCTCTCCTGCAGGGAAATGCTGCCTAGAGCTGATCACTCGGTGAGACGGTCTGATCAGGCCCTGGCTTAGCTCTTTGAAGAGCTGGTCTATGGAAGTTTCCAGCATGTGCACCGTTATAGCCGTTCCTTCCCCCTCTAGGCCTTGTATTAATATATGTCAATGAAAACACACTGGTGTATTGTTGCGTGGATTCAGTTCTGATTCCCAGCATGCTTAGAATATGGTCACAGAAAGTCATTATCTAGAAAGTCACCCCTCTGCTGGATCAGATCACTACAGGTCACTGGAAAGGCAACTTTACAATGTTGGGTCACTGGGTCTCGGTTGGCAGCCATGTTGGAAAAATCTCTTTTGGCTCGGAGGCCTGTGATATTTCATAGCAGCAGTCGTTGCTGGTGACCTGTTCTGTGCTTGAATGTGCTGAATCCTGATTGTTGTAGGACATTTCAACAGCTCTTTTTGGTACGTTCCCCAAAAAGCCATGTCCTAGATCCCCAAGGCGTGAAAAGGAAAAATATCAAGCTGGAGGTTGGGAAAGAAAATGAAGGCAGTCCATTATGTGGTGGGTGAAAGACCCTAGGAGGATGCAAGCCCCGCACATCCCGGGGCAAAGACCTAAGACACTTTTCCACCCTCCACCACCCCAACCTCACATAATATGCTTGTTGCAAGAGTCAGGACTTTATGACTATGTGCCAAGCTGTTTGGTTTGAGTTCTTTAATTTTTTTTTCCCTTAAATGCCAGGAGATCATCTGGTTAGTTAGATAGTAACTTGATTTGCTAATGAAAAGTGGGGGCCGTGTTTTGTTTGCATGTTAATATTCTCATAATCCTAGTTTGTTGTGGTCATGAAATGTCCTTTGCATGTTCTGTTGGTACTGGAGTCTAGCTTTCCTGTACTAGATGGTGTTCTCTTTGATTGTAGGTCCTTAGACTTTAATTAGGGTTATCAAAGTGCTTTCTAAATGATAGCATCAGCGTTGTGGCAGAGTACCTCCTTTGCTGGGAACTGAATGTGTAGTGTTATCATTTCCCATGAGAGCCCGGTCATACTTCAAGCAATTTTTTTAAAAGTGTGTGTTGGAAAGGACAACAAAGTTTACATTTCATACTTTTAAGAAATACTTTATTATTTATTTATTGAAGATAGTGTAGAATTTTGTATCAAGAACAACAGACATAAGTATTTTTTGAAACAAGCAAATATACCCTGTAGTTAGAAACTTTCAACTGAACATGTTAGAGACCAAGTTTAACTTCAGGCATGCATTTGTTTACCATTTCCCAGCAGAAAACATGGTTAAAATACTTTAAGTTTATATTTTTTGATGTTGTTAAGAAACTTTTAAATTAAATCTATAAATAGACATGCAACTCATGCTTTCCTATTTCTATAACCAACACCGTTTGTTTAGTGTATTTATGAAAGATATGCTACCATGGTAGAAAGAAAAGTATTCAATGTGTAAATGGGGTAGTGTGGGTCACCATTCCGATCTCTTTTTGTTTTCTGTCCTGTCTTTTCTTCATTGACTTTATTTGCGTGTTAATGTTGGACATCATTGTTCATGTAGGTAGCGTATGGTATGCACAATGACAAACAATCGTTTTAGGTCCCAGGTCACCCACTCATAGTGTCCTATTATTGGAATTAATGTAGCATGAGAAAGCAATATGTGACTCTTTTTCCTCAAGTGACTCTGTTGAGCATCCTTGAGATGCTCCTGCCATGTAGCAAGTTCTGGATTAGTGTCCTTGTATTTACTGGTGTAATTTGTAATGTAACCAATTGTCCGTATGGAGGAGTCGGGCTGGCCCTCGGACCCAGCTGTGATTCATGAGTTGTGTCACAGGGATTGAGAAACATGGGTGATGCATGGAGTCTCAAACCATTGGGCCTCTCTGTTCCTTCACCTCTACCTTCTTGACCACCTGGGCTATATTTCATAGAAATTAAATGCTCCTTGCCAACAAGGAGTCTGTCTCCTAGCTCTTTGTTTTCTAAATATAGGAGTTCTCTAGGCCACTGCATCCCGGCATCCTGATCCCAGCCTTTTAGACACCCCTGCAAGCGTTCCTCTGCTCTGAGCCACACTGCTAGCTTCTCCTGCACACTCTGATCTCCTTTAGCCCAAGAAGGGGCTGTGCTGGTCATAGGGTTATGCTGTAACCCTCAGTCTTCCCTGAGAACTGAACTATCCTGGGACCTCTTGGGCTGAGCCTTCTTCACAGAGCAGTTCTCTAGAAGGCAGAGTCCACATCCTGGTCCCTCTGGGGCAGGGCCTGTCTGGCTGCTGGCATCACCCTGGCAGGTGGATGGACAGCATCATCTCCTGGAACCAGGTTTGCTGTGACCATGAGAGCCTGAAGATGTGGCTCATTCGGATCCAGGCCTGGACTAATCTGGAAAGAGGGACTTTCTAGGTGCAGGTCACCAGGGATGCTTGAGAAACTAGAGCCAGACTTCCTTGTTTGTTTGGATAATATGTCCCTGTCCTCTGATAGCAGAGGAAAGAGCTCTGCTCCCAAAGAACATTCATGTAAGAGGAGGCATTTTTTTCTTCTTTGCTTTTTTTAAACAACCTAAAGTATGACCTAAGTGTATGAAACTAACTGATTTCTTTGGGTAGAGTAGCCCTGAATTTAACTGGGGAAAAAATCCCATCAGACTATGAGTAAATTGACCACCCACATTAAGTCTTATCTCGGTGACCTGGTACCAAAGCCCAGGTGTCCTCCAGGGGAGTATTCTGGGGTGGCAGGGGGATTAGGTGCTAGCGCCAGCAGGGAAGGACACTTGCAGGTCTGCCTTCCAAGGCTAAGCAGGCCGGCTGTCTCTCCAGGAACTGGCTAGGACAAGTGTAAAGCCACTGACCACACAGAACCAGGATGTTCTAGAATCTGATGGGGCTGAAGATGAAGGGAGAAATGGACAAGGCACTTCTGGCTTTATTGAAAAGGTGAAGCTCTTGGAGTATATTTTAGAGTAGGCCAGTACCTTGTATAAGCAGAAAAAGACTTCTCTATCTCCACTCCAAGTCGTTTTTTTCTAGTTGATTGGGCCTTTTTGATTGATAAGAAGAAAATGTGTTTTGTACGTGTAACAACTTTAAGAATTTCCATTGGAAACAAAGTATGATTTGATTTGATTTGATTTCTAAGTTCTCCCTTCCTTTTCAAGGTTAGCGATGTGCTTTATAGCAGACACTAGCACTTTTACATGAATACCTGGTGTGCTTTGGATGTAACAGGGTCATTTTGGGCTCGAGGTGAGTGTGCAATTAGCAGCAGGTCTGCTTGGTCCAGATATGCTTGTTTACAAGTTTAGAGCATCCTATGCCAGAAAGTGAGATGAAAACAAAGGCACCTGGATTGCTTTGTTTTGCTTTTAGATAAAAGAGCTTTAGCTCACACCAGGCAGAAGCATAACCAGTAGCCCCAGAAACCGGTAGCATGATGAAGCCCTCAGACAGTATAGTCTGAGCCACCATAAGAGGCATTAGGGAAAACTAACACCTCCTTCTTTTTGCACCGTGGGGTGCTGAAATTCCTGCTAGAGACTTCCCCTTACTTCCATGAATGGCCCAGGGGCTGCTTAGTATATCATTAGAATGTTCATTCTCCTCCTTTTCCCTGGAGTGGACCAGTGAGACCAAATGCTTGTGTTTCTCTATGTTTTCAGTTCATTTGTTCAAATGACCCAGAAGATGAATCCATTTCTGGGAAGGCTGAGCTCAGATGAGGATTGCTAGGCCAGCCTAGGTTCTGGGGCGGATCTCAGGGACAGAAACAGGCTTGTATTAAGTATGAGTGGCAGGTACTTCTCTAGAACAGCCCTAACCTGCACTAGTGAGGGGGGCTCAGGAATTCCCATGACATTGATCTAGCAGCCTCCTGCACGTAGACACTCAGTTCATTTTAGGGACGTTCAATGCTTGATCAAATGGGGGGCATTTTCTTTCTTTCTTTTTTTCCCCAGCTACAGTGTAATTGCCTACCTGCCTGGGCCCCTTCTAGAGGAAGGTGGGCTTTCCTTGTCCGTCAGGCTGCACTCATGAGGTGATATCGTAAAGCAGCAGAAAGACTGAGGGTGCAAAGAAACCACAGCTGCCATTCACGGGGCAGCTCCCTCTAGCTCTTCTGCCCAGTGACCTTACAGGCTTTAGAGGAGCCTGATGAGAGCTATCCTGGGGGCCAAGGGATGCATTCCCTGCAGCTTCCTCCTGGGGGACCCACAGGTCAGCCCATTCCAGGAGAAGCAGTCTTAGGCCCGTTTGCATCCCCTGCCACTGCCATGTGCCTGCCAGCCCGGTTTCTGATGAAGACGTGGCTCAGTCCCTGCTCTCCTTGTCGCAGTGGCTTGTACTTCATGTGCAGTAGCCCAGGGCCCGCCTTCTAGAGTGAATGTTTCCCTCGAGCCCTTGGATATTTTTATTCTATTTTGAATGGTTCCGATCAATTAATGTTGCTTTGTGTGGGGTTCTTCAGAGAAATAATGCAAACCGGCCAGGTGCGGTGGCTCACACCTGTAATCCCAACACTTTGAGGGGCTGAGGCAGGTGGATCACCTGAGGTCAGGAGTTCGAGAACAGCCTGGCCAACGTGGCGAAACCTTGTCTCTACTAAAAATACAAAAATTAGCCAGGGGTGGTGGCAGGCACCTGTAATCCCAGCTACTCAGGAGGCTGAGGCAGGAGAATCACTCGAACCTGGGAGGCGGAGGTTGCAGTGAGCCGAGATCACGCCACTGCACTCCAGCCTGGGTAACAGAGCGAGAGTCCTTCTCAAAACAAACAAAAAAAGAGCTAATGCAGACCTCTTCTGGTTAGACCTGACACGGAGGAAGTAATTGGCTGGTCAACTTAATGGCGCCCCACAGCTTCCTCTGGATCCTGCTTCTTTGTACTTGGAACACAGTTTATTTGAGCTAGAGGAAAGGAAAGTTCTAGAATTCCTGTTTCCTCAGCCTGCACTGTATCAGATCCAGGATATGTCTGCATTTCATCAGGATCAAGTAAGATACATAACCTTATATCTGTAGGAGCCAGAAAAAAAAAAATCTATTCCTGATAGGCATGGAAACTTAGTCCACATGAAAGACAGAAGACATCTAACAGCTGTCTGTCTTGGGAGCATTAAAACCCAGACACCAAGACACACTAGACAGTCCATCTCTGGGTTGTGATCTCTCAGAAACATCTTAGTAGTTAATGCACTGTTCATTTAGGGAGTCCCCATCCTGGTCCAGGCCACCCTCCTAGAAGCTGGGCGGCAGCTGGACGGGCCTGCCTTGGTGGCATTCAAGCAAGCCTAATTGGATTAGGTTGGTGCAAAAGTGATTGCGGTTTTTGCCATTGCTTTTGATGGCAAACTAACTTTAAGTCATTAAAATAAGACCCAACGCTTATAAAAGAGTTCATATCCACCTCCCAATAACTTCTTTAGTTCCATGCAGCCTCAATCAGTTCCTCCATTCAAAGGAACCCTCTTTACCCTGGCCCTGGGGGAGCCATATTACACCCACATCATAATTTTTCTGACACTATGTGTGCTTGTCAAATTTCAGGGTCAGTTTCCCCTTATTGGATGTCAGGGGTGTTTTGTGAGTTGTGTTTTAATAGGATTCTGTTCGATTTTCTATACCAGCCTATATTGTTACTATCATCTGCCTAGTATGAATATTTTAGTATTCAAAGCCCACCAGATAAAGCTGTGTTCAGAAGTGGACTTTTTGGTCAGCCTTGAAAAAAAAAAAATCAGCATTTCTCTGATATTTCCTGAGGATTAACCAGAAACTAAGGTTTCTTTTTAGGCAGTGGTAAGAATGCGTATTTTCTTCTTCCAGAAGTTCTGGTTTTATACTTTTATCTTTTGAAAGAATAACATTCCTGTGCGACTCTGCTTCTCTTCGCTTTTGCATTTCTCTTTTTTAACTCAAATCTCTTATTTCCTGCCGTTCCTGTATCTAAACAGAATGGGGGCCTCAGGCAGACAGGAACCAAAGAAAGGGTGTAGTGGCTTTGCAGCGTTGGGTGAGCAGCAGCCGCTGCCATTCTGTGCACTGTCACCGGCGGGGGTGGAGGGTCTCCCTGTAGGAGGAGGAAACTCGCTGTTTTCACTGGCAGATTTCAAGGTGCCGGCTCCACCTACCGCAGCTGCTAGGCATTGCTCTTGTGTAGATCGCAGAAGGAGTTATTGGTGATGTGGGGTGTAGGGGAAGACAGGAAAACGGACTCAGAGCTAGGAATGTGGGCCTGGCAGAGACCGAAGGCTGGGTGGGAAGGAAGCTCGCGGCGAGCCTAGGGTTCAAGCCTAGCGCGCCAGGGGTCTCCAGTGAGACCTTGCTCTTCCCTGCCGCTGAGGCTGGGGCTGCACGGAGGTCCTCAGGCTTCCCACCCTTTCTGCATCAGCTTTAGTGTCTGTCGGCTGGGTGGACTGCAGGGCAGGTGACCTGGAGGAGGCCCTGCTCCCCAGCAAGCGTTCTAGGAGTTACGGTGTGCTCTATTGGGATTGGATTACAGTCTCTACTTGTAGACTTTGACTTCTGGAATTTTAGGTGGAAGGGAATTTTTGTTGGTGGGACGCAGCAGCTCAGTGCGTGGTGTGTGCATGCGTGTTTGTGCGTGCGTGTGCATGTATGTGTTTGTGCGTGCACGTGTGCGTGTGTGTGCATGGGTTTGCGTGCATGCATGTGTGTGCGTGCGCGTGTTTGTGTGTGCATGTGTGTGTGTCTACGTGTGTGTGCACGCATGTGTGTGCGTGTATGTGTGCGTGTGTGCATGTTTGTGAGTGCATGTGTTTGTGCGTGTGTGCGTATTTGTGTGTGTGCGTGTGTGTGCGTGTGTATGTGCGTGTATGCATGTGCATGTTTGTGTGTGCGTGCATATGTGTATGTGTGTGCGCGTGCGTGTGCGTGCATGTGTGCGCATGCGTGTGTACCTACCCACACCTAGGGGGATGCATGGCTCTGTGCCTTGGAGAGGGAAACAGGAAATACGTTGCTCCACAGTCCTGTCATCCTGGTCAGGACTAGTCGCGTGGTTTGCGGACAGAGTGCAAAATGAAAATGCGAGGCCCCTTGTTCAGGTGATGAAGCATTTCTAGACAGTGAGAGGAGAGCATTAAGCCAAGCTCAGGTCCCTTCTGAGTGCATAGCCCCTTGTGGCTGCCAGGCAGCACACCCAGGAGGCCGGCCCTGACCACACTGTTCTCTGCTGGTTCCCGAAGCTGATGGGCTCTGTCTTAGGTCTTCTTACTTTGAAAGGTCTCCCGGCAGGCTGTGGCAAGCTGCGCGGATACACTTTTCTAAACGTCTGCATTTATTTCCTAAAAGCACAAATGGCCTGGACTAGCTAGTGGGTGTGGAACCGAGCCCCTAGTTCACAGCTGTACCCCAAGGCTGGAGAGGGGGTTGCCGGTGGTGGCAGGAGCTCTGGGCTCCCAGTTCAGGATGGGCCACAGGGCGTCAAGCAGCTGTGAGCCTTTACCATTGAGCTCACTGCTTGGAAATAAAACCCTTCCTCTGGGCCTTGGGCATCCACTGGGAGCTTTTCTCCCCTTTCCTGGGAGGACAGCAAGCCTTTTCCAACCTTCTGCCTTCAAAGAGAAGCAGGGTCATAGAAGTGCTCAGTGTCCCTTCCCCAGTGGCTGGACACTTGCTCCTCCAGCCTTCACCCCCTGGAGAGAAGGGGAGTCTGCGGAGCCAGTGCCTCCCTGCCCAGCTGGGCCACACGATCTGGTCTGCGGGTGTCTGGGAGGAACCTGCTTCGGAGAGGCTGCGACCTCCCAGCTAGACTCTCCCCTTAGGATCCCATGTATGGGGATGGTAGGAGAGAAAAGATCCCTCTGTGTAAGTAGCCTCAAGTTCTAGAAGACCATGGCCCCGGGAGGCAGCTGACCATGAAGCTGGGCTTCCTGTTGTTGCTTTCTTTCACGAGCTTTTACTTTTCCTGGGCTGGACGCTCCAAAATGTTTGCAGTTCCATTTGCTTTTTGCAAGTAGGTCCCCATCTCCATATACATTGAGCAATAATCCTCACTATGTTTCCTGATTCTGTCTGGGATTATATTTGCTAAGTAAAAATGTTGACAGAAATTGCAAACTCATCTCACCTGGATTTGATTGAGTCACCTTGAATGACATAACAAATTATGGCTTTGTTTTCATGCGTCATGCAATCTTCCGGACTACGGGAAGTTCTGCAAGTGTTCTCCAGGGGCATTTCATTAATAGCGTGTCAGCATTAGTTTTAATGAATGAACATTTGAGGTACATTCTATAAATCAATATCCTTAAAATGTCATCTGCTAAACATTCACTGTGACAGAAAGTAGATATTTTAGCAAGATCTATGTTAATGCTACTTAATTTTAGACATGCATTTAAAGCCTACATGGCCAATAGCCCAAGTATCTTTGAACTGTGAAATCAACCTCAGATCTCATCTGCTGTAGCCCCGCAAGCCGGAGTCTGTGCCCTCCATGACCCTTCTTATCCCTTGGTGGCCCTGCATAGATAGGGGAGTTGGCCCCTGCCCACCCCGTGTTGTATTGCCTTAGCTCCATCAGCTTTGTACCCTCACACGTATAGGTGGTGAACTTATGTGTAAATACATGTGTACAGATGAGAAACTGCAACAAAAATGTCCTGTGGATGATAATCAGCTCAGTTTCCGGTTTTCTACATTCTGTGCTGTTTCCAGCTAAGAAAAAGGCGAACTCCCACTATATAAAGGGAAAAGGTTGTATTCATTTCATGTTCCTCATGAAATCTCTGCTGTATGTTTATGGAATGGCCATGACTAAATGTATATATGGTATGTAAGAGGCCATGCTGTTAAATGTTGCATAAACTAACACAGATTCTGTAGTCAAAAATATTTAACTTGTTATTGTAAAATGTGATTTGTCATTGAGAGATTATTTTTCTGTATGTATATGAGAGTATTTTAGGAATCTAATTTAAGTGCATAAAACTATAGAAAAAAATTTAAAACCTATTCCAAGAGTAGAAAATGCTTAATGAGATTACTTGGGTTCAACTCAACTAAATTTCTTATATTAAAAAAAAATTCCAAGTTGTATATGTTAGAAATCAAATGAGTCATTTTTTTTCCTGCAGGAAATATGATAAATTTCAGTGTAATGGATGGTGGCGTGATCAAATGAAAAGTATCCTGTAGCTATGACCTCGCATGGGACCTTGGTGTTGCATTAAAAATGGATTTTTGCAGATCACATATCTGAGAGGGTACTTGTGTCAGGAAGGATGAGAGGATAGGGAGCCTGTTTTTCATCAGATCCATGTGCCACGCAGGCTTCCTTGGGTTCTAGTGGATTTGTTAGGGATCTGGGGCTGACGCAGCTATCCCACTAGAGAGGCCACTCTCTGACTTCCAGGTCGCCCTTTCTACTTCTGTATCTGGATTGATTCAGTTTATCCCTAATTAGCGTTTGCGTTTTCCATGAAATTTCCTGATGCATCCTCACTGTCTTCAACTGTTGCATAGCCAGGTGGGTGGATGGATGGTTTAGGGTTTCTGAGTTAAGCCGTTTTGGGGCAGGCTTCTGGATGCCCATGTTTCCATGGAGACCCCAGGGGGAAGATGCCTTCCTCCCGTCTGCATTCCCAGAAAAGGATCAGAAGTCCAGGCTGCTTCTGGGGCACAGACTTTCTGTACTTGGCCACCAGAAGTGCCCCTTAGGCCACCTAAGGAGGATTCTGTGAAACTCAATGTCTAAACCCCTGAGAAAGGCATTCAGAAATGATTTCAGGAGGGGGCAACCCCAGGAGTCCAGCCTCCCCTGGCAGCCTGGAAATACTGCAGTAACAAAAAGAGCTGGTTTCTGGTGATCTGAATGCATTGTGTTTGGGGGTGACACCGCTGGTGGAAGGTTGAGGGCCTGTGGTCTGAAAAGACATCTGAAGAATGTGTTAGGTTTTCAACATTTCTTTGAACAGGCTGCGTGCATCTTAATGCTGTCAACCAGCAACTGGAGCCCCTTTTTTGAGAGGCCCGAACCAGTAAAGCTGCTGACTTCAGGAGTATGGGAAGCTGTGATTTCTGGAAGCTTCCTGGAATCTATTTAGGTGCATGAATAATCTGCAAATCACTTAGAGGCACTGTCCATGTGGTCCATAACTGGCTTTATTCCCAAAGATGGAGCTGTTCAGAGATTTCTTTGTTCAGGCGCAGCCTTGGAAGGCCACCTAAGGCCTGCCAGCAGAGGAGATGAGCTCTGGTCTACCAACCCCAAACAGGCCCTGACTCTCCTTCCTTAGAACGATGCCCTCTGGCTGGGGTGGCAAGAGGGCTGTGAGTGGAAACAAGTCAGCCAGTCAACTGTCCCTTGGGCCTTGGTTGTTTCAAAAAAGTCTGGGGACAAGAAAAGCTAGAACATGGGGCCCTCCCTTCCCAGGAGTGCTAGCGAACCCTCCCAGATAGCCTTTGCCTGTTTGGAAAAGAATGTAATCCATCAGAACGTGAGCTCCTTGTGCTTCCAGTGACAAGCGGGCCACAGTGCTGGTGGCATGTTGCTTCCCTCACAGCCCTGCCCAGGGGTAGGACCAGGCCCGCCCCTTGATGGATGTGCTGTTGATTGTAATATACTTCTGTTGCCAAATAATGGTACTGTTTAATTTTCCATAAAAGAGAGACTATATTGTCTGATATGTAATGTTAATGGAATTCTAAGAATTACTAGACACTATTATAAATTGTAGACTTACGTATTTGTCTAAAGGTTTGATGAAGCAGGGCCAAAACATTGTTTCTTCTTTTTTGTTTGAAAGAAGCTGAGGTTTGTTTTTGCTGTTTGAGTGTTCCTTTGGCAACTTATTATGTGTGAAATGTTAAATTTTACCGATTAAGATGATGGTAACTGAGACCTTTCTTTAAACCAGTAGCAACATCAGTACAAATTGCTCTTCCTGTGTATCTTGAACCTAAAAAGAACAATCTCTTCAAAAACAAAAACAAAAACAAAAAACAACTCTTTGGTCATTTTGACCTGTGTGGTTTAAATTCAAATAGTTCATGAATAAAAGGAGAAAAGCCAATCTGTTATAGTGGATTATTTTGGGTTCTTTCTGCTTCACTCTTTTCTGAGAGCACAGGAAGCTAACAGCCCTGCAAATGGTGTCTCTTCCTCTTCCCACAGATAAGATTGTAGCTGTGCAAGGAAAATTGTGCAGAAATAAACCTAGAAAACAAAACCAACCAACAACCCTTTCAGCTGTCCTGCGGCTTCAGATAAATGTTAGCTAACACCAAGCAGAAATAGATTTCTGTGTACGAAGTCTTTGTGAGAACAGGAGAAGTTTTGTGTTGTACAGCATAAGAAATTCTGAGGGTGGGGTTGAGAGGGCGGTGCAAAAAGCTGATTTTCTTATAAAGACATTCAGAAGGGTCGCTGAATTTCCAGGAAGAAGTTTCTAACACACGTAACTCCACGTGTTCAGCACTTGGGTGATCTATAATTCTGCGTTCCATAAAACCCAACGCTGAATTGTATTAGGTTGTTTCCTCCTGTTCTGGTTTTAAGGCCATTCCTACCTATTTCATCACTGATTTAACTGACTATAAATAAGTCCTTTAAATTCTCTAGCTGGCTTGGACACTAGTTGAATTGTGACATAGCACATTTTTAAAAAGTTGACCCTACAGCAGTATGTCTTTGCCTTTTTAAAACTAGTATGCCCCATTTTTGAAGAACATAAAATCGTATGCCCTTTTCTTGGTTGTTATTTGAAGTTTTAAAAATAAGTTAAGGCTGGATGTGGTGGCTCACACCTGTAATCCCAGTGCTTTGGGAGGCTGAGGCAGGAGGATTGCTTGCATCCAGAAGTTCAAGACCAGCCTGAGCAACATAGTGAGACCTTGTCTTTACAAAAAATAAATCAGCCAGGCATGGTGGCACATGCTCATGGTCCCGGGTATTTGGGAGGCTGAGGCAGGAGGATCTCTTGAGTCCAGGAGGCCAAGGCTGCAGTGAGCCATGATTGTGCCACTGCACTCCAGTCTGGGTGACAGAGTGAGACCCTGTCTTAAAAATAAAAAGTTAAATGCCATTAAAAACAAATGCAATAATTAACTTTCCCAACTATACCTAGTTCTCTCCAAGTCTGATGAGGGCCCCCTCACACAGACCAGAGAGTGGATGGAATCACTAGTACAAAACATGTAATTATTACCTATTTAACCACGGTTAGTAGCCAGCATAATCAAGGCAATACTTTTTATTCTCAAATATTTAGTTTTTCTTCTTGTTACAGAAGTAATACTTGTTAATGCAGAAAATTCAGCAAGGAAAGAAAAACACAAAGGAAATAAAATCACTTAATGGAGATGTTCTTCTACACAAAAATAAAGGTTTTGATGCACTTCATTTCTGTATTTTTTGTGTGTGTGTGCATTTTAAATACTCTTGTACTATTTATTTATTTATGAGACGGAGTCTTGCTCTTGTCACCCTGGCTGCGCTCGGCCTCTTGTACTATTTAATAGCTAATATGCATCGAAAATATCCCATATACAAGGGACTGTAAAACTTTCACCTTGATTTTAAAAAAATACTGTGAAGAAAATCATTGTAGGCTGGGTGTGGTGGCTCAAGCCTATAATCCCAGCACTTTGGGAGGCTGAGGCCAGTGATCACTTGAGCCCAGGAGTTTAAAGCCAGCCTGAGCATCATGGCAAGATCCTGTCTCTACTATAAATATGAAAACTAGCTGGGTGTGGTCGCACTGCCTCTAGTTTCACTGCCTGTAGTTTCAGCTGAGGTGGGAGGATGGTTTGAGCCCAGGAGGTTGAGGTTGCAGTGAGCCATGGTCGTGCCACTGCACTCCAGCCTGAGTGATGGCGTGAGACTGTCTCAAAAAACAAAACAAATCATTGTACATAGATCTCTAGGTTCTCTCTGGTGACCTCGTAAGGCGACATATGAAGGGCCTCATCATTCCCCAAGATTGTATGTGCTTGATCAACAGGAAGCTTGCTGAGTTTGACTCTGAAGGATCTGGGCAGCATCAGCAGCATGAGGCTCCCGCAAAGACGGTTTGTCCATTGGCAGTCACATGTCTGTAGGAGCTGTGATTGTGTGTATGACGCCACCTTCTGCAGAGCAGGCCTCACTGCAGGCAGGAGGCAGGCAGTGAGTCTGGGGGAACCTGGAATGTGGTCATGGTTAGGTTGCAGACTCAGCTGCGGAGACAGAACTCAATATCCCGTGGCTTTGAAGAGAGGTCTATTTCTTCATCGTGTTTAACAGCCCAGGGGCAGCAGTAAGGCTTGGCAGGGTGGCTCTGCCCTTGGCATCGCTTGCCATCTTGTCTGCATCTAGCTAGAGGGATGGACTAAGGATTGCTCAAGAGGGCAGTCCAGGAAGGCACACCTCGCTTCCTCTCCTTTCCCATTTGCCAGAACTCAGCACCAAGGTCAGGTGCTGCCAGAGGCTCAAGAATGTGGTCTCTAGCTGAGTAGCCCTAGGCCCACCTAAAAGGTGGCTGAATGGTCTTCGGGCCAGCCAGCAGCCTCAGCACTCCTGGTTCCTGGAAAGGTTGAGGGGCCTCAGCACTCCTGGTTCCTGGAAAGGTTGAGGGGCCTCAGCACTCCTGGTTCCTGGAAAGGCTGAGGGGCCACGTGGTGTCTCCGTTGGTTGTCACATTAGGTGATCATGTATTAAAAGCTTTGCCAGGAGGAAGCTGGAGTTGAAGCCAAGCATGAGTGTCAGGAGTGTTGTGCCACATGGAGGGCACGCCAGTCCCAGCACTAGCACATAGGGAGCAGCGCTGGGCCATGTCATTGCTCTGTAGGACTTCTTTGCTGCAATGGTCCTGCCTCTGCCCAACCAGGGGTGGTTCTGGGAAGGGAACTGGTTTGTTGGCCAAAAGTTCTTGGAGGTTGACTAAGGAACAGGCACCTGAGCGGGCTGTTGCGTGGGGAACTCTGTAACTATTTTCTCTAGAAGACCAAAAGGTAAAATGTAGTGGAAGAGCTGACCTGGGAACTGGTTTTGGTTAAAAGGTGAATTGGGAGCATCTTAGGGACAAAGCGGGAAGGGGCAGGGGACCTACCTAAGGTAACTTTTGCCCGTTTGCTCCAGCAACGTGTCGGCGCATGGTGTTAGTTATACAGTGGTAAAAACATGGGCTGTAGGGCCTGACACCAGCTGTCCAGACAGGTGACTCTGAGCACATCTCTAGGGCCCCTCAATCTCTTTCCTCATTTGTAAAGTGGGGTGATGTCTCTCCCACCCGTGTGACAAGGCTGTCATGCAGCTTCAGATGTACATGAAATGGCCTTGAAAGCTACAGAGCAGCCTACAACTAGGTGTGTTCATGTTAGGATCAAGGGCAAGAGGCCTCCCTGGAGGGCTATGGATCAAACACAGATCCGATGATCTAGTAGGGACCAGGAACTCTGAACAAACCCTTAAAGACACGGGATTTTGGCAGGCAGGACCAGATAGACTTTGCTGAGTGACCATGTGTTAGGTGCTGTGTCTAACCAATTAATTCCTAAACATAATCTACTCAAACCAAATTCTCTAGGCCAAAAGGGCTTTTTGGCCTTTATACTCAGGGGATACCAAAAAAGGACATAAAAATAAAGCCTTCTACATTCCAGTTTAAAAGACAGTGAACATAATATGATCTGTTCTGGAAGCTTTTTATTGTTGCTCCAAGTTTAAGAATTTTCACTGATGGCAGAAAACCAACACTTTTAGACAATCTCCCGCATAGCCCTGCCCAGCTTCTGAATCTTGGTCTTGACAGACATGTCAACATATTTCTCGCCAATGCGCACAATCATTCCACCCAAGATTGACGGATCAGTCTACAAAAGAAGTAAGACTGGAAATGTGAAAACGCGCTAATCAAATGGGACACACAAAAAAGTGTTTTGAAAGGCTAAATGTGTTGCACAAATGTAAGAGGTTATAATTACACCTAGAAAAAGGCAAAAGTAAAACTGCACAGTCAGATAATCATTTAAATTTAAAATAAATACAAAATTTTAACTACAGAAAAATTAGTATAGAGTTAGATCTAATATTTCACTAGTACTTTCTGTAGCCATTTTAAGCTTAAAATAACCCGAGAAAACGTACCATAAATAATTTAAAACCTACCTTAGCCTCCAATTTCAATACTTGGCCTTGACTTAGGAAGCTCTTGAGGACAGTTTTTAATTCAGAGAGTGTGGCTTCTTCTAAAGGCTGAAAGGCAAAACCATCCTTTCAATTTAGATAAAGCAAAACAGAAACTTCCAGAGTTAAAATACCCCAGGCCCACATCACCAAGACAGGCCTTGTGAGCTCCTCCCTTTGCTACCTGGGCCCATCATGGAGCTGCTCTGCAGCATTCACTCCTTGTTCACGCTGGAGGTTCAGGGAGCACAGGAAGGCCCTGCCTCACAGCATCACCCGGGCAGCTCCCACTCAGCCGTTCAAGGACGGCCTGTAAATGCCACTCCCTCCCTGCCTCTGCTCTGTGTGCTAGCAGTACAACTTGGAACTAACAAGGAAAGGCCTTCAAGTTTCTAATGCCTGAAGATGCAGCCCCATCAATGCAGGAGGACACAGGCCTCTCCTGGGTGCAGCCCTGGGGACACGACATGCATCTATCATGTCCTTGGCTGAAAAGTTGCCATTTTAACCTGGTTTTACATCTTCATGTTTGCCTAGCTCTGCTGGCTGTTCATCTCCCCGCATCCACAGCTACCTGGAGCTCTGGCAGGCCACTCCACTCTCTGAACCCCAGTGAGAGAACCTGGAGCAGTTGGCTTTTCCTGAAGTCAGCTCAGCTCCATAACCTACTTTAGAGCAAGCACCTCAAATGTCCAGACTGCACTCTCCTCTCGGCCCCAACTCTTACTCCTGGTTAGTTATGTTATAGTGTTAAGTGTTCTAATGGTGAAAATGAAGAAGGCTGTTAAACCAAAGGCCTTTTTTTTGAGACCGAGTCTCGCTCTGTCACCCAGGCTGGAGTAGAGTGGCGAGATCTCGGCTTACTGTAGCCTCCGCCTCCCAGGTTCAAGTGATTCTCCTGCCTCAGCTTCCCAAGTAGCTGGAATTACAGGCGCATGCCATCACACCCGGCTAATTTTTGTATTTTTAGTAGAGACGGGGTTTCACCATGCTGGTCAGACTGGTCTCGAACTCCTGGCCTTGAGTGATCCACCCGCTGCAGTCTCCCAAAATGCTGGGGTTACAAGTGTGAGCCACCACACCCTGCTAAAAAGGCCTTTTTTTAACTTGTCATAAATCCTACCTCCCTGGCCCCTCCTCTAAGAGCCTAAAAAAATTTGGCAGAAAAATTTATGTCTTTGTAAAGATATAACAATATCCTTTTTTTGGGGGTGGGGGGTGCTGGTGGTGGCCAGAATCTATTCGTGTTCAAAACATGATTTACTGAGACTAAAAGGTTACAGAATTCTGAAATATACATACCCTCCACTGAGACATGTACCAACTGCCAGGTACCTGTCTATGCCAGGCACATTTCATGCCTACTATCTCCCTTCATGTGGGCAACCCTGAAAGGCCACCGGTCATTATGCCCATTTTACATATGAGGGAACGGAGGCTCAGGGTGGGTAAGAAACTCACCTAAGGCCACATCAGCAGGTGAGGACCAGCCCCAATATTTGAAACCAGTCTGTGTATTTCTAAAGCCTGTGCTCTTAGTCACTCATCAAGACATAACGTTTTTCAAACAGTACAGACTCACGCACCCAACAGTATCAACATCAAAAGCATTAGTAACAGTTGGTTCTAAAATCTTTTGCAAAAACAAGCATCCTTTAAAAGAAAATCATGGCCTTGTGGCTGTGCACGGTGGCTCACACCTGTGGTCCCAGCACATTGGGAGGCCAAGGTGGGTGGATTGGCTGAAGTCAGGAGTTCGAGACCAGCCTGGCCAACATGGTGAAACTCCATCTCTACTAAAAATACACTAAATTAGCCGGGTGTGGTGGCAGGTGCTGTAGTCCAGCTACTTGGGAGGCTGAGGCAGGAGAATTGCTTGAACCTGGGAGGCGGAAGTTGCAGTGAGCTAAGATCGTGCCACTGCACTCCAGCCTGGGTGACAGAGTGAGACTCAGTCTCAAAAAAGAAAAAAAAAAAAAAAAAAAAGAAAATCATGTCCTTGTGTTCACTGAAGAATGGCCTGCACCAGTGCTTCATGATGGGTGACCGTGGGGCAGGTGAATGTCTAATCTGTGCCACACTGTTAGGGATAACTGATGCAGCCACAGAGGGCTCCCTGCCTATGTCTGAGCTGTAATGATTTGCAGCCAGGCACATGTTTTGGGGGCACCAACTACTGAACTACAAACGTGCAAGTAAGTATGATGTGCTAGGATGCCTCTCCTTGAATCTGTGCTAACTAGAAGGTTAGACTGTCCTTTAAATGCTACATCTATTAATCTAGATGAGGTCAGGTGCTACGAATTCCAAGTCAATCTACCACACTCCCCTGTTTTCCTGTAGGGTAAGCTACACTACATTTGACTGAGTTACATAGGGAAGAAAATACATATTGAAGACAACAACAAAATTAATTCTAGGGAGGCAATGTAGTGTAGTCTAAGGAAAATGGACTTCTAAGAGGCCTTGAGGCCTGTGTTCAAATTCTAGTCCCACCTCGTATGACTTTGGGCAAGCGACTTCATCTCCCTGCATTCGGTTTCCTCATCTGTAAAATGAGGTTAATTATACTTCTATCTCACATGAATCTTTTGATACTGAATAACATAATAAAGCACCCAGCATATAGTAGGGTTCAATAAACGGTAGCCAATTATAGCCCACTATCAAGTCAAAAAGATACAAAGGCCCAACGGCTCTACTCCTTCCCACTCACCACCACCAAAGATGAAAGGTTAGTAACTCTAGTTTCAGGCCAGGTGTGGTAGCTTACACCTTTATTCCCAGCACTTTAGGAGGCCAAGGCAGGTGGGTCACTTGAGCCCAGAAGTTCGAGACAAGCCTGGAGAACACAGTAAAACCTCCATCACTATAAAAAACACACAAAAATTAGCCGGGTGTGGTGGGGGTGCACTGTAATCCCAGCTACTCAGGAAGCTGAGGCAGGAGGATCACCTGAGCCCAGGAGGTTGAGGCTACAGAGGTGTGACTGTGTCACTGCACTCTAGCCTGGGTGACAAAGTGAGACTCTGTCTCAAAAAAATAAACTCTAGAATTCTAGTTTCAGGAAACTACTTCAAGTGGTATTCATAAAATAATTCAAACATATAATAGAGTCTAAACCACTCTTTTCCAACACATTTTGATGTACTTTACATTTAACCCAGGCCTTATGAATAATCACTGGTTACAGAAGCACTAATAAGATACACGCTGGCTTTTCCAAAGCAAAGGGTCACAGAAGCTGATATAAAAATGAAACAAACATCCCAGGTGACAAGTTACCTTTCCCAATTTCTTGATTTTACCCTGTTTTTCCCTTTTCTTCCTGCAAAAGGTGACACATGTAATATCAAGGCAAACACAGCAGCAACAACCCGTTACTTACAGATGCAGAGGTCACTGTGCAAGGTACCTCTCCGCGATGGACACTCATCATGGTAGAAAAGGCAGAAACGACTCCTTGGGTATTGCTTAATCGACCATTTTCAGCAAGCAAATCTGCCAGAGTGAAGGTGTCTCAGTAACAAGAAACTCACCTGAACAAGTTATTCATGAAGTTGTATACTCAACCCAAAAAACAAACTTAGATTTGTGGCCTTAAAACACCATATACAGGGGCGCATGCCTATAATCCCAACTACTGGAGGCTGAGGTGCAAAGATTGCTTGGGGCCATGAGTTCAAGACCAGCCAAAATAGTGAGATCCCATCTCTACAAAAAAACGTTAGGGCTTGGTGGTGCATGTCTATAGTCCCAGCTACTCAGGAGGCTGAGGCAGGAAGATTGCTTGAGCCTAGGAGTTTAAGGCTGCAGTGTGCTATGACTGTCCTACTGCACCCCAGCCTGGGCGACAGAGCAAGATCTTGTCTCTTAAAATCACAGTATATTCAATGTTCTTTAACAATGTGAATGGAGGCCAAGTGCAGTGGCTCATGCCTGTAATCCCAGCACTTTGGATGGCCGAGATGGGCAGACAGCTTGCGTCCAGGAGTAACATGGGTGAAACCCTGGGTAACATGGTGAAACCCTGCCTCACAAAAAAAAAACTAAAAAATTAGCTGGGCACTCAAAAATTAGTGGCGCATGCGCGCAGTTCCAGCTACTCAGGAGGCTGAGGCAGAAGGATCACTTAAGCCCAGGAGGCAGAGGTTGCAGTGAGCTGAGACTGTGCCACTGCACTCCAGCTTGGGTGACAGAAAGGGACACCCAGGCTCAAAAAAAAAAAAAAAAAAAAAGAATGGAGAAGATACAACTTGTTATTTAAAACGCATATCCAATTTTTTTTTTTTTAAATAGACTGCACTGACAAGGATTTAAATTAGTAGGTATGGGGGGTTCTCAGCTTGCAATCTGATTTTCATATTTATGTTACAGATTGTATGTTTGGCTACAAATTCAAAGATGATATCATGAACACACTTTCTCTGCAACTTTTATTTTGAGCTGGCTATGAGGATCTGAAAAGCAATCCAGGCTGCATGGTGGCTCATGCCTGTAACCCCAACACTTTGGGAAGCCAAAGCAGGCAGATGGCTTGAGCCCAGGAGTTCAAGACCAGGCTGGGCAACATGGAGAAACCCCATCTCTACAAAAAATACAAAAAATTAGCTGGGTGTGGTGGCATGCACCTGTATTCCCAGCTACTAGGGAGGCTGAGGTGGGAGGATCACCTGAGTCTGGGAGGTTGAGGCTGCAGTGAGCTGAGATCGTGCCACTGCACTCCAGCCTGAGTGACAGAGTAAGACTCTGTCTCAAAAAGAGAAAAGCAGTCCAAATGTACCCAAGAATGCAAATGTATCCAAGGATCAAGGTATAGCCACAGGCCACGAACCATTTTCTTGGTAGGTATCACACTGGCCGCCTCCACAGTTGAAACTACTGACTATACAATTAGACATGCTTAGGTCCTAGTATCCTTTAGACGATGCTCCTCACACTTCAATGTGCAAACGATTCACTTAGGGAGCTGGTTAAGATACAGACTCTGATTCAGCAGGTTGCTGTGAGGCCTGAGATTCTTCACTGCCAACAGGCTCCCAGGTGATGCTGATGCCGCCCACAGTCCATGGACCACATTTCCAGTCATAGTTTCAAGACACCTCAAATGAAAAAGTTCTAATACTCACTGATCAGATTGGTAGTGAGGGGAGAGAACCTCTCTTTTGCTGTGATGTCATTTAGGCTTTTCACTTTAATGGAACGCTTCACATAGGGATTCAAAACAGAAGCAGCCACTTTGGGTTCCTTCAGGATTTGCTGAAAGCATCAAAAAATAATTTCTTAAATTTTTTAGAGCACAAATGAAGGATGTGCCATGCACACACTTTCTTTCTTTCTTTTTTGGAGACAACGTCTTGCTCCGTCGCTCAGGCTGGAGTGCAGTGGCGCAATCTTGGCTCACACAACCTCCACATCCCGGGTTCAAGCGATTATCCTGCCTCAGCCTCCCGAATAGCTGCACCACCATGTCCCGCTAATTTTTGTATTTTTAGTAGAAACGGGGTTTCGCCATGTTGACCAGGCTGGTCTTAAACTCCTGACCTCGAGTGATCCACCCACCTCGGCCTCCCAAAGTGCTGCGATTACAGGCATGAGCCACTGTGCCCGGCCATACAAACACTTTCTTATGAATTAAATATTTTATGAATTAAATTAGCACTGCCGAAGAACATATGAAAAAAAGATTATAATCAAACAATTTTCTGACTGCCTTTCAGAATACACTGTGCACTGCACCAGGATTTTATATAGAATGATGTTCCTCAAAAAAATTTAAAAATACTGTACGAACTTTCTTAAATTTGTTTTTGCTTTTCAAGAAAGATTATAAAACACTAAACAGCCAAACCTTCATTAGACTGCATACTTTAATATATTTAAGAGAGGAGTCGTCTGGTTTTCTAGCAGTGCTATTTCTAGAGTGCAGACCTCACAACTGTGCTCTGACCACAGAGGCCTCCGCACCGCTCCCTTGGAGGGGCCCTGCCTCTTACAGAGTCCAGGGAACCCAGCAGATTCTGTGAGGCCTCTGGTGCTGCCAGAGCGGCCCCAAAGAGTCTGGGAGACAGAGTGGACAATAAAACAGGAGCACAACCATCATGGGAAACAACGTTCTTCTCATTTTGTTGTATCACAGTGTCTGAATTCAGTGACCAAGTGCAGCTTCCAGCATGTTGCTCCAGAGTTCCAACAAACGAACAGCAGTTTCCAGTTGAGCACCTTCAGTTAACACACCTCTCTATGCTTTTCAATTACGCTCCTAGCACCTCCTCCCAGGCTCCTGGCCAGAATCCTGCCTCTGATCCAGGATACTGGTCAGATACTATCATCCAATGCTAACATTTCCACTTGAGTGACCCCACAGAAATGACATTTTTCCATAAAAAATGCAGGAATATACAGATTTAAAGCATTCTGGAATTTGGGTTACCTAGTTTTTCATGTTTATCTGTGTCTCCTGCATCATCCAGAGGACAGTGCGTATCCTTGTATCATCCTTCCCTCTTAGTGCCAAAACCCTGCTAATATTCAGTGTCTTAAGGTAATTGCCTCCCTTTTTCTCCATGTCTCGACTGACTTCCAGGCTTTAGACAAACTCTATTCTAATATCCACAATCCAAGTAATTCTCTCCATTGTAAACATGATTGTTTCCGTTTAAAATGGGCATAACTGACAAGTAGCAGACAATAACCATCACCTCCAAAAATGCCTGTGTGAGACCCCGTCTGTTCCTGCATGCCCTTCCCCCAAATGTCTCCAACAACAGGGCTGGGCTCCTGGGCTCTGAGAGAATCATAAGAGTTTATCACACCAGCTAAGACCTTAAGCATTATCTGCAGAGATAAATGGATCAAGGAAGGAATATGGAGCTAAAATTATTCTGCCTGTTAAGACGGAAGTTCCAATAGAAGCTCAAGTGAAAAATGAATAAAACATAAACAGTACAGAACAGTAATACTTATAGACTATACATACGATGATTAATATAGAACGTAAGTATTATTACTCTATACAACTGGCCTATGAATTGTTTTTTCTAAACAATAAAAACTTGCAGATATGTGAATTAAAGAATGAAGAATCTTAAAATGAAGAAAAAACCAAACTTCCTCTGAAGAGGCTATATACCAGACTGCGTCTCCCTCACCTTTTTTAATGCAGACCTTACTGCCAGTGGTGGCGCTAGAAAATCGAAGGAAGCAACAGAATGTGTAGAAACTTGTTAACTAGAAAATTCGGTGAAAACGAAAGCAGACATTCTCCTATTCAGTTACAATGTAGGCTTCTGGTAATACGGTTTATTTATTCTGCTTTTCATGTTTAAAAAAAAAAGTAAAAAACATCTTGCAGCAGCCTCACAGTCTTTGCCTGTCAGTCCTCTACTACTACTGGGAAGCCCATGCCCCTTTACTAACTCTGCTGCCCAGCGCGCCCCACCCTGTTATTCTTCCCTCACATTTTGGGAACAAAATAATTAAGAGGTTTACCAAAACAATGAAAAGGTCTACATGGTTACTTCTGGGGTTCTGGCAATTGCAAAGGCATCTCTACCAAATGAAAACAACCTGTAAGACATATCTGAGCCTCCTCTGATTCTACAAGCATAGAATATGGCAATTAAAACCTGAGGAAAAGGTTTCATGAAAACAAATTCTCAGTAAAACCAAATCACAATATATTCTAAACACCTAGCCCATAAGCATAGGTTTTTTTTTTTTTTTTTTTTTTTTGAGACGGAGTCTCGTACCGTCCGGGGCTGGAGTGCAATGGCGCGATCTCGGCTCACTGCAACCTCGGCTTCCCAGGTTCAAGCAATTCTGCCTCAGCCTCCGGAGTAGCTGGGATTACAGGTGTTCACTACCACGTCCCGCTAATTTTTTGTATTTTTTAGTAGAGATGGGGTTTCACTATGTCAGCTAGGCTGGTCTTGAACTCATGACCTCCTGATCTGCCTGCCTCAGCCTCCCAAAGTACTGGGATTACAGGCGTGAGCACTGTGCCCAGTTATAAGCATAGATTTTTAAAGGTAGCTTTTAAATTCTCTTCTGAAATAGCAATTTTCCTAAATTACCATCCATTTTAATCTTATATTTCTACCTTTTCTTAGCCCCTAATCTTGGTTCCTAATATTAATATCCTTATATGTATCTGTTTGTTCTTTTTATATGTCTTATAATAAAAACCCAATATTATTACTAAAAATGTGTTTACAGACAATGGCTTTTTCCCAGTTTTTTCTTGTAGGATACACCTCATTAGGAATGCACAAACAACCAAAGGAAAAAATATACAAACAGGAACTTCATATGTAATGAATAGGAAAGCTACTTACTGCTACTCTCAACAACTCCTTTTCTACTTGCTCCAGCTTATTCTGTTTTGATGCAGCAGAATAAAGAGCTGTGGCATAGCGACCTTCAATACCGTATACCTGAACAGGAGGCTTTAAAAAAAAGGTGAAATAGGAGAGGAAAGAAAAAGGAAAATCAGTTAATAGTATACTCTCAAGAGCAGAATTTAAAATTTATATTTTAAAAAATGTATCTCTTTAACACAAAACAGTTTAAATATGTCATTCAAGAGCTGTCCTAAATGGCAATTTGCAAATAAATTAGCGATGTTTCCTTGGTCAGGTCACTCAATCTTTGAGCCTCCAATTCCTCATCTGTAAAATGAGGGGCTTAGTAGGCATTGTCTAAAGTCCCTTCCAGGTTTACATACCTTTATCAATTACTTGTACTTTAATTTTGAGATAAGCTTATGTTTCCTTTGAACTCAGTAACTATTTAGTTTCAAGTATGGGAGGTTGTGAACACTGATAGACAGTTTCGAGTATGTTAGAGCTAGGAAAACAGGTGTTTATGAAACACACAAGTATACTTTTATACATTTCATACTAACACTACACATTTTCCCTTACATAGCCTCCCTATCGATGTTCAGTGTAACAGAGCCCTTTGGCAGTTTACAAAAAAACCTGATGCTTGAATTATTTTTCACAATAAACTATAGACTTTTTTTCTACCATCAATGTATGACTACATGTTCTTAGTGGTGCTGTATGGTTGTAGTGGGAAAGCTCAGGCTTGGATGAGAAAGATTTAGTTCCAGTCCAGCTCTAGGACTAAGCTGAGTAACCTCAGGTAAATTTTCCCAGGGCCTCAGTTTCCCCTTTTGTAAAATGGGAAGACCAGTTACTCCTTAACACTGTTATGAAGTTTTAAGGTCTCACATGAAGGACGAAATGATTTTGATCATTTGATTTGAGATTTAGGGCTGGTAATGAGGACGGGACAGGATAATTATCTTCCTAAATTCCACCTGACGTGGGCTCATTAAGGACACAGACCTGGTATGATCATCTTTCCTTTACACGATTTTTCCAAGGGGCGGACTGGCTCACTGTTGATTTGGTGGGGAAAAGCGTGGGTAGTATAGTCTGCCCAGCACATCTTAGAAAAGTTCCTGCTCCTTGACAGTTGAACCAATTCTCTATCACACAGGAACTTTCTTTAATCAAATAAAGAATTTCAAAATAACCCATAGAAATGGAATCAGACTTCATGTTCCAACAGGGTTGTTTCCAGCTGTTAGCCATGTATCATTTCAGGGGGCCTTCTGGGGAACTTCATTTATTATGTGTCACTAATAGTCCTCTTTATCCGGGGTCAACTGGATTACTTCTGGTTTGAAAAGAAAGGGACTGGCAACTCCCTGAAATAGTGAGCCTCCTTGGTGCCTACTGGAAAGAAAGGGTGTGAAGAGTATGAATATTTCTCACCAGAATGGAACATGGAGAACTGCATTAGAAACCCAGGTACCTTGATATTTTTTTTTTTTCGAGACAGAGTCTTGGTCTATTGCCCAGGCTGGAGTGCAGTGGCATGATCTCTGCTCACTACAACCTCCGCCTCCCGGGCTCAAGCAATTCTCCTACCTCAGCCTCCCGAGTGGCTGGGATTATAGGCATGCGCCACTATGCCTGGCTAATCTTTGTATGCTTAGTAGAGATGGGGTTTCATCATGTCGGCCAGGCTGGTCTCAAACTCCTGACCTCGTGATCTGCCCACCTCGGCCTCCCAAAGTGCTGGGACTACAGGCGTGAGCCACCGCGCCCAGCCCGGTACCTTGATTTTAATATCGTCTCCTGTAATAACTTCCTGTGATAACTTGGGCATGTCACTTTGTTAAACCTGTTTCTTTCATTAAAAAAAAAAAGTAAGTAAATGCTAGCTTGCCTATTTTAGAGGGTTAATGGAAAAACAAATGATTAAAAAGTTTTCATATTTAAAGATTATGCATGGGCCTGTCAAAAAGCAAATACTCAACACCATTCCTTTCCCCACCCTATGCACACAGCACATTTTGGGAACCACAAGTCACGCAAAAAGGTTTAGATAGTAACTACACAAAAATCCACGCCCTGACTGTACTGCTGTTTGACTCACACTTTCGCGTACTTTATCATTACAGAAGAATATAAATTAACATACCCTCACAAGCTTGGCAAATGGTCTGACCACAGAGGTACTGAAGCATCGCACCTTCAAAGCAATAAAGGAAAATAGATCAAACAAAATTACTTGAAGGATTTCTGCATTTAACTCAATAACAACAAAAAATTTTAAATAACCTTAAAATCATTACTTTTGTCTCTTTGTATATTCACATATTACATGAGGGTGAGCTACTTACTATTACTAAGGGGTAAACTTACCCAATGAGGATTATGCCAAGTTGCTTGGGAAATCACCTTCCCACGAACCTCCTAGTTTGCTAGGAATGGACCGAGGCTAGCATACCCGTAAGACAGAAAAACACTAACTTCCAAGGAGTGCATGTTTCAAAAATATTTAACCAAAATTTTGGCGTTTCTATTAACAGACCCTTGAGCAGATCATTTGCAACAGACGTACCCTCCTCGGAATGCAAATGCTATCTGAAAATAAAGATGAATTTTTTGAGTACTGCCGCAGAGTTTGATCTGACAAGAAGCCTTAGTTCTGAGAGACACTATCCTGCCCATCAAAAGACAGAGCTGGAATACACAGTTTAAAAATCACCTGCAAGCGCACAGGTCACAGATCACAGGTCACCTTCAAATACTCCAGCTATGGAACGTGTTTTATCAAAACTGCTTGTGAGGATTAAGACTTTTTAATGCTTATGAAAAAATTACCTAAGATGCCAGGAAGGGGTCATGATATGTAAAGCACCATGGTGAGATGCAGCACAAACAGCATAACATTTTTTCAAACTCGATCTTCTGGGTGATTCCGTGGGTTCAAATCTCAATTCTACCACTTACTGACTGAGCAGCCAAAGACTCATTTAAACTTTTCGGCCTCATTTTATTTATAAAACTGTGAAATGTGTTTTACAAATATTCCTTAGCATTACTAGTAAGTGATCTCTGACAGGTTTTACCACAATGGCAAAGGAAGCTGATTTGGGGGCTAGTCCATGCCCCTTCCCCGGAATTCAGCGAAGGGCAGACCCCCTCTCCTGCGCCCCTCAGGCTAGCAGCTTCCAGGGGCTGTGCTCGGAAGACGCCAAGGTTACGGCACGCGCAGCCCCGCGCCTACTGCCCCGTAGGCATCCCGGGGGACAAACGCTGGGTCGTCCTGAGTCGCTCCCACTCGCCAGGTCCCATAACCTTGAAGACTGCCAGACTTCCCCAGCCGAAGCATCGCACCCTGGTGCTCGAGGTTTGGTACCGGTCATCCCAGGAGGGATCCTCCCACTGGCTCTCAGGACCACCTTTCTCTCACCTGCCGGGAGAGCCCGGACACTGCTGGGGCAGCCATCTTCTCCCGGGCGGCTGTAGGTCAAACCCGAGTGGGAAGAGAGAAACGCGCAAGGGCGCACGCGCGCGTTGGCGTAACCGCTAGGTTCTCTGGGAAGTGTAGGCGTAGGGCGTCAGGCCGCAGGCGCAGAGACCTCCCTCGGGCTGGGAGTTGTAGTTCTTAGCAGTGGTAAGGGCTGGACCCTCGGGGTGGAGCCACAGGGCTTCGACTGCATCTGAAAATGAAGTCATTGTTACTGGCCAAGCGGCGCTCACTGTAGAATGGATTTGCTGTCCCCAGTTTTAAAATTTACATTTAGATAAATATGGTGGCATTTGTTCCATTTCACAGTTATTACCAGCGTCACTGGCTTCTTTACACTTCCTTCCCAGCATGCTAAAGCCTGCATCAATGGCTTTTTCTCACGTTGCATACAAAGACAAAACCAAAACAAAACAAAAAGCCCCCAGGAGCCTTGCAGCTCCAGGAGCGGACACCACGTCTCTCTTACCTGGGCCATGACTACCCATTGTTAAATAAAGAATTATTCAGTGATGCTTATTAAAGCATGATAAGGAAGACTTTATTCAGGACCATAGCGATGGGTATAGGACCAGTGCAACAGGGTCTGGGAGTGGGCAGAGAGATTGGGCTCAACTCCGAAAGCAGAATGGGCAAATGGGAATTTATGGCCAAGGAGCAGTGCGGGGGTCAGTGGATAGAAAATTACTTAGAGGAAACTGGGGTAAGAGGGATTCTGGCTAAAATGACCTAGAGGAATCTTGTAGAAGACAGGCCAGGGTGATCAGACATCACCTGGGGGATGGTGAAGGATGAAGACCCTGATCAGATATCAAAGATGATCGGTTGTCGAAGATTGGGGGTTCTGGCTAAACTGACTTAGCAGTTTTGCTAAAACTGGACTTTACAAGGAGGTGCATAGATAGGACTACGAGAAGGTTCAGAAGTCTCACTAAAGTTTGGCCAAGCAAAAGCAAAGAATCCCTGTGGCCCTCCATTCCCCTCCCCTCTCCCCCATCTCACCTGAGTATAGAACTGAGCTGTTGGTTTGTGAGGGCATATGGGATTCTGGTACCTAGATTCTTGATTCTGGCTAGGGCAGAGTGGCTATCTGAGCATCAGGCCTAAAATAGGAGAACCCGGGTTTGAGCAAATTTGATATTGAAACTGAGAACTGGGTACTAGCCTTGGATATAGTTTGTCTGCATCCATAAAAACAACCTATCTTCAACCCATTCTCTCTAAATAGAACTTGGTCGAATTTTCTCCTCTGTCAGAGAAGAGACTGGCTGGCAGAGCAAGGGTCAGTATTCCTGGTTGTAATAGTGGGGGTTCTGTAATCAACTTAAAAGAAAAATTCTCTGCTCAGATTTATTATAGAAACACGTTAATTCACTATTTTGCCCTTTTAGAGAGCAGTTTTCTCATTATTACAATTTTTATTTTTTGAGACAGAGTCTCGCTTTGTCACCCAGGCTGGAGTGCAGTGGCGTGATCTCAGCTCACTACAACCTCTGCCTCCTGAGTTCAAGCGGTTCTCCTGCCTCAGCCTCCCGAGTAGCTGGGACTGCAGGTGTACACAACCACACCCGGCTAATTTTTCTCTTTTTAGTAGAGATGGGGTTTTGCCATGTTGGCCAGGCTGGTCTTGAACTCCTGACCTCAAGCGATCCGCCTGCCTCAGCCTCCCAAAGCTTAGAGGTGTGAGCCACCACACCCAACCCCCTAAAAACTTTTTAAAACGTAGAGAAAGATAAAGAAAGTAATTGTCCTCTTTTCTTCCACTCGGAGGCAATTGTTGTAAATATTTTGGTGTCTTGTTTCTCAATATTTGTTTAGGCTGTGGCCTGAACTACCCTGGCCTGAATCCCAATCAGTTCCTTGGCCCAATTATATAACTTCTCTGTGCTTCAGTTTATTATCTATAAAATGGGTATTATAATAGTATCTGCCTATAGGTCATTAGAAGAAACAAAAAGGTATACATGTAAAGTGCTTAGAACAATTGCCTGAGAGAGTGGTGCTTATTAATTTAGTCTTTTTTTTTTTTTTTTGAGACAATGCCTTGCTCTGTCACCAGGCTGGAGTGCAGTTGTGTGATCACGACTCACTGCAACCTTGACCTCCTAGGCTCAAGCAATCCTTCCACCTTAGCCTCCCCAGTAGCTGGGCCTACAGACACATGCTACCAAGCCTGGCTAATACAACATTTTTTTTTATTTTAGAGATGAGGGTCTCACTATGTTGCTCAGACTTGTCTCCAACTCCTGGGCTCAAGCAGTCTTCCCACCTCAGCTTCCCAAGTAGCTGGGACTACAAGTGCACGCCACCACACCCGGTTATGTTAGCTCTTTATTTTGTTTGCTTTTATTATACATGCAGATTAACAATCTTTATACAGTTTGGTATTTTGCCATTTTCTTTAATGCAAGAAAGAAAAGGATGCAAAATTACATATGAGTTATGCATTCATGCTTATAATATAAGCATATTTCCAAATTATAAAAGTTTCTAAGTATCATTTTAATGGCTGCAGGGTAGTCCATCAAGTGAATATTCTGCAACTTAATTATTCTATGATTTTTGAACATAATTCAGATGATTTCCTTTTTTCTTTTTGCTATTTTAAACAATACTGAATCTTCTAAGCATATTTAGACATATATTTCTCTTCTTTCTTTTTTTTTTTTTTTGAGATGGAGTTTCGCTCTTGTTGTTCAAGCGACTCTCCTGCCTCAGCCTCCCAAGTAGCTGGGATTACAAGCATGTGACACCATTCCCAGATAATTTTTTTGTATTTTTAGTAGAGACAGGGTTTCACCATATTGGCCAGGTTGGTCTTGAACTCCTGACCTCAGGTGATCCACCCGCCTTGGCCTCCCAAAGTGCTGAGATTACAGGCATGAGCCACTGTGCCCAGCCTTCTTTTTTTTTTTTTAAAAAAAAAAGAAATGGTGTTGGCTCTTTTGCCCTGGAGTACAGTGGCTATTCACAGGCATGATTCCCACTAATGATCAGCATGGGAGTTTTATTTTATTTTTATATTTATTTATTTATTTATTTTTTGGGATGGAGTCTCGCTCTGTCTTTGAGGCTGGAGTGCAGTGGCCCAATCTTGACTCACTGCAACCTCTGCCTCCTGGTTTCAAGCTATTCTCCTATCTCAGCCTCTAGAGTAGCTGGGATTACAGGTGCATGCCACCACACCCAGCTAGTTTTTGTATTTTTAGTAGAGATGGGGTTTCGCCATATTGGCCAGGCTGGTCTTGAACTCCTGACCTCAGGTGATCTGCCCACCTTGGCCTCCCAAAGTGCTGGGATTACAGGCATGAGCTACCATGCCCGGCCTAAAAATGGTAGTTTGGACCTACTCTGTTTCTGACTTGGCTGGTTCACCTCTCCTTAGGCAACCTTGTGGTCCCCTGCTCCTGGGAGGTCACCATATTGATGCTTAATTTAGTGTGGACACCTGACCGGCATGGTGCACTACAGCTGAGAGCTCCTGGACTAAAGCAATCCTTCTACCTCAGCCTCCCAAGTAGTTGGGACTACAGGTGCACACCACCATGCCCAGTCATTTTTTTTTTTCATATTTAGGAAAATTTCCGAATAGATTTCCAGAATTTACACAACTTGGTGAGAGAATATGAGTACTCTAAGAGCCTCTGATGCATGAGGCCAAGCTGCTTTTCAAAATTTTAACCAATTTATACTTTCCGTAGCAGCACATGAAAACCCTTGTTTCACTCTACTCTGCAAACTTTCAGAGACTATTTTCAAATAAGCCTAATGAAAAGTATTCAACACATTATTTAACACAATTTATTGAGCAGCTATTACATGTAGCCAGCTGTTCTATTCACTGAGGCTACAACAGGATACAAGACACAGTGCCTACCTTTATAAACTTTATATTCTATGAGAAATTAAACTGCAAAACCTGTGTTTTCTGAAGTGTGGGTGTTAACAGATGTAATACAAATAAAAAGTTCTAGGGTCAACTATACTTGGGAAACTCTAGACTCTGAATATAATTCAGATGGTTTCTGCTTTTTGTTTTTTTTTTTGCCATTTTATTTTATTTATTTGCTTATTTTTTGAGATAGGGCCTCACTCTGTTGCCCAGGCTAAAGTGCAGTGGCACAGTCATGGCTGAGTACAGCCTCAGCCTCCCAGGCTCAAGCAATCCTCCCACCTCAGCCTCCTGAGTAGCTGGGACTACATGTGCACACAGCCACACCCAGCTAATTTTGTATTTTGTAGACACAGGTTTTTGCCATGTTGCCCAAGCTGGTCTCGAACTCCTGAGCTCAAGCGATCCTCCTGCCTTGGCCTCCCAAAGTGCTGGGATTATAGGTGTGAGCCACCTTGCTTGGCACCACCAACCCCCACTTTTTTTTTTTTTGCCATTTTAAACAATTCTGAATCTTCTAAGCATCTTTTTTTATATCTAGAAAAATTTTGAAATAGATTTCCAAAACTGACACAACTTGGTGAGAGAAAATTGAAAAGCTGCATGGAAAATTAATTATAAGGAGAAAAAAGGAAAAAAAATTAATTATAAGTAAACTGTAAGGTTGCACAGCAGCAGAGAAATACCCTCTGTTTATTTTGTATTTACCCAAGGATGATCTCAAACTCCTGGCTTCCAGATCCACCCACCTCGGCCTCTCAAAGTGCTGAGATTACAGGTGTGAGCCGCCGCGCTTGGTGCCCTGCCCCCAACTTTTTGACATTTTAAACAATTCTGAATCTTCTAAACATATTAAGACACACTTTCTTTCATATCTAGAATAATTTCCAGCCACTTGCACATCTCCAAAATAGTGGTTTATGGTCATTTCAATTTTAGGATTTGTTAACTGGTTGCACATATATGGTTTCATTTTTATTTTGAGTTTTAGGATGACTCGAGATGTAGATGGGCTTGGTATTCCCCCATTTTATAGATGGTGAAAACGTTTTGGATCCTGCTTACGCAGCTTGTCTAGGAAATGGCAATTTGCATCTCAAACCCAGGCACCTGCACCAAGTCCCATCTCTTTCCATCTCTATGGTTGAAAGAATAAGTGAATCATTCAGGATGTGTTTCTGGAATGGGATTTTGAAGCTAGCCTGTATTTTAGTGGTGTGGGCAAAGGGAGAAACACAGAAGCCCTGAAGCCTGATAACACTGCATCCACACCTCCCTCCTGCCTGCTCTTGGATTTCTGGGTGCCTGTAGGCAAATCACTGTGATGTCAGGCCAGGGCGCCATGTGCAAACTCCCATGTGGAGGGAACTGGCAGAAACTTCCCAGCTGTGACACTGCCACACCCTCTGCTATGCAAGAACAGAGCATTTGGAAAGGAACAAAAAGTTGTATCCTATAAGGGAAGAGGCCGGGCGCTGTGGCTCACACCTGCAATCTAAGTACTTTGGGAGGCTGAGGTGGGCAGATGGGCTTGAACTCAGGAGTTCAAGACCAGCCTCGGCAACATGGTGAAACAATGTATCTACAAAAAAAAAAAAAAAAAAAATTAGCTGGGCGTATGGTCCCAGCTACTTGGGAGGCTGAGGTGGGAGAATCACTTGAACCCTGAGGGGCAGAGGTTGCAGTAAGCCAAGATCGCACCACTGTGCTCCAGCCTGGGTGACAGAGTGAGACCCTGTCTCAAAAAAAAAAAAAAAAAAACAAAAAAAGAAAAAGAAGTGAAGAGACTTAGCACTCTGCAGTTATCGCGCTTTCTCTCTGCACAAACTCAAATCATTTAAAAATGAGTTATTTTAATATTTTAGTAGTTGAGGCCAATGGAGTCAAAGGTACTTGCCCAAGGCCACAGGGCAAAACTCGGACATCTAATCTCGATGTTTTTGTTTACACTGACCTTCAATTCAAAATAAATATTGCTCGCTGTTTTATTTTCTCTACAAAGAAACCATATGCAGTGGTAGAAATGAGCAGTGTGGTGGCATCAGACCCTCACTGTACATGCTCTTAAAAAAGTGACTCAAAGGCTTAAAAAGTGACTTAAAGCCTCACACCTGTAATCCCAGCACTTTGGGAGGCCGAGGCGGGCGGATCACCTGAGGTCAGGAGTTTGAGACCAGCCTCGTCAGCAGGGTGAAACCCCATCTCTACTAAAAATACAAAAATTAGCCAGGTATGGTGGTGAATGCCTGTAATCCCAGTTACTCAGGAGGCTGAGACAGGAGAATCATTTGAACCCGCGGGGCGGAGGTTGCAGTGAGCCTAGATTGTGCCACTGCACTCCCGCCTGGGCGACAGAGTGAGACTCCACCTCAAAAAAAAAAAGTGACTTAAAATAAATTTTTGTTTGTGTGACAGGGTCTCACTTTGTCACTCAGGCTGGAGTGCAGGGGTGAAATAATGGTTCACTACAGCCTAAACCTCCCAGGCTCAAGCAATCCTCCCACCGCAGCCTCCCTAGTTGCTGGGACTATAGGGATGCACCACCATGCCGCCAGCTAATTCTGTTATCTTTTTGTAGAGATGAGGGTCTTACTATGTTGCCCAGGCTGGTTTTGAACTCCTGGGCTTAAGCGATATTCCCCCCTCCACCTCCTAAAGTGCTGGGATTACAGGCTTGTGCCACCACACCCGGCTAAAAGTGACTTTTCCTTTAACCCAGAAAGAACGCTTCCAATCTATACTAGTCAGAAATCTGGACCAGTGTTAATGTGGAAAATGCTCACCACACTCAGCTTTAAAACGGCAAAAAACTAGAAACACATGTCTGAACATAAGAAAATGGCTTTTTAAATGGCATATTATGTAGCCACTAAAATGAGATTTTTCAGGGTTGGATGCAGGACTATAAGCATAAGCCTATAATCTCAGTGCTTTGGAAGGTCGAGGCAGGGAGAATCACTTGAGCCCAGGAGTTCCAGATCAGCATGGGCAACATAGTGAGACCGCATCTCTACCAAAAAAAAAAAAAAAAAAAAAAAAGCCAGGCATGGTGGCACATCATGCCTGTAGTTCCAGCTACTTGGGAGGCTAAGGAGGGAGGATTGCTTGAACCCAGGAGGTCAAGGTGGCAGTGAGCTGTGATTGTGCCACTGCACTCCAGTCTGAGCAACAGAGTGAGACCCTGTCTGAAAAAAAAAAAAGAGATACAGAGATTTTCAAAAAGTATTTAATGACATAAAAAGTACTTAATGACATGAGGAAAAATTACAAACCACACTGTGTGTTTTTCTACACAGTGAAAAATGCTCACTACACTATAGTAGTGAGCATATGTCACTACTATAATCAGAAAAAAAAGGATGACACGATCCTGTCACTTATTAATGACTATGGCCCTTAAAGGGGAGATACATCCTCTGTGGTTTCTGATAACACAGCTTCTGATATGAAAGGCAATTGCCTCAAGTTAAGGAGATCCATGAAAGACTGAGGAATTGGATCAGATTACCTCTTAAATTCCTTCCAAAGCTTAGCTTTAACGTAGACTCCTCCAACCTGGGGGAATTTTCTTTAGCTCTGCAGAATGCAGATAAGGATGGTATTTGTTCAGAGCAAAGGATAGTAATAACAATTTCCCTGTGCATTTCTTTTTTTGAGTCAGGGTCTTGCTGTGTCCCTCGGGCTGGAGTGCAGTGGCACCATCACAGTTCACTTGCAGCCTCGACCTCCCTGGGTTCAAGCCATCCTCCTGCCTCAGCCTCCAGAGGAGCTGGACTACAGATGTGAGCCACCATGTCTGGCCCCTATACATTTTGTCACACCAGAAGGACCTGAGAAATGTTTGCATTGTTCAAGTATTTATTTATCTTGGAGTGAATTCTGCTTCAATTTTGTCTTTCTGTTCTTTTCTTTTCTGAGTTCATTTTAAAAAACTGCATGAATCCTTTCTAGCAGACCAGAGCCACTTGTTGTCTTGGGGTGATGGGCTTTTACATGTAGCTGGTCTTTCTGTTTAAACCCAAAGGATGGGAAAGTGCCCTTGACAGCTTTCAGCAAGGATCTCTAGCACTTACAAAAAGGGGGCTTTAGGGGAGTCATGCCAATCTATGGAGGTCACTGGGCTGGAACCGATCAGGCTTTCAACAAAAAAAGTGTTGATAGAAATGGACAATGGGATTCCAGGTACTGAATCCATATCATTTTAAACTGTTTATCTTTAGGACTTGGCGCATCTGCTAGAGAAAAACAGCAAATAGCACATCTAAAAACAGCTTGGTGGTTTTTTGCATCTTTAGAGAAAGCTGCTTTAGGAGGGTCTGCAGTATAGACCTCCTGTATCTGCAAGGTGACAGACGGAGGACCCCAAGCCGTGGGAACTGGTCACCTACTGTGGGGCCCAGGCCTCTCCCCACTGCAGGTCAAGCCCATCTTGAAGCCACCACCTGCTTAGTGCTCAAGGTCACCGCTCTCAGCCTGGTCCAGGTGCTGAAGGATCATCTCGACACGAGGGGGCGCCATCTCCTCACATTGTGAGGAAGCCTCTGGCATCGGGATGAATTTTGTTCTAGAGCTTTCCTTCTACAAACCTCGGTGTTGTTCTCGCTCACATGCAAGAAAGAATCGGAGTATTGTGAGGTCTGCAAATGAAAGGGTCCCTTGCCAAATGCTCTAATCCAGGCTCCTGGTGTTTGCGGGCCCAGATAGCTACAGTTTGTTGTCCCCTGGCTGCAAACCTTCTAGGAGTTTCTAGCTTTAGAAACCCTAGAAACAAACCCCTTCTAATGTTTCAGCTCCACAGCCCCTGCCCACCCAGCCCCTCAGACTTCCCATAGCAACCCAGGTTGGAGTCATCTCGCCCAGGTTTTCATATCTGCTCCACGGGCTTCACAGAAAAGTGCTGCTGGCTTGGAGCAGATCCGTAACTCTGATATCAAAGTCCTTTTTCTTTTGGGGCTAGGGCAGTTCAGGGAGAAGTTATGCCACTAAATGGGTGCCTTGTTGGGGAAGACGGTAATGACTGTAGGAATGAACAAATGATAAACAGCAGAACATTCTTCTGTTCATTGATTTGAATCAAAACAGACTGTAAATTGAGATGAGGAATGAATGTATTAATAGTAAACTGGACCTGCTTGGTGCCCTTTTTTGATGTCATGAAGCACTCTGCAGTTCCAGCTGCGGCCAAGCCTTGGGGCCTGGGGGACCTGGGTCACTGGAGTCTGGTTATGATCCTGTTGTTCCTGCAGAGGCAGCGTCAGGTTCTGCAGCCCCAGGGCCTGGGTTGGAATTGCAGCCCTTCCCTTCACCAGCTGTGTGACTTGGGCAAGTTGCCTAACCTCCTGCCTCATTTCCTTACCTGGAGAATGGAGATAGTGATGGTATATATCATGTAAATTATGTAATGCCTGCAAAACATTTAACGCAGCGTGGGCAAGGAGTCGGCACACCACAAACTAGAGCTGTTACTCTCATCCCCAGGATGCAGTCCCCTCTAAATGCAGTATTTTGTCTTTCAATAGAGGCAAGATGAATGCAAACATGGATCATGCTTCATTATGGATTTTTTTTTTTTGAGACGGAGTTTCGCTCTGTCCCCCAAGCTGGAGTGAGTGCAGAGGCATGACCTCAGCTCACTGCAACCACTGCTTCCTGGGTTCAAGCGATTCTCCTGCCTCAGCCTCCAGAGTACTTGGAACTACAGATGCGCCCCACCACACCCGGCTAATCTTTTTGTATTTTTAGTAGAGATGAGGTTTCACCATGTTGGCCAGGCTGGTCTCGAACTCCTGGCCTCAAGTGATCTGCCCGCCTTGGCCTCCCAAAGTGCTGAGATTACAGGTGTGAGCTACCGCCCCCGGCCTTCCATTTTGGAATGTTAATGCTTTGTTTCATTACCTTCTTTTTTTAAATTTTTATTTATTTTTTATTTATTTTTATTTTTTTATTATACTTTAAGTTTTAGGGTACATGTGCACATTGTGCAGCTTAGTTACATATGTATACATGTGCCATGCTGGTACACTGCACCCACTAACTCGTCATCTAGCATTAGGTATATCTCCCAATGCTATCCCTCCCCCCCTCCCCCCACCCCACAGCAGTCCCCAGTGTGATATTCCCCTTCCTGTGTCCATGTGTTCTCATTGTTCAATTCCCACCTATGAGTGAGAATATGCAGTGTTTGGTTTTTTGTTCTTGCGATAGTTTACTGAGAATGATGTTTTCCAATTTCATCCATGTCCCTACAAAGGACATGAACTCATCATTTTTTATGGCTGCATAGTATTCCATGGTGTATATGTGCCACGTTTTCTTAATCCAGTCTATCATTGTTGGACATTTGGGTTGGTTCCAAGTCTTTGCTATTGTGAATAATGCCGCAATAAACATACGTGTGCATGTGTCTTTATAGCAGCATGATTTATAGTCCTTTGGGTATATACCCAGTAATGGGATGGCTGGGTCAAATGGTATTTCCAGTTCTAGATCCCTGAGGAATCTCCACACTGACTTCCACAATGGTTGAACTAGTTTACAGTCCCACCAACAGTGTAAAAGTGTTCCTATTTCTCCACATCCTCTCCAGCACCTGTTGTTTCCTGACTTTTTAATGATTGCCATTCTAACTGGTGTGAGATGGTATGTCATTGTGGTTTTGATTTGCATTTCTCTGATGGCCAGTGATGATGAGCATTTTTTCATGTGTCTTTTGGCTGCATAAATGTCTTCTTTTGAGAAGTGTCTGTTCATGTCCTTCGCCCACTTTTTGATGGGGTTGTTTGTTTTTTCTTGTACATTTGTTTGAGTTCATTGTAGATTCTGGATATTAGCCCTTTGTCAGATGAGTAGGTTGCGAAAATTTTCTCCAATTTTGCAGGTTGCCTGTTCACTCTGATGGTAGTTTCTTTTGCTGTGCAGAAGCTCTTTAGTTTAATTAGATCCCATTTGTCAATTTTGGCTTTTGTTGCCATTGCTTTTGGTGTTTTACACATGAAGTCCTTGCCCATGCCTATGTCCTGAATGGTAATGCCTAGGTTTTCTTCTAGGGTTTTTATGGTTTTAGGTCTAACGTTTAAGTCTTTAATCCATCTTGAATTGAGTTTTGTATAAGGTGTAAGGAAGGGATCCAGTTTCAGCTTTCTACATATGGCTAGCCAGTTTTCCCAGCACCATTTATTAAATAGGGAATCCTTTCCCCATTGCTTGTTTTTCTCAGGTTGGTCAAAGATCAGATAGTTGTAGATATGCGGCGTTATTTCTGAGGGCTCTGTTCTGTTCCATTGATCTATATCTCTGTTTTGGTACCAGTACCATGCTGTTTTGGTTACTGTAGCCTTGTAGTATAGTTTGAAGTCAGGTAGTGTGATGCCTCCAGCTTTGTCCTTTTGGCTTAGGATTGACTTGGCGATGCGGGCTCTTTTTTGGTTCCATATGAACTTTAAAGTAGTTTTTTCCAATTCTGTGAAGAAAGGCATTGGTAGCTTGATGGGGATGGCATTGAATCTGTAAATTACCTTGGGCAGTATGGCCATTTTCACGATATTGATTCTTCCTACCCATGAGCATGGAATGTTCTTCCATTTGTTTGTATCCTCTTTTATTTCCTTGAGCAGTGGTTTGTAGTTCTCCTTGAAGAGGTCCTTCACATCCCTTGTAAGTTGGATTCCTAGGTATTTTATTCTCTTTGAAGCAATTGTGAATGGGAGTTCACTCACGATTTGGCTCTCTGTTTGTCTGTTGTTGGTGTATAAGAATGCTTGTGATTTTTGTACATTGATTTTGTATCCTGAGACTTTGCTGAAGTTGCTTATCAGCTTAAGGAGATTTTGGGCTGAGACAATGGGGTTTTCTAGATATACAATTATGTCGTCTGCAAACAGGGACAATTTGACTTCCTCTTTTCCTAATTGAATACCCTTTATTTCCTTCTCCTGCCTAATTGCCCTGGCCAGAACTTCCAACACTATGTTGAATAGGAGTGGTGAGAGAGGCCATCCCTGTCTTGTGCCAGTTTTCAAAGGGAATGCTTCCAGTTTTTGCCCATTCAGTATGATATTGGCTGTGGGTTTGTCATAGATAGCTCTTATTATTTTGAAATACATCCCATCAATACCTAATTTATTGAGAGTTTTTAGCATGAAGGGTTGTTGAATTTTGTCAAAGGCTTTTTCTGCATCTATTGAGATAATCATGTGGTTTTTGTCTTTGGCTCTGTTTATATGCTGGATTAGATTTATTGATTTGCGTATATTGAAGCAGCCTTGCATCCCAGGGATGAAGCCCACTTGATCATGGTGGATAAGCTTTTTGATGTGCTGCTGGATTCCGTTTGCCAGTATTTTATTGAGGATTTTTGCATCAATGTTCATCAAGGATATTGGTCTAAAATTCTTTTTTTGTTGTGTCTCTGCCTGGCTTTGGTATCAGAATGATGCTGGCCTCATAAAATGAGTTAGGGAGGATTCCCTCTTTTTCTATTGATTGGAATAGTTTCAGAAGGAATGGTACCAGTTCCTCCTTGTACCTCTGGTAGAATTCAGCTGTGAATCCATCTGGTCCTGGACTCTTTTTGGTTGGTAAGCTATTGATTATTGCCACAATTTCAGAGCCTGTTATTGGTCTATTCAGAGATTCAACTTCTTCCTGGTTTAGTCTTGGGAGAGTGTATGTGTCGAGGAATTTATCCATTTCCTCTAGATTTTCTAGTTTATTTGCATAGAGGTGTTTGTAGTATTCTCTGATGGTAGTTTGTATTTCTGTGGGATCGGTGGTGATATCCCCTTTATCATTTTTTATTGCGTCTATTAGATTCTTCTCTCTTTTTTTCTTTATTAGTCTTGCTAGTGGTCTATCAATTTTGTTGATCCTTTCAAAAAACCAGCTCCTGGATTCATTAATTTTTTGAAGGTCAGTTCTGCTCTGATCTTAGTTATTTCTTGCCTTCTGCTAGCTTTTGAATGTGTTTGCTCTTGCTTTTCTAGTTCTTTTAATTGTGATGTTAGAGTGTCAATTTTGGATCTTTCCTGCTTTCTCTTGTGGGCATTTAGTGCTATAAATTTCCCTCTACACACTGCTTTGAATGCGTCCCAGAGATTCTGGTATGTTGTGCCTTTGTTCTCATTGGTTTCAAAGAACATCTTTATTTCTGCCTTCATTTTGTTATGTACCCAGTAGTCATTCAGGAGCAGGTTGTTCAGTTTCCATGCAGTTGAGCGGTTTTGAGTGAGATTCTTAATCCTGAGTTCTAGTTTGATTGCACTGTGGTCTGAGAGATAGTTTGTTATAATTTCTCTTCTTTTACATTTGCTGAGGAGAGCTTTACTTCCAAGTATGTGGTCAATTTTGGAATAGGTGTGGTGTGGTGCTGAAAAAAATGTATATTCTGTTGATTTGGGGTGGAGAGTTCTGTAGATGTCTATTAGGTCTGCTCGGTGCAGAGCTGAGTTCAATTCCTGGGTATCCTTGTTGACTTTCTGTCTCGTTGATCTGTCTAATGTTGACAATGGGGTGTTAAAATCTCCCATTATTAATGTGTGGGAGTCTAAGTCTCTTTGTAGGTCACTCAGGACTTGCTTTATGAATCTGGGTGCTCCTGTATTGGGTGCATATATATGTAGGATAGTTAGCTCTTCTTGTTGAATTGATCCCTTTACCATTATGTAATGGCCTTCTTTGTCTCTTTTGATCTTTGTTGGTTTAAAGTCTGTTTTATCAGAGACTAGGATTGCAACCCCTGCCTTTTTTTGTTTTCCATTTGCTTGGTAGATCTTCCTCCATCCTTTTATTTTGAGCCTATGTGTGTCTCTGTATGTGAGATGGGTTTCCTGAATATAGCACACTGATGGGTCTTGACTCTTTATCCAATTTGCCAGTCTGTGTCTTTTAATTGGAGCATTTAGTCCATTTACATTTAAAGTTAATATTGTTATGTGTGAATTTGATCCTGTCATTATGATGTTAGCTGATTATTTTGCTTGTTAGTTGATGCAGTTTCTTCCTAGTCGCGATGGTCTTTACATTTTGGCATGATTTTGCAGCGGCTGGTACCGGTTGTTCCTTTCCATGTTTAGCGCTTCCTTCAGGAGCTCTTTTAGGGCAGGCCTGGTGGTGACAAAATCGCTCAGCATTTGCTTGTCTGTAAAGTATTTTATTTCTCCTTCGCTTATGAAGCTTAGTTTGGCTGGATATGAAATTCTGGGTTGAAAATTCTTTTCTTTAAGAATGTTGAATATCGGCCCCCACTCTCTTCTGGCTTGTAGGGTTTCTGCCAAGAGATCCGCTGTTAGTCTGATGGGCTTCCCTTTGAGGGTAACCCGACCTTTCTCTCTGGCTGCCCTTAACATTTTTTCCTTCATTTCAACTTTGGTGAATCTGACAATTATGTGTCTTGGAGTTGCTCTTCTCGAGGAGTATCTTTGTGGCGTTCTCTGTATTTCCTGAATCTGAACGTTGGCCTGCCTTGCTAGATTGGGGAAGTTCTCCTGGATAATATCCTGCAGAGTATTTTCCAACTTGGTTCCATTCTCCCCATCACTTTCAGGTACACCAATCAGACGTAGATTTGGTCTTTTCACATAGTCCCAAATTTCTTGGAGGCTTTGCTCATTTCTTTTTATTCTTTTTTCTCTAAACTTCCCTTCTCGCTTCATTTCATTCATTTCATCTTCCATCACTGATACCCTTTCTTCCAGTTGATCCCATCGGCTCCTGAGGCTTCTGCATTCTTCACGTAGTTCTCGAGCCTTGGTTTTCAGCTCCATCAGCTCCTTTAAGCACTTCTCTGCATTGGTTATTCTAGTTATATATTCTTCTAAATTTTTTTCAAAGTTTTCAACTTCTTTACCTTTGGTTTGAATGTCCTCCCGTAGCTCAGAGTAATTTGATCGTCTGAAGCCTTCTTCTCTCAGCTCGTCAAAGTCATTCTCCATCCAGCTTTGTTCCGTTGCTGGTGAGGAACTGCGTTCCTTTGGAGGAGGAGAGGCGCTCTGCATTTTAGAGCTTCCAGTTTTTCTGTTCTGTTTTTTCCCCATCTTTGTGGTTTTATCTACTTTTGGTCTTTGATGATGGTGATGTACAGATGGGATTTTGGTGTGGATGTCCTTTCTGTTTATTAGTTTTCCTTCTAACAGACAGGACCCTCAGCTGCAGGTCTGTTGGAATACCCTGCCGTGTGAGGTGTCAGTGTGCCCCTGCTGGGGGGTGCCTCCCAGTTAGGCTGCTCGGGGGTCAGGGGTCAGGGACCCACTTGAGGAGGCAGTCTGCCCGTTCTCAGATCTGCAGCTGCGTGCTGGGAGAACCACTGCTCTCTTCAAAGCTGTCAGACAGGGACATTTAAGTCTGCAGAGGTTACTGCTGTCTTTTTGTTTGTCTGTGCCCTGCCCCCAGAGGTGGAGCCTACAGAGGCAGGCAGGCCTCCTTGAGCTGTGGTGGGCTCCACCCAGTTCCAGCTTCCCGGCTGCTTTGTTTACCTAATCAAGCCTGGGCAATGGCGGGCTCCCCTCCCCCAGCCTCGCTGCTGCCTTGCAGTTTGATCTCAGACTGCTGTGCTAGCAATCAGCGAGACTCCGTGGGCGTAGGACCCTCCGAGCCAGGTGTGGGATATAGTCTCGTGGTGCGCCGTTTTTTAAGCCCGTCGGAAAAGCGCAGTATTCGGGTGGGAGTGACCCGATTTTCCAGGTGCGTCCGTCACCCCTTTCTTTGACTCGGAAAGGGAACTCCCTGACCCCTTGCGCTTCCCAAGTGAGGCAATGCCTCGCCCTGCTTCGGCTCGCGCACGGTGCGCGCACCCACTGACCTGCGCCCACTGTCTGGCACTCCCTAGAGAGATGAACCCGGTACCTCAGATGGAAATGCAGAAATCACCGTCTTCTGCGTCGCTCACGCTGGGAGCTGTAGACCAGAGCTGTTCCTATTCGGCCATCTTGGCTCCTTATTCTCATTACCTTCTTGAGTTGTGGCTCAGACACTACAACAGAGCTCTGTCACCTCTTTCTAAAAGCTGGGAAATGGTTATTGTCAACGCCAGCCCCATTTTGGAGGCACCTGGTTGCAGGGGACCACAGCTAGGTGAGTCACAACTGGGTGTCTTCATCAGGGGGTTTACAAGGGAAGACAGACTAGTGATTTTAGAACAATCAGCAATCAGGGCACATTGGCAAGCAAGCACAGAGCAAGATTTATTTTATAAAAAAGAGCGTTTATGTTTGGTTCAAACAAAAATGTGAGAACGGCCGAGGCTTTGTAGGAGTTCACCACGAAAAAGGAAATTACATGGTAAAAAAAAAAAAAAGAAAAAAAAGAAAGATAAATTCTACATTTTTTTCTTTATATAATTATTTAGCTGGAGCAAAAGTGAAAGTAAAAGTTGGGGCAAGGAAACACATTCAGATGTGGGGAAGTGCTCCCAGAACGTGGGACAGCGAGTGGCGGAGTCCGATTTTGAAATGCTCCAGAGAGAATATGATCTTCCTGGACCCCACAGTGGGATGCACCACCCCAAAAACCATTGGCAAAGTTTGGTGACAGAGGAATCATTTTGTTTCTTTTTATGCATAAAGAACACACAGAAAGGAACACTTGCTTTGAGGATCCTGGTAAATCAGGCTGGTGTTCTGTTGGGGCAGTGCAGTTTGGTACAAGGAAGTGGTCACTGCTGACCCCACGGAGAGGCTGGGAAAAGCGTAGATGAGGTGACTGGAGAATAAAGGAGGCTTTTTCTAGCTCAAGGTTTAAAGGCAGCCACAGTGTCTGTAGCAGATGAATTAGTGTGACCTTGGAGATGGCCCCTTGACCCGAAAGTGGTAAAGAATGCCATACTTTTCATTTTGCAGGACACCTCCTTGGGGGAGGCTGGGCTGGTAGCATATTTCTACGGGCTTATGGTTCTGTGGATAGAATTGTAGGGCTGGATAAAAGCACTGGCTATTTTGAGTTTTTAAGCAATCAGGGGGCTATTAGTGGGGTGGTCTTTGGGAACCAAGGCCAAATCTGCAGGACAGCAGAGTAATTCAGATCATCTATATTGTATGGCTTGAAATGGGATAGAAAGCCATCTTTATTCATTCATTCATTGCAGGCATGAACTCTTTAAACAAATATGAGTGGCCTATTTGAGATCATGATAGAAATTGTAGGGAATAGAGAAGCAACCAAGACTGACCCTATAAGGAGCTGTCACCAACTCCCTTTGAATCAATTTTAACTTTTTTCTTTTTTTTGGGACAAGGCTTTCACCCAGGATGGAGTGCAGTGATGCAATCTCGGCTCACTGCAACCTCTGCCACCTGGGCTCAAGCCATCCTCCCACCTGAGCCTCTCAAGTAGCTGGGACCACAGGCGCACATCATCACACTCGGCTACTTTTTGTATTTTTTGTAGAGATGAGGTTTCATCATATTGGCAAGGCTGGTCTTGAACTCGTGAGCTCAAGCGATTTACCTGCCTCAGCCTCCCAAAGTGCTGGGATTATAAATGTAAGCCATCATGCTTGGCCTGAACCAATTTTAACTTTTAAAAATCACCTTTTCTTTGTTATACATTCAAGAAGACACTGAGATGGGCATTAGACTAACATCAAGCTAAGTTGCATATAATTTCATAAACTCTGAGCTTTCTTGAATATATTTTTTAATTTGTGGGAATTCCTTGTACACCTGAGCCCCAAAGACACAGCAAACTCCAGTCATAGCTTGGCAATTAAATGAAGCAATGAAAGAGAGAGAAAAAAAATGATAAAAACAAGTCATTCCAGTTGGCAGAGCCTCACAGTACAGTTCTCAAAGTGGCTGTTCATCAGAAATGAAGTTGGCACCATCTTAGGGACATTGGATCAAGTCAGTCCATTTGTGACAAGGACAAAAGGAGTAGTAGTCTTTCCTTTTGTGATGTGTGACAGCACTGCTCACCCTGGAATTAATGGGGTTTATATAATCCAGATTTGCTGATGTCCTCAGGGCCTGGAAATTTTCCTTATTTGTGTTCCAATTCTAAAGGTTTCCTGAGAATATTCTAGAAGTAGTCTTTCATGGTAGCCATCAATCCTGGCTACTGATTGAAGTCAACTGTAGAGCTTAAAAAATGACAGATGTCCACCAAAGGCCTATGAATTAGAATCTGCCTTATTTTATTTTATTTTATTTTTTCGAGACGGAGTCTCACTCTGTCACCCAAGCTGGGGTGCAGTGGCACGATCTCAACTCACTGCAACCTCCGCCTCCCAGGTTCAAGCGATTCTCCTGCCTCAGCTTCCTGAGTAGCCAGGATTACAGGCATGCACCACCGCACCAGCTAATTTTTGTATTTTTAGTAGAGACAGGATTTCACCACGTTGGCCAGGCTGGTCTCTAATTCCTGACCTCAGGTGATCCACCCACCTCGGCCTCCCAAAATGCTGGGATTACAGGCTTGAGCCACCACCCCTGGCCTTATTTTATTTTTAATTAATTGTTGAGCTTGAATATTCAGTGATTGAACAGGGATTAAATATCCCAGCATATCTATGGTGGAACGCTATGCTGCTGTTTAAAACTATGGTGAAAAAGAATTTGTTGACCTGAGACAATATTCATAATGCCTTGCTAAGTTTTTTTTTTTTTAAAAGAGCAGGCTCAAATTCAAGAAAGAGTAGCCTGTGTATAAATGAGGTTTTTGTTAAATAATTGTGTATTTATACACATTATATAAAAGGCCAGAAAGAACCTCAAAAACTGTTGACAGTGTTGGCTTCTGAGCAATGATTTCTGTTTGTCTTTTTTTTTTTTTTTTTTTAAGACAGAGTCTCGCTCTGTTGCCCAGGCTGGAGTGTAGTGACATGATCTTGGTTCACTGCAACCTCCAACTCCTGGATTCATCCAATTCTGGTGCCTCAGCCTCCTGAGTAGCTGGGATTACGGGCATGGTCACCATGCCCAGCTAATTTTTGTATTTTTAGTAGAGACGGGGGTTTCACCATGTTGGCCAGGCTGGTCTCGAACTCTTGGCCTCAGGTGATCCATTCGCATTGGCCTCCCAAAGTGCTGGGATTACAGGTGTGAGCCACCATGCCCAGCCTTAGTTATGTTTCATAATAAAAAGAAGACACTCCAAATGGAAGGTTACAGCTGACCTTAGGGACAGTGTCCCCTTTGATGACTTGGGACCTCCCCTTATGGGAGCAGAGACAGCTGGCCGGTTGCAATGGGTCTGTAGGTCCTGAACTGAAAGTGTGACAGGTTTCTAGGGTGGGACTGGAGTGAACCAAATATCTTGATAGGATAAATTTTGCAGAAATATTTTATACAAGTAAAATCAACACTGTGGACTCAGCTTTGATGTTTTTAAAAAATTTTTGCATGCTAAATTAAAAAAAATTGTATTGCCCCCTGCTTTATTGAGACATAATTGACAAGTAAAATTGAATATATTTAAGGTACAGAATGTAATGACTTGATATACATAAACATTGCAAGATGCTTACCACAATCAAGTTAATGAACGTATTCATAACCTCCCACAGTTACTTTTGGATGTGTGTGTATGGTGAGAATACTTAAGTTCTTCTCTGTTAGCAAATTTCAAGTGTACTATACATTGTTATTAACTATAGTCACCATGCTATACATTAAGTCTCCAGACAAAACAGTTTTAAACACATTATTCTAAAGTATCCCTGGAGCTAACAATTATATATGATCCCCCTTATTTCTCATATTTCTTTTCTTTTCTTTCTTTTCTTTTCTTTTGAGAGGAGTCTCGCTGTGTTGCCCAGGCTAGAGTGCAGTGGCACGATCTCGGCTCACTGCAACCTCCACCTCCTGGTTCAAGGGATTCTCCTGCCTCAGCCTCCCAAATAGCTGGGATTACAGGTGCCTGCTGCCACACCCAGCTAATTTTTGTATTTTTAGTAAAGATGGGATTTCACCATGTTGGTCAGGTTGGTTTCAAACTCCTGACCTTAAGTGATCCACCTGCCTCGGCCTCCAAAGTGCTGGGATTACAGGCATGAGCCACCACACCCAGCCTGTTTGTCTTTTCTTTAGTGTTTCTCTGTGGTTTTGGAGTTTTAAGCATTAATCTCACGTTACTTTTGTACTGAGGAAGAATCCCCTCAATAAATATTAATGCTTTCCCCTTCAGGGACAACATGGTGAGGAGCAGCAAAGAAGAAACGAGATACGTGTGGCTGCTTCATTTACTCATTCATGATTTTTGGTTAGCCTTTGAAAGTTTATTTTTCAATTTTATTTAGTCTTTTTTTTGTATTCATAAAGGAAAAAAAAAGGGTCTTCAGTGCTTGTGTGAGCCTGGCACTTGGTTTTATGCCCTTGGGCTGTAGAGGTCAGTTTCTCAAGTTCAACTGCTACAGTTCTTTTTGCCTTTTTTTTTTGAGCCAGGCAGGGTCTGCTCTGTCACCCAGGCTGGAGTACGGTGGTGCGATCACAGCTCACTGCAGCCTCAACCTCCCGGACTCAAGTGATCCTCCCACCTCAACCTCCCGAGTATCTGGGACCATAGGTGTGCACCACCACATCCAGTTAATTTTTTTATTTCTGGTAGAGATGGGATCTTGCCATGTTGTCCAGGCTGGTCTTGAACTCCTGGGCTCAAGCAATTCTCCCACCTCGACTTCCCAAAGTGCTGGGTTTACAGGCGTGAGCCACTGTGTTTGGCCCAAGTGCTGCAGTTCTTACTCTCCAGCTCACAGAAGAGGCAACGAGGAGCCTGTTGAAATGCAGATTCTCTCCCAAGAGGCTCTGTGAAGTAGTCCTGGGTGGGGCCAGGAATTTCCTATTTTAAACCAGCTCCTCATGTGATTCTGAGCTATCTGGCACGGGTCTCTGAGAACCTGTAAATGGGGCTTAAATTGCTCAAAGCCTAAAGACAATGAAAAGTGGCAGAATGTGAAGACCCGGTTTGTTGGTTTCACCCTGGAATCTCAACTGAGTTCCCCCAGAATGTCCCTGGACCCATGACCCTCAGCTGAAATGTCTTAGTTTAGAATGTGACATGTCTAAGTGGGATGACAATCAAAATAGACCCAGCTGGGAAGTTGCCAGCATCCTTGAAGGTTGTTAGATGTGGCAAACACCTTCCTTCCTTCTTTAAGGGTGGTAAGAAAACAACAGCTCAGGAAGTCATAATAATTCTAACAGCAGCATCTACTTAGCACTGTCTAAGCACTTCATGTTCATTTACTCATGTAATCCTCCCCAAACCTATAGGATGCCTATAGGTAAAATCATCCCCATTTTACAGATGAGGAAACTGAGGTTTAGAGAGGTGAATGATCTTGCCCAAGACTACATGGCCAATCAGTTAGCTTGCCTCCAAAGACCCTGGGCTTAACTGCTATATTATCCAACCCCAAACTCTACCAGTGGCCACTGTGCAAATTCTGGCTGTGTGGCTGCCTCCAGGGTTCAAGAATATTGACCATTGCCTGGCAGCTTGCTGCTTGGGGGCCCCTGCTGAACATTTTCTGGTGTGAAATCATTATTTAACTTCAACCTTCTAAAACTGTGCCCTTCATGGTCCCAGCTAGCACAAAGGTAAAAACACTTGATAAAACGCATAAAACACAGCCAGCAGCGTATTTCCAAATCACGTTGTAAGCCAGGCAGCGTTCTCTTGAAACATACATCCTTGGGGGCAAAGCAGTTAAGAGAGGTTCCACTGCAGTGTGTGGACTGGGGTGTTCACTGAACCAGACAAAGCTGGGGGTTTTGGGATGCCAGAGGCCTGTAGTGGGAACAGCTAGGGGAGGACTGCAGCCAATCTGGATAGTGGCAACAGGACAGGGAAATTGACTCTAGTTTTTGCTCAGTAGCAAAACTGTTTTGAAAGAGAATCTCTCCTCTACCTCACCCCCAGGCATGTTTTTTAAGTCTTTAAAAAATACTGTTAAAGCAAACTATATATGGATATGGCCTGAAAAGGACTCCCTACTTCTTCTTTTTTTTTTTTTTTTGAGATGAAGTCTTGCTTTGTAGCCCAGGCTGGAGTGCAGTGGCACGATCTTGGCTCACTGCAGCCTTCACCTCCTGGGTTCAAGAGATTCTCCTGCCTCAGCCTCCTGAGTAGCTGGGATTACAGGTGTCCACTACCATGCTAAGCTAATTTTTCGAATTTTTATATTTTTAGTAGAGACAGGGTTTCACCATGTTGGCCAGGCTGGTCACAAACTCCTGACTTCAAGTGAACTGCCCACCTTAGCCTCCCAAAGTGCTGGGATTACAGGCATGAGCCACCGTGCCCGGCCCCGGACTTCCTACTTCCATATTTGAGTCCTTGTGGACGAACTGCAACCTAACTTTGAAACAGATTGAAACCCTAATTTAGGATTATGACAAGATTGAAATCCTAATTGAGGAGTATGCAGCTGTAACAATTGCCGAGTCTTGGCCAATCCCAGCAGCCTTACTTCAACCGCTCATACACTGCTGAGTGTTCACACTCTGTTCAAATAAGGCAAACGCCGAGCTGTAACCGATCCAGCTGTTTCAGAATCTCACCTCCGATTTCTGTACGTCACTTCCTTTTTTTTTTTTTTTTTTTTTTATAAATTTGTTCAGACCCGAGTCATCCCTGGAGTCTCACACTTGATCTTAGCCAAAAGGCCGAGAAGCGATCATCCCTGGAGTCTCTCTGAATCTGCCGTGATCCTGGGGGCTGCCCGATTCGTGCATTGTTCATTGCTCAATTAAACTCCTTTAAATTTAATTTGGCTGAAGTTTTTCTTTTAATGATACTATGATGTGTCATTATTATTTCACTTTTCAAATTATTCAAAATTATTTTCAATTTTATGGTATGGTACATACCGTAAAATTTCTGTACTCTTTTAAAGCTTACATTTCAGTGGTTTTCAGTATATTCACAAGGTTGTGCAACCATCACCACTATCTGGTTCTAGAACATTTTCTTCACCCCCAAAGAAGCTTCATACCCATTAGCGGTCACTTTCCATTCCTTCTTCCCCACAGCCCCTGGCAAATTCTGACGGTTTTAATGGTTAAATCTTTTCAATTACATCACAAGACACCATGGAACTCATTACTCTTTCTGGCACATAGTAGGTACTTAGTAAATTTTTTTTTTTTGTGATAAAGCTTTCAATTAAGACTTTCTACTCTTTTTGCTGGCATATGTGATAATTTTAAAATTATAGTCCAGGTGCGGTGGCTCATGCCTGTAATCCCAGCACTTTGGGAGGCCAAGGTGGGTTGATCACCTGAGGTTAGGAGTTCGAGACCAGCCTGGCCAACATGGCGAAACCCCGTCTCTACTAAAAATACAAAAATTAGCCAGGCGTGGTGGCTTGCACCTATAATCCCATCTACTCGGGAGGCTGAGGCAGGAGAATCACTTGAACCCGGGGGGAAGAGTTTGCAATGAGCTGAGATCACACCACTGCACTCTGGCTTGGGTGACAGAGCGAGACTCCATCTCAAAAAAAAAAAAATTGTGTTAAACATCTAGAAGAAGACGACATACAGCTGAGTTGGATTTTTTCCCCCTCCTCTCCCATTTAGAAAAGTCTGAACTCAGAGGTCTCATGTCAACTGGATAATTGTTTTATTGGCCTTATTCTTAACTTAGTGTGATTTAGGAAAAGACAAGGACATCTAGAGTCATGTTGTAATCACAGTTCTGTGATATTTCATGTTTTTCTAACTCATAAAAATACAGTGAGGAAATCAACAGCTTGGACTGTGGGAAAAGAAGTAAAGCTGAAACTCTGATACGCACAGGCCTGAGTATGTTGTTTACAGAATGAAAAGCGAGTTCCACATAAGCTGAGACTTGGCTTCAGTCATGCCTGGGAATCTACAAACTCAATGCCCTCTCACTGGCAGAACATAAAAGCTAAAGATTACCCCTAATCCCGTGGCATTTTAAAATCCATGGAATGGGCTTTGGTGCTCAGCAATTTTCACTTAAAGTCACACACTCTTTTGGAGGTACAAATGTTTCAGTTCCCCCAGTAGTATCTCTGGTAAGACTTACCAGAATGAATATTGATGCAGATGAAGACACGATTGTTCTGTCCAGAAGTGATCACACTCCCCTTCACCCCCAAGTTCCACTTTTTAAACAATTCAAATAATGGAAGCTCATGTGACAGCTTTCTGCTGGTAAACCAGAGAATAAGATTCACTGCACTGGAAAAAAAGTGGAAACCACTCACATATTTATCAATGGATGCATGAGTAAACAATATCTGGCATATCCATACAATGGAATATTATTCAGCCATAAAAAGGAATGAAGTACTGACACATGCTACCACCCTGAAAAGATGATGCTGGCCGGGCGCAGTGGCTCACGCCTGTAAGCCCAGCACTTTGGGAGGCCAAGGTGGGTGGATCACCTGAGATCAGGAGTTCAAGACCAGCCCGGCCAACATGGTGAAACCCTGTCTCTACTAAAGATACAAAAAAAAAAAAAAAAAAAAAAATTAGCTGACCACGGTGGCAGGCGCCTGTGATCCCAGCTACTTCAGGAGGCCGAGGCAGGAGAATCACTTGAACCCAGGAGGCGGAGGTTGCAGTGAGCCGAGATCGTGACATGGCACTGCAGCCTGGGTGACGAGAGCAAAACTATGGCTCAAAAAGAAAAGAAAAGATGATGCTGAGTGAGAGAAGCCAGATGACACAAAAGTCTACTTGTATGATTCCATTTATATGACGTGTCAGCAGAAAAACAAACCCGTAGAGACAGAAAGCAGATGAGTGGTTTCCAGGGTCCGGGGAAGGGAAAAGGGAAGTGACTGCTAACGGGTAAGGCATTAGCTTTAGTTAGTTGATTTCTTTTTGGGGTGATGAATATTCTGGAATTAACGGTGATGGTTGCACAACTTTGTGACTATACTAAAAACACTAAATTGTATAGTTTCAGAGAGAAATTTTATAGTGTGTAAACTACATCTCAATTAAAAAAAAAAAAAGTAAAAAGAAAACGCTGCATAAGCCTCCCGTGGGGTTAAAATAAGAGTAAGAGAAAAAAACATGACTTCATTGTGTGGGTGCCTGTGTTGAAGATGATTTAGTAGCTTCTGCCGTGAGGCATTTGCTAGAATAAAATCCTTTCTGCCCTCATCATTGTCAGCACACTGGTTCGGGCCTTTAGCACTCCTACCTGGATCGTGGAACTAAAGAATTTTAGCAGCTGACAAGGACCTTAAAGATTGTAGCCTAACTCTCTCGCTTGTCAGGGGAGGCAGCTGGTGCCAGGCAGAAGAAGTGGCATGTTTGGAGTGGCCTGCCTGGTGTCTGAGCCACACCTGACACCCAGTGTTCTTTCCACTGGGCCTTTATTGCAATTGTTTTCCTCTCTCTTTAGTCTCTTCCTGCTCCAGTAGGATTGTACATTCCACTGACCTAATCTTCCCGAAATACAGATCTCATCACGTCACTGCCCTGCTGAAAAAACCCACAGTGGCTCCCCACTGCCTTCAGGCCCAGACCCCGGGAGCCTCCTTCACCTTCTGTCCACTTCTTGGCTCTCATGGCTTCCTAAACAAACTCCCTTTGCCACTGCAGCACATGGCGTGTGTCCCAATATCACGCTTCTGGGCACATGTTGTTAATCCACTTTGCATATGTTTATGTCTTTGTGGCTCAGCTAGATTGCAAGTTTCTCGGAGACCAGGATCATGCCTTTGACCTCCTGACACAGGGCACAGTGCAATTCCTTGTACTTGTTAGGGGTCTGGAAATATTTGTAGATTAGTTGATTTCATTCACAACCACAGCTAGTCTTCACCTGGTACACCTAAGAATATCTTGGAGGAGGCCGGTTGCGGTGGCTCATGCCTGTAATCCCAGCACTTTGGGAGGCTGAGGTGGGCGGATCACGAGGTCAGGAGATCGAGACCATCCTGGCCAACATGGCGAAACCCTGTCTCTACTAAAAATACAAAAAAAAAAAAACAAAAAATTAGCTGGGCGTGGTGGCATGCGCGTGTAGTCCCAGCTACTTGGGTGGCTGAGACAGGAGAATGGCTTGAACCATGGAGTTGGAGGTTGCAGTGAGTCGAGATCATGCCACAGCACTCCAGCCTGGTGACAGAGTGAGACTCCATCTCAAAAAAAGAAAAAAGAAAAAATCTTAGAGGAGTTCTGGCAACAGGTCACTGTTTTATGCTGCGTCTCTCATGAGTTTAACTTTTGGGTGTAATCTGGACAAGAAGATTCTCGAAACCTCCTATGAGATTGGATTTACTGTCAAAAAAGCAAAACACACTGACTTCAAAAGAAAAAAGCAAACATTATTTTTGAAACAACCTTTTAATTTCTTATAGAAGTACTGTAATTTGTGTTCTTGGAGATTTAGAAAATTCAGAGAAAGTTCCAAGAAAATAAAGAAGAAAATTGAAAGCTCCCATAATCCTAGCCCCTAGGGGCTGTCTATTGATAATCTTTCATTTTTACAGCCATTTTTCTATGCACACACAAACACCACATATATATTCTTTACAAAAATGAGATTCCACTCTGTATACTGTTTTATATCATGCTTTTAAATTAAGATAAAAATTAAAATTTAATAGGACTGCATTAAGTGGGAACAATTTTGCTGCTGTCAACTCGAGAGAGCATTCCAATGACACAGAGAAAGAGCAACTCCCTATTTGTTTTGCTTCTTTGCAAAACAAACAGGGTAAGAAGAGTTCTGAGAACTAAGGGGCAAGGTGCCTTCCTAGCTGCCGACTTGAGTTGGGCGTGGAGTTGCTTCATCTCCTTCTCTGTGTCTCCTCACCAGTTCTATTGAAGGAATTGGAGCTTGTACCCATGAAGGTCCTTTTCTAGTTTTTGGATTTTGTAAGCTTTGTTTTACATTTCTCCCATCCCTTCTTTGTGAATATTTCAGAGCCCTCTACTCAAGAGGGTAGGGGATGTGGCTACTTTGTTCCCTGTTTTGTTGCCAGCATGGTGCCTGGCAAAGAATAGACACTCAATAAATATTTGGTAATGAATGAATGGGTGAGACTCTCATGAGTGATGTCCTTTGTTATGGAAATCACTAGGCCACATGGTCTTCTTTTGGAAGCACCAAGTAGGAATTCTATATTTAGGTTCTTGGAATTGAAATAATAACACAAGTGACATTGTACATTAATCAATTAATGGAATATATGTAGCTGTGGCCCCATGAGGGAGTTCTTGTTAATTCCATTCCACAAGTGGCCAGGGTCCACTGCTAGCCTCATGATCCCAGGTCCCGGGTCCCCTCTGCTAATCTTCACTTTTGGGCACCACGGTTTCTCTCTGGTTGGGTAAGTCATTCCACGACCAGTAAGGCAAGCTTAAGGCCGAAGTTTTCAAATGTCAGTGTTCTTAAGAATTGCCCAGGCCTTACTAATCCCATTTTTTTTTTAGATGGAGTCGCCTAAGCTGGAGTGCAGTGACATGATCTCGGCTCACTGTAACCTCTGTCTCCCGGATTCAAGCAATTCTCCTGCCTCAGCCTCTGGAGTAGCTGGGATTACAGGTGTGCACCACCACACCTGGCTAATTTTTGCATTTTTGGTAAAGACAGGGTCTCACCATGTTGGCCAAGCTAGTCTTGAACTCCTGACCTCAAATGATTCACCTGCTTTGGCCTCCCAAAGTGCTGGGATTACAGGCATGAGCCACCACCCCTGGCCAGTGATCCACATTTTAAATAATTGCTTGCTATGATTTGAATGCAGGTGGTCTGAAACCTATCGAGAACACTAGCTTGAAACATTTCAGATTCAGTGTTTTGTAAAGCAGAGGAGAGGCCATGATTGGCCATTAGGAGCTTCATCAAGCGTCAGCTTGCCCACAGCTTTGGTTTCCAGGGAGACTGGGAAGTAACAATACAATAGTTCATCTTCATTATGAGTGTACCATGCCAAGAGCTTTCCTAAGTGCTTTACATTCATTATCCTCTTTAATTCTCTTAAGAATTGTATGAGGTAGGTCCTATTATTACCTCTATCTTACAAGGAAACTGAGGATCAGACAAGGATATCTAGCTTATCCATGATTAGGTAGAGCTGACAATGGGATTAAATAATCAAGTCCTGCTACTGCCAGGTTAAGAAAACCCAGCTCTTTGTTGTTTTATAACAACTGGGGGAAGCTGGTGTGCATCATTGGCTGATAGGAAGAGAAATTGAATTCCACATCTATGTCCTACTTCATGCATGGATTGCTCTCAACAACCGTGAAACGGAATACAAAACAGTGAAACAGGTGAAATTCACATCTTGTCTTTCCGTGTGCATACTCTTAGGACCAGCCCTGGCCATGTTCTGTATATGACCACTTTAACCTCAAAACTGTACTGTTAAAACTCAACAATAAGAAAAGGAACAGTCCAGGCCAGGTGTGGTGGCTTACACCTGTAATCCCATCACTTTGGGAGGCCAAGGCTGGTGGATCACTTGAGCCCAGGCATTTGAGACCAGCCTAGGCAACGTGGCAAAACCCCGCCTCTACCAAAAAAAATAAAAAATAAAAAAACAACAACAAAACTCCAAATCGTGGTTGTGTGCACCTGTAGTCCCAGCTACTCAGGAGGCTGAGGTGGGAGAATTGCTTGGGCCCAGGAGGTGGAGGTTGCAATGAGCTGACATCACACCACTGCACTCCAGCCTGGGCAATAGAGCAAGACCCTGTCTCAAAAAAAAAAAACAAAAAGAAAAAGAAAAAATGAAAAGGAGCAGTTCAATTAAAAAATGGGCAAAAGACCTGAACAGACACCTCACCAAAGAAGATATATGGATACCAAATAAGCATATGAAAAGATGTTCAACATCATTTATTGTTAGGGAATTGCAAATAAAAATGACAAAAGATACAACTACATACCTATTACAAGGGCCAAAATCCAAACACTGACAGCACCAAATGCTGACGAGAAAGTGGAACAACAAGAACTCTCATTCTTTGCTGCTGAGAATGCAAAATGATACAGACACTTTGGAAGACACTTTGGCAGTTTCTTACAAAACTAACATACTCTTACCACATGATCCAGCAATTATACTCCTTGATATTTACCCAAATGAGCTGAAAACATATCCACACAGAAACCTACACAGGATTTTATAACTGCTTTATTCATAGTTGTCAAAACTTGGAAGCAACCAAGATGTCCTCCAGTAGGCGAATGGAAAAACACACTGTGGTACATCCAGACAGTGGAATATTATTCAGTACTAAAAGGAAATGAGCTGTCAAGCCATGAAAAGACATGGAGGAAATTTAAATGCGATTATGAAGTGAAAGAAACCAATCTGAAAAGGCTACGTATGATTCCAACTATATGATATTTTGAAAAAGGCAAAACGGTGGAGATAGTGGTTGACAGGGGTTGGAGGGAGGGCAGGATCAACAGGCAGAGCACGGAGGATTTGTAGGGACGTCAAACTGTTCTTTATGGTTCTGTAATGGTGGATCCATATCATGATACATTTGTCCAAACCAAAGAGTATACAACACCGAGAATGAACTCCAATGTAAACTACAGACATTGGGTGATAATGATGTATCAGTGTAGGTTCACTGATTGTGACAAAGATCATCCTCTGGTGGGGGACGTCCATAGTGGGGGAGGTGGTGCATGTCTGGGTGCAGTGGGCATATGGGAAGTGTACTTTCTGCTCAATTTTGCTGTGAACCTAAAACTGCTCTAATAATTCAAGTTCATTAATTCAAAAAGAACCCCTGAATTGTTTTAACAGGGATATTTGAATATTGAGTACTGACCAGATATTTACTGATATTAAGAAATTGTTGGCCAGGTGTGGTGGCTCACACCTGTAATCCCAGCACTTTGGGAGGCCAAGGCAGGTGGATCACCTGAGGTCAGGAGTTTGAGACCAGCCTGGCCAACAGGGTGAAACCCTGTCTCTACTAAAAATAACAAAAATTAGCTGGGCATTTTGGTGCATGCCTGTAGTCCCAGCTATTTGGGAGGCTAAGGCAGGAGAACTGCTCGAACCCAGGAGGTGGAGGTTGCAGTGAGCCAAGATCATGCCATTGCACTCCAGCCTGGGCAACAGAGCGAGACTCCATGTCAAAAAAATAGAAAAAAAAAAAAAAAAAAGAAATTGTTGGGGTTTTTTTTCAGGTGTGATACTGGTATTGTGGTTATGTTTTTAAAAAGTCTTTATGTTTTTAGCTGGGTGCGGTGGCTCAGGACTGTAATTCCAGCTACATGAGAGGATTGCCTGAGGCCAGGAGTTTGAGACCAGCCTGAACAACATAGTGAGTACCTGTCTCTAAAAAAAAAAAAAAAAAAAAAAAAAAAGTCTTTATATTTTAGAGTTATATACTGTAATATGTATGAATGAAATGCTATGAGGTTTTAGATTTGTTTCAAAACACTCCAATGTGTGTGTGTTGGGAGGAAGTAGATAAAACAGGGCTGGTGATAGGATGATAATTGTTGAAGCTAGCTGATGAGCACATAGAGCTTGATTACACTATTACTTCAAGTTTGTACATGTTTGGACATTTCCATAATGTAAAAACACAATTACATGCTTCAAGTCTCAATCCCTAGGTCTCTTACACTCTGGGAATGGATTTAATAAATTTAGCAAATGCACCTGAGGTTAATAATGGATTTATACATTGCTGTGGCTACAGAACATTTACATTTTGACACAGGTCTTCAATATCTTAATCTAAATAAGCAAATATTGTGGAAATTTCAGACATTACCCCAATCTGACAGGGCAAATATTTTTATTAGTTCTAACTTTCCCCTTCCCTAATTTACTTATGTATAGAATTGGTCCTCATCCCTGACTGTGGGGAGACTTTTGATAGTTATTACCTTTTCTTTCTTTCTCTTTCTTTCTTTCTTTCTTTCCTTTCTTTCTTTCTTTCTTTCTTTTTCTTTCTTTCTTTCTTTCTTTCCTTCCTTCCTTCCTTCCTTCCTTTCTCTCTCTCTCTCTCTCTCTCTCTTTCTTTCTTCTTTTTTGAGACAGAGTTTCACTCTGTCACCCAGGCTGGAGTGCAGTGGCGCCATCTCAGCTCACTGCAACCTCCCCCTGCTGGGTTCAAACAATTCTCCTGCCTCAGCCTCCCGAGTAGCTGGGATTACAGGTGATGCCTGGCGAATTTTTGTATCTGTAGTAGAGACGGAGTTTCACCCTGTTGGTCAGGCTGGTCTCGAATTCCTGACCTCAGGTGATTTGCCCGCCTCGGCCTCCCAAAGTGCTGGGATTATAGGAGTGAGCCACCACCTCCGGCCAACTATTACCTTTTCTAAGAATGCTTTATGACATCATGGCATTTCAAATTGTGTAACATTCAGAACGTTTTCTGTTGTATCCTTTCCTAGGTCTTCATTACTTTCCTGGGACTTGACAGGGCATATTGAATCTATCCTGTAATGCATGGGAATAAATAAGGATTCCAAAACGTGAATTGGATTTAGTTAATTTTTGTTTCTCCATGTCTCCATACACACAGGCAGCATGAGTGAGCATCTAGTATGTATTGGATATGTGCTGGGTTGATACCATAAAGAGATTTATAAAATGGTGCCGACTTTGAGGGGTTCACACTCTGGGGGAAAGACTGTGCTGTCTAAGTGAATAAATTTGGAGATTGAGGGCTTCATGGAGAGGAGGAAAGTTGTGCTTTATAACATCATGGCATATTTGCATGAGCCATGCAAATAAGAAGCTCATCACCCACCCGATTTATGTCAGAATCAGAACCCAAAGCCAGGGACCCACCAACCAACTGTTCGGCCCAGCACAGTTTCCCTGTGGCAATTCCACTTCTTTTTTTCTTATCTTACGTCGCAGTGTACTTTGTCTCTTGTAACTCCTGCAGGATTTTTCTTAAAGCCTTACATGGTGCTGTTATCACGTGGCACAAAATGAAGCCGACCTCTTTGTGTGTGGGAATAGAGGGAGCATTACACTGCTGGGATGCAACAGATGGAGGGTGGAAAGCTGTCCAGCACCTTGTCTCTTCCAAGATACATAGCCCAGGGGTATTCCCATTCCTCCACGACACAAATGACAACTTCCTTGAGCTCTGATGGCTTGCCAGGTGGCTGATGGCGTGGAGAACCTTGCTCATGTTTACCTGTTCTTGCATCCATTACTCACCTCTGCCCACGTGCCCCCACACTTGCACACAAAGCCACAGAGTGGCTTAAAAAAAAAAAATGAAAAGCCTCCCCCCAACCCTATTGTAAAATGTCAAGTGTTTCAGTTTTGAGAAAAAAGAAAGCTGAAGAAACCATGACTCATGACATGGGCTGACAAACAACGATCTGAAGGTATGCTGGTGAGTCACACTGTGGAGCTCTGCCTTTGTGTTGTGGTGAGGGCCGGGGCTGGAAGGAGTGTCATGGGACCAGCCAGTAAAATTCCACTACTCTCCGAAGCCGATTGGGAGGCAATTTAAAAACCCTGGGCTTTTTCCAGCCCCAGTGTAGTGGATGACTCTGGGTCCCCTCAGGTATGTCGATCTGTATGGGAAATCAGGAAGAATGATTATTAATAACTGGAAAAAAAAAACCTGTTAGTATCTTTCCATGCCCAATGCCATGCTGAACCAGCCCTGCCTGCTTCTGCAAGCCAGCGAGGCTGCTGGATTTTCTCGAAGGGTATTGAGTTGCTAAGCAACAGCACTGGCGGCGCCTATCATGCCCAGCGATGTCAATGCCTGAGTGTGGCCTGCAGAGCACATTTGCTCCCCTCCCCCTCGCCTCCTCTCGACCCCTTCCCCCCACTACATGAGAACATTAATTTGCATCTCAGGGACAGGAGCTGTGCCAGGTGATTCTGTGTATAAAACAGCGCAGTGCAGCCCCTGAAGCACAAATATTGTTTTGGGTTGCAAGGCGGTGCATGTGACGTAGTTGAAAATACAGACTCATTTGTGTATACTCCCCACGTAAGGAGGGTAGGCTTCATCTAAAAGCCTGCGTGTCAAATACTCCTTTCTAATACATCCTGGTGTGCTCTGCCTTGAAGTGTTTTTTTCCTGTCTGCCCATCCAGCATCTTATTTATGCCCCATTCTGTCCCTCTCTCTCGTTGCCTTTGTTCTGTGGTCTCCTGGGTGATGGAGTTATTGTTTGTGTGTAGGGATGTGTGGATAAAAGGGAGCTGATTTCTAGAGGTGAGATGGCCCTGTGGTTAACGGTTGGAGGCTGCTGTTGACAAGGCCTGTTGCTGTGGCAGTTTTGCTCCGGAAGTGGCCATTTTCTGGGCAGGGCTCCACCAGAGCACCATCTGTCTGTGCCTTTTACTTCCTGTCAAGAGGCAGCAGGCTTCGTGAGCTGGGGAAGTGCCAGAAGCAGCCTTCGAATTAGACAGACCTGGACCCAAACCCTTTCTCTTCCCCCCACCCATTTTGGCATCTTGGCACGAGACTGTCCCCATTTCTGGAAAGGGTGTTCACAAGAACAGTCTGGCTGGGTTGTTGGGATGACCGAGTGTGATCATGCGTCTCTATGGCTGGCCATGGTGTTTATTCGATGGCAGGTATTACCAGGATGGAGCGAGTCCCAGTAGGAAGGGCCTTTAGGATGTCATCTGGTTCCACCCAACAGGGATGGGAACTGTAATTCCCCACTCTCCCTGTGGAGAATCAGGGCGGGCTCCGGATGGATGGCCAAAGGCTGCACAGAGGTGAGCCTCCAGGGTTGGGTTCTAAGCGCTGTTCACACTCCTGTCCCAGTGGTGTTTGGTCTGGGGCACATTGTGATATGTGTTTCCCTCCTTTCTTAAAATTAGCTCTTGGCTTCAGGGCCTTGTAGTGGACTGATGTCCCTCCTTAACTGAACAGTCAGTCTGCTTATTTTTTTGGGGTGGTTTAGGGGTAAAAATAAGTAGATAACTGAACAAAGCTGGCTGGCAGGAACCTTCGGCTGACCGCAGGGCTTTGGTGGTGGTCAAGACCTGGAATTGGATTTGAGGCCTGGCCAGCGTGAAGGATATGCCATAGGAGCCCAGGAGGATGACTCTGCCAGGCCTGCTTTTGACATGTCTGTCATGCTTCATGCTTTATGCTGCTCTGGGCCATTAAGCAAGAACTAAATCTGATGCCCAATCAAGGCTGAGCTCTTTTTTTTTTTGAGACACTGTCTCACTCTCTTGCCCAGGCTGTAGTGCAGTAGTGTGATCATGGCTCACTGCAGCCTCAGTCTCCTGGACTCAAGTGATCCTCCCACCTCAGCCTTCTGAGTAGCTGGGAGTACAGGTGAGTCAGGTGAGTCCCACCACACCCGGCTAATTTTTTTTTTTTTTTTGGTAGAGATGGGGTTTCACTGTGTTACCCAGGCTGGTCTCAAACTCCTGGGCTGAAGACCATCCACTCGCCTCAGCCTCCCAGTGTTGGGACTATAGGCGTGAGCACTCATCTAGTCTAGGCTGAGCTCCTAAACAGGAAATGTGTGGCATGGCTTCTTTGAAGGTGGCTTTCTCATTCTGAGTTTTAAACCACAACCACTGAAGATGGTTAGTGCCTGCAGAATGCGTACCATTTCCACTCAGAGAAACCATTCCTCCTTAAGGAAAGCTGGGGCCGTTCCTGGTCTGGCGTTCCCAGTGAAGGAAGAACCAAGTGGATGCCCCTCAACCCCAGCCCGAGGCAGCTGTGTCGTTATGGTCCAGCTGGGCACCCCACTCTTTAGGAGGTGGAGAGGGAAACAGGGGGATTGGTCTAGGTTTGTGTGGGTCAGAGCCAGGTGAGAAGTTATAGTAGTTGCTGGGCAAAGTAAATAAGAAGGAGACAGAAAGGCCCAGGCACGCAGGAGACCCCAGCTAAAAGGGCAGGGAGAGGGACACGTTGGTGGTCAAGAAGAGGGAAATGAGGAGGGGCTTTTGGAGATCCCGCCAAAGAGGTGTTCTGTGAACCCCTCCCGCTGACACACCTACTGAAGGGTCCACTGAGACAGCAAAGCAGGAAGGGTGGAAAGGGTCCGCCAGGGGCAGTGCCTGACATGTGCTAGAGGTGACGTAGAATCTGGGATCAGCGACAAAAGATCACACCTAGAACCGTGGTCAAGGATGTGAGCCAGATTTTCTGGGGCTCAGTCCTGGGTTTGTCACTTAACTGTGTCACTTGGAGCAAGTCACATACCTCTGGCAGTCTCAGTTGCTCATCAGAAAAATGGGAATTTTATATATATATATAAAAAATATAATTATATATTTATTTATAATATGTGTATATATAATTATATGATTATAATAATCACAAATGGGATTATATATAATATATAATTATACATTAATTTATAATATATATTTATTTATAATATATGTGTGTATATATACGCATATATACATATGTATGTATGTCTATATCTCTATCTTTCGGGTTGTTTTGAGAATTAAATGACCTAACCCATGTAAAGCCCTGTGTACCGTGCCTGGCATGTAGGATACTTCATCACTGTCACCTGTTTTTGTTGTTATGACCTGAGCATCTCCCTGTTCACCAGCCCTTGTTCTTTAGCCACAGGTTGAAGATGACAGTAGATCCTAAGGAACCTCAGTTCTATCCCGAAATGCGAAGGCCTTTTTACTCAACCACAAAGAAGTGGTCAGCAGAAAACTGGTCATCCCGGCCTCTGGGGCCATGCACAGCACTCAGGAGGAGCTACTATTTTCCCTGCCTGTTTACATGCGGCCTGGGGCCTTGTGGGCTATTTGAAAATTAGGACACGAGAAGTCCAAGCAGCACCTGGTAATTAAACTGAGTCCTCTATCAGAGAGAGGCGTGACCTTGAAGGGCATCCATACAGGAGCCAGGGGCAAAGCAGAAGGTGGGAGGGATTCTCCAGGCTTGACCCTCTCAGCACATCTCAGTCAGGGGTGCCTGGCAGCCTAGATTCCAGCCCTGCCCAGTGCCACCCAGAGACCTGAGGGAGGTGGACAGCTGCTCAGCTGGGTGATGGGAGCCTCTAGAAATAGTTGTCAACCTCATCAAACCAGAGATGAGCCCTTAGGACAGCCAGGGTGTTGATTTCCAGCCAGGCAGGGCATTGGTTCTCCAGTGGGATGTGGACAAGGTTCACTGCAGCCTCTCAGCAGATGAACTAGGGGAGAGACACTACCCCAACCATGCTCCCCCGACCCTTCGGTGTTAAGTGAAAGTATCTTCCTTTTTTCTCTCTGCTCTCTCCGCTTTACAACAAAATATTATCTTTAGTCTGCAAAACCAGGGCCAGGAAGAATCTTCACAGCTAGACAGGGCCATGGAAAGATGATGAGGCATATCAGGAACTATGTAATCTTGTAATACTTCTGCTGCAAAACCTCCTGACGTTCTGAATGAACAGTCACATGCAGCCTCTTCAGTGCAAAACTGAGCTCATAAGAAAGTAAAGCAAATCTGTAGGGGCCAAATGAAGAGTGAACTGGAAGTCAGAGCTTCAAGTACATGACTGATGTGGTGTATCCCTTGGGGATGGGGGTGTACACGCTGGTTTTGGGAAGCAGGGCACTTGGGTTTGAAAGTTCATCCAGGACATTTGTGTGACTCTCAGTTTTTGAATATTGGTGAATAGTGCTGCTTAGAACATTCTGGTATGTGAGTTTTTGTTGCACATAAGGTATTTATGTTGAACAAATATTTAAGAGAAAAATTATTGAATTTAGGTATGTATAACCTCAGATTTGGAGAATACTGCTAAACAGTTTTTCAAAGTTGCTGTTCATTTTAAATAACAGCATATGGGCCAGGCACTATTGCTCATGCCTGTAATCCCAACACTTTGGGAAGCCAAGGCAGGAGGATTGCTTGAGGCCAGAAGTTTGAGACCAGCCTGGGCAATATAGTGAGACCCCATCGCTACAAAAAATTAAAATATTAGCTGGGCATGGTGGCGTGCACCTGTAGTTCCAGCTACTCAGGAAGCTGTGATAGGAGGATCACTTGAGTCCAGGAAATGGAGGCTGCAGTGAGCTTTGATCGCGCCAATGCACTCCAGCCTAGGCAACAAAGTGAGACCATGTATCAAAAAAAAAAAAAAAAAAAAAAGTCCAACAGCAATGACAACAGTGTAGGAGCATTCTAATTGCTCCACATCCTCAATTTGTATTGTCTTTTCCTCAGGCTTATTTTAATCACTCTGGTTGGATTTGCATTTCTTTCTTTCTTTTTTTTTTTTCTTGAGATGGAGTCTCACTCTGTCACCAGGTTGGAGTGCAGTGGCATGATCTCAGCTCACTGCAACCTCCGCCTCCCAGGTTCAAGCAGTTCTCTTGCCTCAGCCTGCTGAGTAGCTGGGACTACAGGTGTGTGCTACCATGCCCAGCTAATTTTTGTATTTTTAGTAGAGATGGGGTTTCACCATGTTGGCCAGGATGGTCTCGATCTCTTGATTGAGATTGTGATCTGCCCACCTCGGCCTCCCAAAGTGCTGGGATTACAGGTGTGAGCCACTGTGCCTGACCTTGGATTTGCATTTCTAGGATGATGAATGAGAGTGTACTTTCTCATATGTATTGTGGCAATTTGATACCTGCTTTTATGAAGTGTTTGTTCAAGTATTTTGCTCATTTTTTCTATTGGGTCATCTGTATTTTTCTTACTGATTTACAGTTTATACTTGATTTATAGATTTGTTTGAAATATAAATCCTGGTGACCATAAATATATTGCAAATATCTTCTCCCATTCTTTAGCTTGCCTTTTCACTCTTTTTTTTTCTTCCTTTATTGAGACGGCGTCTCACTCTGTTGCCCAGGCTGGAGTGCAATGGCGAGATCTCGGCTCACTGCAACCACTGCCTCTTGGGTTCAAGCGATTCTCCTGCTTCAGCCTCCTGAGTAGCTGGGATTACAGGCGCCCGCCACCATGCCTGGCTAATTTTTTGTATTTTTAGTAGACACGGGGTTTCACCATGTTGGCCAGACTGGTCTAAACTCCTGACCTCAGATGATCCACTCACCTCGGCCTCCCAAAGTTCTGGGATTACAGGCATGAGCCACCACGCCCGGCCTCGTTCTCTTAATGGTGTTTTTGATAAGCAGATGTCCTTGATTTTATTAAAGTTCAAGTCTCTTATTTTTTCCTTATAGTTATTACTTTGTGAGACCTACTTAAGAAATATTGCTTAGTCCAAAATAATATATTTTCCTGTGATTTCTTTTAGAAGCTTTATTTTTATATTTTTCAAATTTAGAGCTACAATCCAATCCATCTTGAATTCTTTTTTTGTATATATAGTTTTAAAAAAATATATAGAGGTTGGTATTAATTTTTTTACATCTAGATAGCCAACTGACCCAACACTATTTATTGAAAATAATATTATTTCTCTTGTGTTACATTGTCACCATTGCTGTAAATCAAGAGACCGTATATCTATAGGTCAGTTTCTGGATCCTGGATTCTGTTCCAATGGTCTATTTGTTTATCCTTGTGACATTATCTTACTGTATACCATTACTTCATTCTATAATGAGTCTTGATATCAAATAGGGAAAGTCTTCCAACTTTGTTTTTCTTTAAGATTGTCTTGGTTCTTTTTGCCCCTTAACATTTTCATATAAAATTTAGAATGAGCTTGTCAATTTCCATGCACGCTCACAATAAACCCGCTGGGATTTTTATTAGAATTACACAGAAACTCTAGATATGCCAGATTGTAGAGAGTTTATATCTTTATAATATTGAATCTTCCAATATTGAATGGTAGAGCTCTTACACAACTTCCATTATGTTAATACCTAGGTTTGTGATTTTTTGGATGCTACTATTTATTAGTCTGTTCAGGCTGCCATAACAAAATAACATAGACTGGGTAGCTTAAAAAACAGAAATTGATTTCTCACAATTCTGGTGGTTGGGAAGTTCAAAATGAAGGTACCAGCCAATTTGGTTCCTAGTGAGCATTTTTCCTGGTGTAGGAGATGGTTATTCTTCTAGGTGGGCACCATCTTGCTATGTGTTCACATGATCTCTTCTTTGTGGGTGTGTCGCAAGAGATAGCAAGTGAGCAAGCTCCCTGGTGTCTCTTCTTATAAGGGCACTAATTCCATCATGAAAGGCCCACCTTCATGGCCTCATGTAACCTTAATTACTTCCCCAAAGCCCCATTTTCAAATACAATATATTGGGGGTTAGGGCTTCAACATGT